>NC_000003.12:56373636-56676666 GCF_000001405.40 Homo sapiens | reverse complement strand
TCATAGAAATTGGCAGCCATGTGATACCTTTTTTTGTGTACATTTTATATATCTGAAGTCATTTTGTTTAGAAACAAAATCGTGTAAAACCCAACTTTTAAAATCATAACCCAACTTTTAAAATCATGCTTGGCCCACTTTGGTTGTGAAAGCCTATAAAGACCTCCACATGCTGCTTTCCTTGCCAAGTTTTTCACAGTTTAATTGGGGACAATTATCACAAAGATAAGATGTTTTTGTCCTACGTTCCATAACACAGGTTTGAATGAAGACAATATATGCCTTCTACCCTCTTTTCTGAGCTTTCATTTGTGTTTCGTATATTACTGAATTGTTGAATTTGTGAAAGAGTCAATTTTAAATCACAGTCATTTAGTAGTAGAATATATTGTTACCATTTTTAAAGCTCTTGACAAAATTTCTCATTTTCTTGACTATTTAATATATTTAGGGCTGGCACTCACAGGTCTAGCTACTGGGATGTGGGAAACACGAGTAATGAGCAAGGCAGGTTCCTGCTCTCATGGAGCTTACAATCAATAGGTTACCGAGCATATTCGTCTGCTACAAGTTTGATTATAGGACACTTTGTGTTGAGTAGTCTTGTTCTATTTGAGTACTTGTTTGAGCTTACTCCTGTTTATTTTTTAATTGTATTGCTATAACTGTTGACTATTTTTTTCGTGCACAGTTCGAAAATAGTGGTAACCATTTGTTTGTACACATTGTGCCATTGAAAACTACGTTTTTACAGACACTTATGTAATATATACATGCTTTGGTAAATGAATGGATGAATGGCTCTGTCATTTGACATGTCTTTTAAAGTCTAATAATCATGTATAAAAAAGATAACGGTTCGCTGCATCTGTTACCTTTAGGAGTATGTACAAGTGGAACATTATGTTTTCAGTAGTGACCTGTTTTGACTGTTACATTCTTGACCCTTATTAAATAGTGTCTTGAAAGAAATTAAGGTAATAGAGAATAACATAGTTTCTATGAGTAGTTCTCTCTACAGTGAAAAGTGGTTCCTTTTTGATTTGGGGAAATATATATATGTATAGACTTTTAGGTGTATTAGTAAATTAAAGTATTTTGTGCATAAGATGGAAATTTGAGGTTACTAGACCAGTAATTCTCAAGAACTAATTGCATAGTTGATTTAAATGTTTTAAAAATTAAGTGGGGACCGGGCACGGTGGCTCATGCCCGTAATCCCAGCACTTTGGGAGGCCGAGGCAGGTGGATTACCTGAGGTCAGGGGTTCGAGACCAGCCTGGCCAACATGGTGAAACCCCATATCTACTAAAAATCTAAAAATTAGCTGGGCGTGGTAGCAGGCATCTGTAATCCCAGCTAGTTGGAAGACTGAGGCAGGAGAATCGCTTGAACCTGGGAGGCGCGGAGGTTGCAGTGAACCAAAATCGTGCCACTGCACTTCAGCCTGGGCAACAAGAGCGAAACTCCATCTCAAAAAAAAAAAAAATTCAGTGGGATGTAGAATGGTTGGGGATGTGGAGGATAAAAACTTAAATGTCCTGGCTGGGCACGGTGGCTCATGCCTGAATCTCAGCACTTTGGGAGGCCGAGGCAGGTGGATCACGAGGTCAGGAGATCGAGACCATCCTGGCTAACACAGTGAAACCCCGTCTCTACTAAAAACACACACACACAAAAATTAGCCGGGTGTGGTGGTGGGTGCCTGTAGTCCCAGCTACTTGGGAGGCTGAGGCAGGAGAATGGTGTGTACCTTGGAGGCGGAGCTTGCAGTGAGCCAAGATTGTGTCACTGCACTCCAGCCTGGGTGACAGAGCGAGACTCCATCTCAAAACAAACAATGTCCTACTATGCGTCAGATGCTATGCTTAGAGCTTTTTCCACGTGTTGTCTAGTGTGGCATGTGGCATATAGTGGTTATTAGAGTAGCTGGAGTTTGCCATTTTACATATGAGAGAGCTGAGCTATATAAGTAATTTATTTACCTGCATTTTACTCCAAGCCAGTAATGCTAGGTCTGGTATTTGTGTCCAGCTTTGACTCTAAAGCCCCACATGTTTTCATTTTACTAAGTTGTCATAATAAATGTTCTACTACTTTTTGTGGATTATACAAGAAGCCACGTGAGTGCAGCATTTTATTTTTTATTTTTATTTTTGAGACAGGGTCTCTCTCTCACTCCCAGACTGGAGTGCGGTGGGAGAACGTGGCTCACTGCAGCCTTGAACTCCTGGGCTCAAAGGATCCTCCTGCCTCAGCCTCCCAAGTAGCTGGTACTACAGGCATGCACCACCATGCCTGGCTAATTTTTTTTTTTTTTTAATGGTTTGTAGAGACAGGGTCTCACTGTGTTGCCCAGGCTGCTCTGGAACTCCTGAGCTCAAGCAGTCTTGCTGCCTTGGCCTCCCAAAGAGCTGGAATTACAAGCATGAGCCACCAAGCTTTTTTTTTTTTTTTTTTTTTTTAAACTTAAAGACCAGTGTGTCAGTAACAGCATATTTTGTTACTTCACATAACGTCTTAAATGCTTTTATGGTCTCATACATGGTATAGGTAGTTTGCTGAAATACACAGTCTGAGACATACTTCAGTGTAACATAAAATAGGAGCTAAGTTGAGTATAAACACAGGTTCTTTTAAGAGTCTTTAAGCAATTTAGGTTGCCTAATATAGCATGCCTAAGGTTTGCAAAATTGCACCTTCCTTGTCTATGTATGTAATGCCAGATCCTCATTGTTGAAGGAACTGGTGTATGTAGGCAACTAGTTTTACATTTTTTTTCAATGAGTTAATAAGTATCTCTTTTGCGTATCACAAAGTAAGATAGCCTTGATGCCTTTTTTCATGGTATTTAAAGTTACATTAACCCACAAAAATATAAAAAGCTATATTTAAGATGGAGTAATGTTAAACATTTTAAATGTTTGTTTTTTTATTTTAGCACTTTTCCAGCCATTAACTCCAGGCTCTCGAGAATTTGAAGATGTTGTAAATATTCTCCATTCTTCTTACCTTGAACCAACCTCAGTAACAAATTTTAACTACAGACGTGCTTGCTTGGTACACAATGAGCTTTTGGAAAAGGAGGTATGTTTTAAATTATACTTACTGTAAGATTGTTTTCAGAACCAGTTAACAGCCTGGGAAAAAAATGTTCTCTAGAAATACTAAAATTTTTAGGAAAACCAAATTACAAAGGGAAAACAAGTTTTTTTTTTTTTTTTTTTTTTTTTGGAGACGGAGTTTCACTGTTGTTGCCCAGGCTGGAGTACAGTGGCGCGATCTCGGCTCACTACAGCCTCTGCCTCCCTGGTTCAAGCAGTTCTCCTGCCTCAGCCTCCAAAGTAGCTGGGATTACAGTCATGTGCCACTGCACCTGCCTAATTGGGAAAACAAGTTTTAAATGACATCTCTTTTTTCCACCAGATGTTGCTGTAGCATTACATTTATCTGCTGTGTTAAATTGTTACTAATATGCAATTATGTAAAATAACTTTTTAACTGAAAATCTTAAGTGTAGAGATAGCTTACTAGCTAATGGTTCAATTGTAAATTCAGCTGAGCATGGTGGCTCATGCCTGTAATCCCAGCACTTTGGGAGGCCGAGGTGGACGGGTCGCTTGAGGCCAGGGGTTTGAGACCAGCCTGGCCAACGTGGCAAAACCCGTCTCTACGAAAATTAGCTAGGCGTGGTGGCACATGCCTGTAATCCCAGCTTCTTGGGAGGGTGAGGCAGGAGAATTGCTTGAACCCGTGAGGTTGCAGTGAGCTGAGATCGCGCCACTGCACTCAAGCCTGGGTGATAGAACAAGAACTCTGTCTCAGATAAATAAGTAAATAAATAAATTGTGAATTAGTAGGGCTTTTTGCTCTTTGAGTATTGTACATGTTAATTAAATGCCTAAATTGGAAGGTAATTAATGAAGTCAAATATATGGGTGTGTTTGTTTTTAGGACATGCTTCATTTTTTCCACAATTATTGCCTGGTGGCTATATTAGGATTTTATCATTAGTACATATTCTTAGTGAAAAAGTTCAAACAAAGAAGAATAATTGAGCATGTTAGACAGTGAACTTAAGTTTCATGTACAAATTAGAATATTTGAGTTTTGATTTAGGAAAAGCCAGAATGTATAGATGTTTTGAAATATTTGATGCATAATGATTTCCGATGGACCTGAAATACGAATTTTTTATTTTTGCAAGTTGGTTAACCAAGTGGTACCAGGATTTAATTTTGAAAGGTTCCCTAAAGGGCACTGAATCCCAGAGAAAATTAAAATCTTAGTAGTTTGAATTGATGTGGTTTCATGGTATGGTAGCGATTATTTGTTAATTTCATATGAAAATTTAGTCTGAAGATAAATTAGTTATTAAAGAGCAGTAATAGCCTGAATATAAAATGTTAGCTATTTTATATTTTAAATGCATATCTATTTTATAGATAGGAAAGCCAGTGGTTTAGGATAACTTATAGTTCCAACTAGTTAGAAAAAGTCACTCTTCCATCCTATAAATATGTATGGAGCACATCTTATGTGCTTGGCATTGAGAATACAGTTACAGAGAAAAGAAGCATTTTTCTTGTCCTAATTGAGTTTATAATCTAGAAGTTGGTCATTCAGCAGATTTATTAAACCACCTGTTGGATGCAGTGTACCATGTTAAGTAAAATGGAAGATACAAAGATAATTAAAGCATGAATTTATAATCTATGGGAGAGTTGGAATGTGGTAAAATTATAAGATAAATTTAAAGATTGGTGAGCATTAGATGTTTATTTGACTATATTAATATTATATATAAAGAGCCAGTTAAAATAGGGGAAAAACTGAAGGACAGAGAGTATAGAGAGATAGAGATTATTTTTCCATTTTGGTAGGTGTGAGATTTCTTGGAAAAAAAAATAAAACTTGTAGCTTGAAAAACATAATCACATGCTAAGTAGTTGTTATAGTTTTAATTTCATTTAGTTTACAGAAAAGCGAAGAGAACTGAAGTTTGATGGTCGTTTAGATAAGGAACTTTCAGAATCCTATGCATTTCTGATGGTTGATCGATACCAGGTGAGTTAACGCATTTTATAAAAAACAATTTGGGGATGTTTCCATTGTAAGTTACTAATTTTGTGATTATTCAACAGTATTCTTTACAATTACAGACTTTTTTGATATATAAGTGGAATACATGATTTAATGGGGCAAAATGTTTATTGTTTGTAATTTGTTTTTCAAATGTACTCAGTTTTTTCTCTGACCAGTCCTATTTTCTTCCCCTAGAATGTGCTTGATAATAATACTTTTCTGTTTATTTATTTATTTTTTTCTGAGATGGAGTCTTGCTCTGTCACCCAGGCTGGAGTGCAGTGGCGTGATCTTGGCTCACTGCGACCTCTGTCTCCTGAGTTCAAGCGATTCTCCTGCCTCAGCCTCCCAAGTACATGGGGTTACAGAAACACCCCCCCACACCTGGCTAATTTTTGTATTTTTAGTAGAGACGGGGTATCACCATGTGGGCCAGGCTGGTCTTGAACTCCTGACCTCATGATCCACCCACCTCGGCCTCCCAAAGTGCTGGGATTACAGGTGTGAGCCACCGCGCCTGGCCTTTTTTCTTTATTAAGAAGACTGTCTTCTATATTGTTGATTATATGTGAGATTATCTTCTATATTGTTGATTCTATGTGCCTGGAACCATTTTTCCTTTTTTTTTTTTTTTTTTTTTTGAGATGGAGTCTCACTCTGTTGCTCAGGCTGGAGTTAAATGGTGTGATCGCGGCTCACTCACTGCAACCTCCTTCTCCCAGATACAAGTGATTCTTGTGCCTCAGCCTCCCGAGTAGCTGGGATTACAGGACACGCCACCGCACCCGGCTAATTTTTTTGCGTTTTTAGTAGAGTTGGGGTTTCCCCATGTTGGCCAGGCTGGTCTTGAACTCCTGACCTCAAGTGATCTGCCTGCCTTGGCCTCCCAAAGTGCTGGTATTACAGGCGTGAGCCACCATGCCTGGTCTGTTTTTTCCCCTTTTAATCGAAGATATTTAGGTGGAATAATATTTTGCTGTTTCTAATTCTCTTTGAAAAGAATTGGTTATATATATTGAGTGGCAGGAGTTAAGAGTATCTGTCACACCTGGCATGAAGAAAAATGATTGAAAAGTAGCCAGGCATGGTGGTGAGCACTTGTAGTTCTAGTTACTTGGGAGGCTGAGGTGAGAGGATCACTTGAGCCCAGGAGTTCAAGGTCATGCCACTGCACTCCAGCCTAGAGGGCAGAGGGAGACCCTATCTCTAAAAAAATTAAAATGAAGAAAAATGGATTCTAGATATGGTTACTTTGAGAAGTGTAAGTCAGTTTTACATTAATATTTATAAAGTGGCAAATATATAAGATTTCTGTGATCTAGAATGATACATAGTTAAGAAGCTTTGTTTTTATTTAAACCAAGTTTATAAAATTATTTTTTCATGTTTTAAATGTTGTTATGACTGCAAGATGAAGTATTTTTTTTTAAATTTAGGTTCAAACCATATGTGAAAAAGGATTACATGTGGGTCAGTCCAAAATAACAATTCTTGGCAGTCCTTCCATGGGTAATCTTTTTTCTTTTTAAATATAAATATCTACTACTAAGTTGCTGTCTAAAAATACATTGTCTCGTAATTTCACTGCAGTTGTTATTAAATTCATGCTTTATTATGTTCCCAGAAAAAGACTAGTCATAGGTTCTGAAATGTAAGATCAGTTTTATCTTTTGTTTCTGATTTTTGAACACCTCAAATTGATGAAGGATAACTTCTTAAAAATGTCTTATTTTAGTCCTAGTGATTTTGAAAAATATAATCAGTTTCCTTAATTTTTCCGTCTTTTCTAGGTGTCTATCTTTCTAGGTATGCTGATTTATTACAAGCGAATCCTTTGGACACGGGGGCAATGGGTGATGTTGTTATTTTTAAAATAATGAAGGTAATTTAAACTTACACACTTCATGTATGAAAAACTACACTTGATTTGGATTTTAATTTTTAGATGATGCTGTTTTTAGGAGATTGTTTAAAAGTTCATGCTTGTTAGTGTTTGGTACTTAAAGATACTTTTGAAAATGGTTTATTTGCCATCTTTTTTTGTGTGTGTGTTGTTTTTTGTTTTTTGGTTTTTTGAGATGGAGTCTCGCTCTGTTGCCCAGGCTGGATGGAGTGCAGTGGCGCCATCTTGGCTCACTGCAAGCTCCGCCTCCCGAGTTCATGCCATTCTCCTGCTTCAACCTCCCAAGTAGCTGGGACTACAAGTGCCCGCCACCAAGCCCGGCTAATTTTTTGTATTTTTAGTAGAGACGGGTTTTCACCGTGTTAGCCAGGATGGTCTCGATCTCCTGACTTCGTGATCCACCCGCGTCAGCCTCCCAAAGTGCTGGGATTACAGGCATGAGCCACTGCGCCTGGCCTATTTGCCATCTTTGAGCTAAGCTAACCGTACTTAAGAGTTTGTTTTCCTTTCCAAAGAAAGGAATGTAGAGAGTAATATGTTGGTAATATGATTTATATTAGTGAAGAGTATTATGAATGGAGTTTCTATTTACTTGTTATTAAACAAGTTCAAATGATTTTTTTTTTTTCTTTTAGTGATTAGCTTTTTCTTACTGCTTCAAATTTGGTAAAAGTGTTCTATGAGATATTATTTTATTTATTTTTTGGAGACGGAGTCTCACTCTGTCACACAGGCTGGAGTGCAGTGGCACAATCTTGGCTCACTGCAACCTCCGCCTCCCAGGTTCAAGCAGTTCTGCCTGCCATAGCTTCCTGAGTAGCTGGGATTAAAAGCGTGCGCCACCATGCACTGCTAATTTTTGTATTTTTAGTAGAGACGGTTTCGCCATGTTGGCCAGGCTGGTCTCGAACTCCTGACCTCAGGTGATCCGCCTGCCTTGGCCTCCCAAAGTGCTGGGATTACAGGCCTGAGTCACCGCGCCCAGCTGTTCTGTGAGATATTAAAGGGAAAAAATGGTTGGGATAGTTGATCTATATTCAAAGAAGTATTTCATAATATTAATGTTATATAGTCAACAATTAGGTTTAGGTAGACACTTAAAAGGTTTTCTCTATTTTAGGGTAAAATAAAGAGTATATATGACCCCATGGGTGTAAAAAGTTTGGAATCTATGTTAAATAAGAGTGCTTTGGACCCCACACCAAAGCATGAATGTCACGTGTCAAAGAATGCCAATCGAATTACATCACTTTTGGCTTACAGAGCCTATGAGCTTACTCAGGTAGGTTCCAGGATCCGTTGTAATGTTGTGATCTCATACCTGTTTGTTACCAAATCCTTTAAAATGTCTCCCTTTCAGTTCTCTCTGTCCCCACATTAGTCTAGACTCTGGTGTCTGCATATCACTTCCAGACTCCAGTGTCTGTTGCTGCTGTTTGTTCAGTGTTTTCTGAGATGTCTCAGAAACATGCAGTGGGTCTTCAAGGTTACAGGGTAATATTTATAGACTCCCTAGTCTAGCTCTTCCTGCCAGTAGACTGTGACCTGGTTTTTATATGATCATTGCCCTCAACACACCTCATTTCATTTTGAAACCTTGGCATTTCCTGGCCTAGAAAGATCTCTTGCCTAATAAGATACTACTCATCTTTCAAGGTAAAGTTGAAACCCCTTGAAATAATCTTAATGCATAACATTTTATACTATTGATTTGATAGGTATTTTCTATCTTTATTAACATTTTTAAAGATGCAAACCTAGAACTATTTTTTAAGCCTTATTCAAGTATAATTGACATATACTACACCTATATAAGAGTAACATTTGATGAGCTTTAGTGTTAAGTTTTTATATGAGGTTTGACTATAAAGCAATGGT
This sequence comes from Homo sapiens, assembly GCF_000001405.40. Classification (NCBI taxonomy): domain Eukaryota; kingdom Metazoa; phylum Chordata; class Mammalia; order Primates; family Hominidae; genus Homo; species Homo sapiens. The sequence goes on along the minus strand of NC_000003.12, from coordinate 56,667,800 downwards.
TTTTTGTTTTTGTGTTTGTCTTTTTAAATAGAGATGGGGGTCTCCCTGTTTTGCCCAGGCTGGTCTAGAACTCCTGGGCTCAAGTGATCTTCCCACTTCGGCCTCCCTATTCTTGTTTTTTAATTATTAGTATTTTGTTGTTTTGAGACGGAGTCTCGCTCTGTTGTCCAGTCTGGAGTGTGGTGGTGTGATCTTGGCTCACTGCAACCTCTGCCCCCCAGGTTCAAATGATTCTCCTGCCTCAGCCTCCCAAGTAGCTGGGATTATAGGCACCTGCCACCTCACCTAGCTAATTTTTTGTATTTTTTTTAGTAGAGATGGGGTTTCACCATGTTGGCCAGGCTGGTCTCAAACTCCTGACCTCAGGTGATCCTGTCTGCCTCAGCCTCCCAAAGTGTTGGGATTACAACTGTGAGCCACCACACCCGGCACCTGTTCTTTTTAACATTAAAAAAAATGTCTATAACCAAATAGACTGCTTGTGAAAAGTAGTAATGTTAACTTCCCTGGAAATGTTCTTTCTTTAATTTTTGCTTTATTTATGTAAAATAAAATTTTAAGAACTATTGTTGTGGGCTTTTAGCAAAAATTATATTCACCAAAGTCATTTGGGACTGACTCATTTGATTACCCTCTGGACAGTAGCAATATTGGTAGGTGTGAAGTATACATGTAAGATAGTTATTGGCTTTTCTAGAAGGACTTGCAAACTGGCCTTACGTTTTTTAAAAACTCCAGCCATTTTTAGAGCAATAACAACATTATTGAAATCAATAGTTTCCCAGGGGAATGGACTTTGAAGAACTGTACTACTTTGTTCATAAACTCAGGCATTCTTAAAGTGAAAATCACTACTCTGAAAGTTACAAAACTGTACTATACTGAATGTGGTGAAGAGGTGAAGGGGAAAGACTGATGGGTAATGGGAAGAGGGAAGGCTATCTTTGTCACCTATGTTCAGATTCTTTTCCGTATCTCCCTTTGCTACTTTGTTTGCAATTGGAGCCCAGGTGTGTTTTTCTTTTGAAATAGCAAAACCATAGTTTGGTTTAGTTGAGATTGTGTTCTTAGTATTTTGCTTTTTGTATTAGATTGGCTATTCTGAGCTGACCTGGGAGCTTAGGCTCTGTTTATAATATTTTTATTAGGAAACTCCCGGTGGTCAACTCTTCAGAAGTAAACTTTTGGAATAGTTAGTAATACTCTGGGATCTTACGCACTTAGATGCAGAATATTTTATATCACAAAATGAATACAAAGTACTAATTATTTTAGTTAAATTGGCACGCAGAGCTTAAAGACATTTTTTGTCAGAAGTGCATATATGGTTTTCTATTTCTCAGAAATCAGGCAGTTAAATATAAGGTTTCACCTTGCCTTTTTAAAGAAGTTAATTTTTCATTTTCTTATTTTTAGTATTATTTTTATGAGTATGGCTTTGATGAGCTAAGGCGAAGACCAAGACACGTTTGTCCATATGCAGTTGTGTCTTTTACTTACAAAGATGATATACAAACTCCGAAGTTTGTACCTTCATCAAGGTAAGACTTAGGAGTTTTAGACATCATCCGCAGTGATAATTCTACTACAGATCCTGTACTACTGAGTTAGGAGGACCATTTTGTTTCCTTCCCATTTTTTTTTTTTTAACTTCCCTTGAAGTTGGTTGGAGACTGAAGTGTTTACAATGACTTTTAAATGGTCGGTGTGAAGAACAGACAGTTTACCATGTGGAAATAAATACAAGCTAAAATTTAAACCTCATCTCGCTAATCTCTTCCTTAGAAATGAAGGTTTGTGTAGTTGAGTAAGTGGCAGGTTTTGTTTGTTTTGAGATGGAGTCTCTCTCTGTCCCCCAGGCTGGAGTGCATTGGCAGGATCTCGGCTCACTGCAAGCTCCGCCTCCCGGGTTCACGCCATTCTGCCTCAGCCTCCCGAGTAGCTGGGACTACAGGCACATACCACCATGCCTGGCTAATTTTTTTGTATTTTTAGTAGAGACGGGGTTTCACTGTGTTACCCAGGATGGTCTTGATCTCCTGACCTCGGGATCTTACTGCCTCGACCTCCCAAAGTGCTGGGATTACAGGCGTCAGCCACCGCACCTGGCCAGTAAGTGGCAGTTTTAAAAAGTGAGATTTTGGCCAGGCGCAGTGGCTCATGCCTGTAATTCCAGCACTTTGGGAGGACGAGGTGGGTGGATCACCTGAGGTCAGGAGTTCAAGAACAGCCTGGCCAACATGGTGAAACTGTGTCTCTACTAAAACTACAAAAAAATTAGCTGGATGTGGTGGTACGTGCCTGTAGTCCTAGCTACTTGGGAGGCTGAAGCAAGAGAATCGCTTGAACCTGGGCGGTGGAGGTTGGCAGTGAGCTGTGATCGCACCACTGCACTACAGCCTGGGTGACAGAGCAAGACTTCGTCTGTATTTAAACAACAACAACAACAAAAAAGTGAGATTTTGTGTATTAGCACCCTTGGAAATGGGGAGCTTCTACAAAGGATGCTCATGCCTCACCACAAACCAATCAAATATTTAGTGGGCAGTCAAGGCATTGATAGTTTTTAAAAGCTTCCAGGTGATTCTGATTTTCAGCCAGTGTTGAGGACCCTCTGTTTCTTTTTTTTTCCTCTTTAGAGACAAAGTCTTGCTCTGTTGCCCAGGCTGTAGTGAGTAAAGCGGTGCAGTCATAGCTTGCTGCAGCCTCAAACCCCTGTGTGCAAGCGATCCTCCCAAGTAGCTGGGACTACAGGCATGCACCATCATGTCTGGTTTATTTTTAGTTTTCATGGAAATGGGTCTTGCTGTGTTGGCCAGGCTGGTCTCAAACTCCTGGCCTCAAGCAGTTCTCCTGCCTTGGTATTCCAGAGCACTAGGATTATAGGCATGAGCTGCCACACTTGGCCTGATGATTTCTTTCCTTTTTTTTGGTTTTCTGTTCTTGTGTTACTGAGTATTTCTTAAAAGCTCTAGTATAAGGTGACCAAATAGGAAGCAGTTACCATTTTTTTTCCCCATGTGTTGATTCTAAAAATGCTTTAGCCAAATGGAATAAGTATATTTATAGGGATGTAGGTGAGATGGTCAAATGTCTGCTCATTTTTTACTTTGGGTGTGTATACATATTTGAAGTCATGTATGATATCTATTAATTTAGAAATACTGCTGTTCTAAAACCATATATCATGAAACATATATGTACATTTTTGAGGTTGACCTCTTTGTCAGTTTTCCAGATCAAATTATCTTCTCTTCCATTTACGGTCCTTTTATGTAGGTGAATAATCCTTGGAAACCATCTATAGCCACAGGTACCAATTGACATAGTATCCAGACAGTTGTGGCTTTCATTTTTTGTGGCTCTAAATTTATGATCACTGTGATACATACTTTCACTACAGTGTTTTCATAAGTACTCTTTAAAAGACATCCAGCACTTAAAATTATGAGGTCATGCCCCCAGGAATAATGACTGTTAATTTCTTTGCCTCCTCTTTGATTCCATCTCTTGACCTCTATATCATTTCAAAGGAGCATTGAGTGAACATCCATCCTTGTACCTTGAATATTCCATGAATGCTCCTGCTTCAGGGCCTCTGCATTTGCTGTTCTCTCACTTTCCCCAGTAAGCTGCATAATTCATTCTACATTTCTTCACGTATTTCCTTATGATTGAGGTTTCTCTGTTTTTTTTTTTTACCTCTATACTCTTATGTCTCTTTTTATAGCACTGAAAACCATCATGATCTGTTATATATCATTGTTTTCTGTCTTCCTCATTAGATTTATGTAGGTTGGAACTTTGTTCTGTTTATCTCTATAATCCTATTACCTAGAACTGTGCCTGGTAAATAAGAGCTTAGTATGTATTTACTGAATGATGAATTAATATATTTATATATTGAGGCTGTGTCTTCTAATGTCAGCAAAATAATTGACAAGAGACTTTGGTGGACACTGTTCTCTCTTGGTTAATATTTTTGGAAAAAACAACTCCCTTAAATTTGGGTAAATGTGGTAATTTGAGCGAAGTAAGTACTTCTGTTTTCTCTAAGTAGACTTGGATTTACTAGACTTTGTAATGAGTAATTTCTTTGTTCTTCCTACCTGGAGGAAGGACTTAACTGTAGTATGCCATTAAAAATTGCACTTATATCATCTTACATGTTAATTTTTATGATTATACTAATGAGTAATGTTTTTCTTTTCTTTTAAAAAATTTGTAGATCTAACAGCTTTAATACAGATAGAAACATAGGTAAGAGATTTATGTTTCTTTAGTTTTATAAATGGAAAGAATAAGTACATATAGCAAAAGATTAAGTGCTTTGTATTATTTTTATAATGAATGAAAATCTGCAAAGTATGAAAAGTTATAATGTAGCATCAGCGCATTTGGTTGTCCAAGCATAAGATCTCCTTTGAAAATCTGCTACTGTGAATAGACTGAAAGGTTTTAGCACTTTAATAGAAAAAGATAAAAAATAAAACAGGTTTCATAACTCAGCTTTTTAAAAGTATTAAATTCACCAGAGGTGTAGGACTTAGAATTAGAGAAGATTGAAAGTAGCATTGACATTAAACTATTTTAAAGTTTCTTTGTTTTTTTTTCTTTTCTGAGACAGAGTCTTACTCTCGCCCAGGCTGGGGTGCAGTGGCGTGATCTCGGCTCACTGCAACCTCTGCCTCCTGGGTTCCAGCGATTCTCCAGCCTCAGCCTTCTCCTGAGTAGCTAGGATTACAGGCGCCCACCACCACACCCGGCTAATTTTTTGTATTTTTAGTAGAGTTGGGGTTTCACCAAGTTGGCCAGGCTGGTCTCGAACTCCTAACCTTAAGTGATCCACCCGCCTCGGCCTCCCAAAGTGCTGGGGTTACAGGTGTGAGCCACCATGCCCAGCCTATTTTAAAGTTTCTTTATAATGAAAACACAATGAGTAGAAGATACAGGACACTGTAGGCATTCATATAATCAACCAGATTTCATACAGTGTCCCTTTGGAGGAAATAAGAGATGAATAATTATCTTGTCTTTGCTCCCCAACTTTTCTGATAATGACATTTAGACAGATACATTTGTTATTCTTTGCAACTGGAATGATTTTGTAGGGGATAAATACCTGAAACAAAAATCCTAATATTTGAACTGTTAGTAAATAGAAGTGTAGAAGAGTCACTGTTTTTTTTTTTTTGCCCTCCTACTTAAACCTTGTTTCTAGATATTTTCCGTCTCATTTCTAATAAATGTGCACTCACTTCTCTGGGCTGCCAAGTGACTAAGCTGTGTCATTATATTCTTTTTATTTAGATAAATATAACTATACCTTGTGGAAAGGACAGCTTTTAAATAAAGGAAAACTTTTGTGTTATATTTCTCTGAGGTCAGCCACTCGTGCTTTTTTGCCTATCAAACTGTAAGTATAAGTAAAGAGCAGTTCGTGGTTGCTAATTTTATCACTTTCTTGAGCCTTTTTCCTTATTTCTTTTTCATATTTAAATTTTATTTTGGTTCATAAGAACTTCAATATAAATGTTGGTTTGTTTTTTAAATGGTTGATTTGAAATTACGTGATTTGGCAATATGAGTCCTCTACGTCTCTGTCTTGATTTGAGGATAGGCTAGTCAGTACATTTACGGTATAAAACTTTATCTTTTTTTTTTTTTTTTGAGACGGAGTTTCGCTCTTGTCACTCAGTCTAGAGTGCAGTGGTGCAATCTCGGCTCGCTGCAACCTTCGCCTCCCGGGTTCAAGCGATTCTCCCATCTCAGCCTCCTGAGTAGCTGGGATTACAGGGTCCTGCCACCATACCCAGCTAATTTTTTTTTGTATTTTTAGTAGAGACGGGGCTTTTGCCATGTCAGTCAGTCTGGTCTCGAACTCCTGACCTCATATGATCCTCCCGCCTTGGCCTCACGAAGTGTTGGGATTACAGGCGTGAGCTACCACGCCCAGCCTAAAACTTTTTCTTAGTGATTTAAGTCTGAAATATAATTTTTTAGTTTTATTCTAAGTAGATATATTTTTTTATGTAGCATTTTGAATATAGTAGACTTAAAAGTTACCAGTTCTTTGTTGGGAAGAGCTTTGATTTGGTGAGTTAAAATATATAGGCTGTTTTTAGTCCTATGCAGCATATGTTGGTATAGAAAGGTCTAAAATCTCTTGCTTCCATCATTGTGGGCCTTTATAAACATGTGAAGATTAACAGTTTATACTTCAGTTGTCCTTAATAAAATGACAGCCTTTTAGTTTCTGGCTTAAGGATGGAAGGTTGGAAATATTGCCTGGCTAGCTATCTACCCATGTATATATCTGGACTTCCAGTATCAAATCCCCTTTACTGCTGGGCACAGTGGCTCACTCATGTAATCCCAACACTTTGGGAGGCTGAGGTGGGAGGATCACTTGAGACCGGGAATTTGAGACCAGCCTGAGCAACGTAAGGAGACCTTGTCTCTACAAAAAGACCCAAAAAAACCAAAATTACCCTAGCGTGGTGGCACATGCCTGTAGTCCCAGCTGCCCTGGAGGTTGAGGTGGGAGAATCACTTGATCCTAGGAGGTTGAAGCTGCAGTGAGCTGTGATCGCACCACTGCACTCTAGCCTAGGTGACAGAGTGAGACTGTCACAAACGAAACAAAAGATCTTTAGAATAAGGTGAGATATTCGTAGATATGCTCTTCTATTTTCCATCAAGTGTACTTTTTTGTGTATGTGTTAAGATTGCTAGAGTTGAAAATACAGATAAGGCAAACATGTTTTTAAAATTTTCTTTCAGACCTGAGAAATTAGATGTTGAAACAGTTATGAGTATTGATCATCTGAAACAGAAAATCCCTCCAGCACTGTTTTATAAGGAAACATACTTAGGTCCAAATGAAGGTAAGGTAATTTAATTTTATTGAAATGCATTAGAAGCAGACTTGATTTGGATATTTACTATGTATTTTTCTTATGTCAGTTTTGAAGAATGGAATGTATTGCAGCCTTTATGAAGTTGTGGAAAAGACAAGAATTGGAAGTAACATGGAGAGTTTACTGCAAAAACTAGACAGAGAAAAACTTGTGAGTGAAAAGTTTTTTAATGTTTCTCATTCTTTGTTACAAATATGCATATTCATGTGTGATCATATTAGTGTTTCAGTTTATTTTTGCCTCTGAAAGTACCATGAGGTGTCTGTCTGTTGCTGCTGTTTAGTTAACAGTGTTTTACTGTGGTTCTGGTATTCTTTTATTTGGGCCATGGTATTGGAGCTTGTGCAAACCAGTCTTTCCCATGGAATATCTTTTTTTTTTTTTTTTTTTTGAGACGGAGTCTTGCTGTCTCACCAGGATGGAGTACAGTGGCGTGATCTTGGCTCACTGTAATCTCCGCCTTCCTGGGTTCAAGCAATTCTCCTGCCTCAGCCTCCTGAGTAGCTGGGATTACATGTGCACACCACCACAGCCAGCTGATTTTTGTATTTTTAGTAGAGACGGGGTTTCACCGTGTTGTCCAGGATGGTCTCAATCTCCTGACCTCGTGATCTGCCCGCCTCAGCCTCCCAAAGTGCTGGAATTAGAGGCGTGAGCCACCGTGCCCAGCCCCCATGGAATATCTTTATTATACTTTGTGATTAAGAATGTGATTATCAGGCCGGGCGTTGGTGGCTCACGCCTGTAATCCCAGCACTTTAGGAGGCCAAGGCAGGCAGATCATAAGATCAGGAGATCGGGACCATCCTGACCAACATGGAGAAACCCTGTCTCTACTAAAAATATAAAATTAGCTTGGTGTGGTGTAATCTCAGCTACTGGGGAGGCTGAGGCAGGAGAATCGCTTGAACCCAGGAGGAAGAGGTTGTGGTGAGCCAAGATCGTACCATTGCGCTCCAGCCTGAGTGACAAAAGCGAGACTCCATCTCAAAAAAAAAAGAAAAAAGAAAATCCAAGAACAATAAACTCAGTGAGGTTGAGGAGATAAAGGAACACTAGAGTAGTTGGGGGAAAGTAGTAGGGACCTGTGTCATACAGCGTCATTCAGGCAGTGTTCAAGTGTTTGGAAATTTGGATTTGATCCTAAGAGCAGCAGATTTTGAAGGATTTTCAAGGGTGTGCATTGAAACTTTGAAAGTGTATGCAACATAAGATCTGTGTTTTGAATAATTACGTTAGTTACTCGAGAATAAATTGAGGGGAGATGAGGTAGAAACTATTACATTAGAGGGTGATGGCGGGTGGGATGACAAGGTAATGATACAAGAAGAGACAGATTTATGGGATATTTCTGAGGTAAGGTCCAATTTAATACTGAAGCATATCTAGTTTGGGTAGAGGGATTGGGTCAAACATCAGATTGTGGTGGGTTGAGAAGTGAATGGAAAATGAATGTGATGCCAGTATATGTGGTTTAGCTGAAGGCGAGGAGGTGGTTGGAGAGAAGGGAAGTGGCTGTTCCAAGGTTTCTTTTTGTCTTGCTAAATGGTGGTCGTAAGTTCCAAGAAAGAGGGATACAACTTTTTTGCATAGGTGCGCCATTTAATACAAGTTTTACAACAGTTGACTTTTTACTTCTCACTTTGTTGAGCCTCAGTTTCCAGGTAGTCGAATGGCAGTCAAATATCTTTGAGTTTCAGAACGTGCAACTTCATGTTTAATGGCTACATAGAATTTAATTATTTTCATATATATGTGCTTAATCAGTCTGTTGTTTATAGATGGGATAGTCAGATTGACATAAAACTTCCAGGCAGAGTTATAAAACCCTTGCGAGTCTTTGACTTACAGGCTAGAAACCTTTCAATTAAATGTCCTAGAATTAAAACACACACGCGTGCACACACACACACACACACACACACACACACACAGTCTCTCTCTCACTCTCTGTCTCTCTCTCTTTTTTTTTTGAGACAGACTCTCTCGCCCAGGCTGGAGCGCAGTGGCACAGTCTCAGCTCACTGCAACCTCCGGGTTCAACCTTCCGGGTTCAAGCGATTCTCCTGCCTCAGCTTCTCGAGTAGCTGGGATTAGAGGCATGTGCCACGACACCCAGCTAATTTTTGTATTTTTAGTAGAGACGGGGTTTTATCATGTTGCCCAGGCTGGTCTCAAACTCCTGACCTCAAGTGATCCACCCGCCTCGGCCTCCCAAAGTGTTGGGTGAGCCACCGCGCCTGGCCCTTCCTTCTTACTTTCTCACTGCATATGAACATAATTTTATGTTTGTATTACATGGCTTGTTTTCTTCTGAAAGCCTGACTACAATGCAAGCATTCCTCATCATCAAAATCTATTCAGTTCCCAAGTTCAGAAAGTGAAAGTTGAGATAGTAGGTTTGGATATGGAGAGATACTGAGTTACACAAATCTATTTGGTTCTTGTGTTTCAGAGAGTGAGTATTGAGAATTCGGACAATGAGGGGTTTATCAGAAAATTACAATATCTTTCGGTTACTGATATGAGGATCAGGATAGGAAAGATGGCATTTCGTTCCTCACCTGACCAAGTATTACATTATGTTAATGGAAGACTGGATCTTTTCCAGAATCAAGAAGTAAAGTAAAATCCTAGATCTTAAAGGTTGCTAGCATTCTACAAGGATACACTCCCAGAATCTAATGTACCTAGGAATTTTGTGTAGCTATCCGTTTTCCAGCAGGCCTCACTGGGATTATTCCGTCTATAGCTACTTTATTCATAGTTTTCTTGATAATGAGCAGTGCATTGAGGAATACTGATTTTTAAATTTTGTCCAAGAAATGCACACAAGGTTTTCTGAATCAGAGACAGATTTTGTGAATACCCCACAGTAAGTAAAAATGTATTGGCCCTCCTTTGCCTTAGTCCTTAACTCCCTAGGGCATGCAGGCCTAAGCCACTTGTCCTGAGTAGCTGCATACTACATAGGTAAAAGATGGGGACAAATACTTTCTATTTGCTTATAAAAGGGAAGAGGCAGCTATTCCCTGCTATCCTGAATGTGTCTCTTTGAAATGTTATGAATATTAACTCCAACTCTTTGGTATATAAATAAAATCGCTTCAGGAGCCATTTGTTTAGCCCTCTTGGACCAAGAGACATTTCCAAATTCCTGGAAACTCATTCTGTATTGAAATGTAAATGCTTAGGGAGATCTCCATAGTCTTCTTGGCACCTCTGGACTTAACCTAGGAACCTCTCTTTGCTGTAATCTCTTAATCTACCCCACTTGATGCTCTCAGGGAGATAAAATAAGTTTTATTATTGTGGAGCAGAGCAATTAACTAGATAAATGACTACAGATCTAAATCTTAAGGTATGCGAAGAGTAAAATATTTGTGGGGGATATGAAAGCAAACATTCCCTTATCTTTATATCATATACATTTTTGTATATTAGAAGGCTAGGACTTTTTGCAGTGGCACGTAGAAATCCAGGGAAGTTTTCTTTTCACCCAGGGAGATGATACACGAAATAAGATTATATTGACTTTTTTTTTTTTTTTTTTCGAGACAGAGCCTTGCTCTGTTGCTGGGCTGGAGTGCAGTGGCGTGATCTCGGCTCACTGCAATCTCTGCCTCCTGAGTTCAAGTGATTCCCTTGCCTCAGTCTCCGGAGTAGCTGGGATTACAGGCGCCTGCCACCATGCTCGGCTAATTTTTGTATTCTTAGTAGAGATGGGGTTTCACCATGTAGGCCAGGCTGGTCTTGAACTCTTGACCTCATGATCTGCCTGCCTTGGCCTCTGAAAGTGCTGAGATTACAGGCGTGAGCCACCGTGCCTGGCCATCTCGCCCTTTCTTTAGTGTATTCTTTTTTTTTTTTTTGACGGTGTTTCGCTCTTGTTGCCCAGGTTGGAGTGCAATGGTGCAATCTCGGCTCACCGCAACCTCCTCCTCCTGGGTTCAAGCAGTTCTCCTGCATCAGCCTCCAGAGTAGCTGGGATTACAGGCATGCTCCACCATGCCTGGTTAATTGTGTATTTTTAGTAGAGATGGGACTTCCTCCATGTTGGTCAGGCTGGTCTCGAACTCCTGACCTCATCATCTGCCTGCCTCGACCTCCCAAAGTGCTGGGATTACAGGTGTGAGCCACTGCGCCCAGCCTAGTGTATTCTTTTAATAGAGTTTTAGAATTTTCTGGATACTAGTCTTGCTCATTTTTTGTTAGATTTATCCCCAGCTGTCTTACATTTTTTGATGCTTTTGTAAATAGTATTTTCTTTCTTTTTTTGGGGGGGGGCGGGGGACAGAGTCTCGCTCTGTCACCCAGGCTGGAATGCAGTGGTGTGATCTCAGCTCACTGCAACCTCCGCCTCCCAGGTTCAAGGAATTCTCCTGCCTCAGCCTCCTGAGTAGCTGGGACTACAGGCGTGCAACACCATACCTGGCTAATTTTTTTTGTATTTTTTGTAGAGATGGGGTTTTGCCATGTTGGCCAGGCTGGTCTTGAACTCTTGACCTCAAGTGATCTGCCTGCCTCAACCTCCCAAAGTGCTGGGATTACAGGTGTGAACCGCCATGCCTGGCCCGTGAATAGTATTTTCCATGTTAGTACATTTTCTGTTTCTTGTATATATAGAAATGTAATTGATACTTACATATTGATTTAATGCAGATCAATGTGAAATTTGAATGAAGTGTTTATTTTTGTACATTTTTGGGGGTTTCTATATAGAATTCATTATCTGGAAGGTAGATTGGTTTTATTTTTTTCTTCTCATCTTTATAGTAGTCCCCTGTTATCCTTGGTTTTGCTTTCTGTAGTTTCAGTTACCTGTGGTCAGCTGTTGTCTGAAAATACTAAATGGAAAGCTCCAGAAATAATTAATAAGTTTTAAATTAGTTTTCAGTAGTAGCCTAATGCTGCATCACAATGTCTATGTCATCAGCCTCACTTCCATCTCATCACATAGGCATTTCATCATCTCACGTCATCATAAGAAGGGTGAGTACATTACAATAAGATTTTGAGAGAGAGAGAGACCACATTACATAACCCTTATTATTATATATTGTTGCAGTTACTCTATTTTTTTGGTGGGAGGACAGGATTTCATTCTGTTGCCCAGGCTGGAGTACAGTGGTGTGATGTGATCATAGCTACTGCAGCCTTGAACTACTTGTCTTTTAAGTGATTCTCCCACCTCAGCCTCCTGGGTAGCTGGGCTGCAGGTGTATACCACCATGCCCAGCTAGTTTTTAAAATTTATCTATTTTTTAAAATTTTTAATAGAGAATAGGGTCTTACTGTGTTGCCCAGGCTTGTCTCAAACTCCTGGCCTTAAGCAACCCTCATGCCTCCACCTCCCAAAGTGCTGGTATTATAGGCATGAACCACCATGCCCAGCCTGTTCTATTTTATTATTAATTATTGTCGTTAGTCTCTTAGTATGCCTAATTTAAAAGTTAAACTTTATTATAGGTATGTATACATAAGAAAAAACATAGGGTTTGTTACTATCTGTGATTTCAGACATTCACTGGGGGTCTTGTAATATATCTTCTGCAGATAAAAGGGAACTACTATATACTACTTCTTTTTCCATGTTAATGTGCAGTCTAGGATCTGTACTAAGAAGTTGAATAAAAATGGTGATTTTGGGCATTCTTGCCTTCTTGATTTAAAGAAAAAAAAGCCTTATAACATTTTACCATTAAGTAGGAAGTCCACAGTAGTTTTTTATGTTTTAAACTTTGCTTCTTTATTTTTTTAACCATGAATGGATTTTGAATTTTAGCAGATGGTTTTTGTTTTGGGTCAGGGGTTGCATTTATCAATCTGGTCACACAGTATTTTTGGGTTCTGCAGAGAAACAGAACCAATAGTTTATGGTGGGGGTGGTATGTAAAAAGAGATTTATTGTAAAGAATTGGCTCACACATTTATGGAGGCTGACATGTCCCAAGATCATATCTGCAGTTAACAAGCTGGAGACCCAGGAGAGCCAATGGTACAGTTTCAGTCTGAGTATGCAGGTGCAAGAACCAGGACTGCCAGTGGTATAGTTCTAAGGCTGGCAGGCTCAAGACTCAGGAAGAGCCAATGTTTCAGTTCAAGTCTGAAGGCAGGGAACAGTTGACATCCCAACTTGGAAGACAGACAGGAGGAATTCTTTTGTTGTGGGGGTTAGGGTTTGCCTTTCATTCTCTTTAGGCCTTCAGCTGATTGGATATGGCCAACCTGCATTAGGGAGGTTGGCTTGCTTTACTCAGTCTGTTGGTTGTAAACTCATCCGAAAATAGCTTGACAGGAACACCCAGAAAAATATTTGATCAAATACCTGGGCACTCCCTGGCCAAATCTAGTTGACCTAAAAAATTAACCATCACACATGGTATTTATTCTGTAGACCTACTAAGGTGAGTTATATTTATAGTTTTCCAATATTAAACTACCCCTGCATTGCTTGTATAGAAACTACCACCCCCCAACCCCGCCCACCCCTGCCACAGCTTTTAAAGTAAATTGTGGGGTTTGGCTTTTGTTTAGGAATTTTGTATCTGTGATGATGAATGAGATTGACCTGAAATTTTCCTTTCTTATACCATCTCTGCCTTTTTTTTTTGAGACAGAGTTTCGCTCTTGTCTCCCAGGCCAGAGTGCAGTGGCACAATCTCAGCTCACTGCAACCTCTGCCTCCCGGGTTCAAGGGATTCTCCTGCCTCAGCCTCCCAAGTAGCTGGGATTACAGGCATGCTCCATGACACCTGGCTAATTTTTGTATTTTTAGTAGAGACAGGGTTTCATCATGTTGCCCAGATTGGTCTCAAACTCCTGGGCTCAAGTGATCTGCCTGCCTCGGCCTCCCGTAGTGCTGGGATTACCAGGGTGAGTCACCAAGCCTGGCCAACTTTTACTTTTTTGAGACTTGTTTTGCTATTTCTGTCTTTAAGTCAGAAAAATAGTCAATAAATACTCAGTTGTAAGTAGTGCTTTAGTTGCATTTCACGTTTTAATGTGCAGTATTTTCATTATTCATTTCTAAGAAATTTTTATTTTTTAGTTTCCAATTTTTTTTTAACTTTGATATATGATGTAGAGGTATGTGTATAGGGAAACAGGGATACTTTTGTCTTTTTTATTTCTAATTTAATTGCATTGTAATCAACAATGGTGGTGATTATTTGAAATTTGTTGAGACTAAGATCTACTGTGTGGTCAATTTTTGTACATGCTCCTTCTGTGTTTGAGAAAAATGTATAATCTATAATCATTGGGTGCTGGGTACACAATTCTGGGTTGACAGCTATTTTCTTGCACTTTGACTATGCTGCAGTGTCTTATGGCTTCTATTTTTGTTTAGGGGTTAGCTCTCAGTCTAATTGTTCCTTTGTAGGTCCCCTGCCGCCCCCTGGCTACTTTTTAAATCTTTTTTTTTTTTGGTCTTTGATGTTTAGCAGTTACAGTATCTAGGTGTAGATTTCTATTTATCCAGCTTGGTATATCTTTTCCTTTCATATCTGTGGATTTGTGTCTTTTTTTCTGGAAAATTAGTTATCTCTTTTATTGTACTTCTCCCTCATTTTCTTTAGCTTGTCTTTTCTTTTTTTTTTTTTTTTTTTTTTTTTTTGAGATGGAGTCTCACTCTGTTGCCCAGGCTGGTGTGCAGTGGCATGATCTTGGCTGACTGCAACCTCCACCTCCCGGGTTCAAGCAGTTCTCCTGTTTCAGCCTCCCGAGTAGCTGGGGTTGTAGGTGTGTGCCACCACACCTGGCTAATTTTCGTGTATTTAGTAGAGACAGGGTTTCGCCATGTTGGCCAGTGGTTGTGAACTCCTGACCTCAGGTGATCCACTGGCCTCGGCCTCCCAAAGTGCTGGGATTACAGGCGTGAGCCACTGCGCCCGGCCTGGCCTGTCTTTTTAGGACTCTGAAGAGGCATATTTTCCACGTCTGTTAACCTTGTCTATGTTTTCCATCTATTTGTTTCTCTGTGCTGCATTCTAAGTAACTTCATCATAACTATCTTCTAGTTTAAAAATCCTGTATTTAGCTGTGTCTTATTTGTTGCTTTATTTATTTATTGTGTTTTTAATTTCACAGGGAATGTTTTTTATTTTTAAAAGTTACATTTGAATTTTTTTGGATCTGCCTGGTTATTTTATAGCAGGTTCTTGTTAAGTCTTTCAGAAGTATTTAGTGAGTACCTATCATACGCCAGGCAGAGTTCTAGGAGGTGCACATTATATTCCGGTATTCTTTGCCTATATTTTTTAAGTGAAATAAAATTCACATAACATAAAATTAACCATTTTAGCCATTTTTTTTTTTTTTTTAAATAGGCAGGGTCTTGCTTTGTCATCCAGGCTGGAGTGCAGTGGTGTGATCCTGGCTCACTGCACCCTCGACTTTCTGGGGTCCAGTGATCCTCTTACCTCATCCTCCTGGGTAGCTGGGGCTACAGGTGCGTACCACCACACCTGCCTGATTTTTGTATGTTTTGTAGAGACAGGGTTTTGCCATATTGCCTGGGCTGTTCTTGAACTTGGCCTCCCAGAGTGCTGGGATTACAGGTGTGCACCACCGTGCCCAGCCATTTTAGCCATTTTAAAGTATATAATTCTATGTTTTTTTTAAAAGTAGATTCACACTGTTGTGCAACATCAACACTATCTAATTCCCGAACATTTTCATCTCAGAATTCACTGTACATTCCCCCTTCCTAATCCCTAACAGCCATTAATCTACTTCTGTCTCTATGGATTTATCTGCTCTGAACATTTTATATAAATAGAGTCAAGAATATGTGGCGTTCGGTGCCTGGCTTCTTTCACTAAGCATAATTTTCAAGGCTCATTGATGTTGTAGCATATATCAGAACTTCATTCTGTTTTATGGCCCAGTATGCTTTCATTGTGTAGATAATACCACATTTTGTTTGTTCTTTTATCAGTTATTTCTATTTCTTGGCTACTATGAATAATGGTGCTATGAACATTAGCGTAAACATTTTTGCTTGAAAATGTTTTTAATTCTTCCAATTATTTTATGTCTTTAAAGATTTCATAGTGGATTATTTTCCTTTTTGCATCTGATAATTCCAATTTTTGATGCCTTTGAGTGTTTGAATCTTTTTTTTTCTGCTGAATCTCACTTTAGTGTAGCTTATTTCCTTCTAAGCTTTTTTTTTTTGAGACAGGACTCTCTGTTGCCTAGGCTGAGGTGCTATAGTGCGTGGCACAATCACAGCTTCACAGCTTGAACTCTCAGGATCAGGCAATTCTCCCACCTTAGCTTTCCAAGTAGCCAGGACTATAGGCATATGACGCCACACATGACAACTTTTAAAATTTTTTTTGTAGAGTTGGGGTCTTGCTGTGTTGCCAAGGTTGGTCTTCAACTCCTGGCTTCAAGCAATCCTCCTCCCACTTCGACTTCCCAAAGTGCTGAGATTACAGGCATGAGCCACTGCGCCTGGCCCATTGTACATGTATTTATACTAACTCTTTTTTTGTGGGGGTGGGGGAGTGCTATAATACCTTTAATGTTATCTGGAAATTTAAAATAGTAGAATAAACTAATTTAAAAACCCCAGAGATTGGATTAATATCTTTTTTTTTTTTTAAGAATAACCAAACAGCTAAAATAGAGACAACAGGAGCACAATTTGCAGGATTTTTCTTTTCTGCAGAGTTGAATGGATTTCATTGGGCTGAAGCCACAGATATAACTGCTGAAGCCTCTGTCAGCCTTAGTGTTGTTTCTGATCATAGATTGCTTGTACTCCATGGATTTCTGGAAACATTGGGCCCCCTTAAAATACAGGAATCTTTAGGTTACTGGTAGTGGAATTTATAAAACCTAGTATTTGGAGTGAGTGAGAGGTTAAAGGCATCTAATTGGTTTTCGTCAGTGAGCACAAAACATGAAAATCTTGTGCTTCGTAACTTTTTATTTCATCAACTAGGAGTTTGAACAAAATATTAAAAGAAGTATATTATCTAAAATACTTTGGATAAAAGTATTTGAAACAAAATTTTCAGGTACATTGTCCGCTTGTAGTATACTCTAAGAGACTTAGCGTGGCTATAAATGGTAGCCGTAAGACCCAGTTAAATATCTTGCAGGGCCAATACTATATGTCAGCAGTATGATGTAACTTGGCCTGAGGATTTTTAACCTTGGCCCTGGGATTTTTAGGAAACAAGGCCACCTCAGCACAGATTAACTATTAGAAACCTTACAACAAAGTTTACCCTTACAAGAATATTTGAACTTCCTTTATAAAAGAAAGACCTGATAACTGACCCTCATGGAATCCAGGCAGTAAAAATGGGGAAAGATTCCCCAAAGTTTAGAATGGTCTTCAGATGGACCTAGTCATTTGGTCATCTGACCCCATGACTTTATCTGTCCCATACCACCAGCCTGCTTCCACTAAAATAACCTCCTTGAGTACCAGGTATCTAAGACTCATTTTTGGCACAGATTGAACTGAAGGAGAAGTTGACCCTGGAGAAAGTGGTCAACTAAGCTACCTGAAACCCCCAAACACAATACCACTTTACTTTTGAGTGTGCAAACAATGTTTTTATTAAATGTGAATTAGTAGCACAGTTACTTTTTGTCCTCTGAATTATTAGTTTTTATACAGGCGTTGTTTACTGGAATTGTTTTAGTAGGAATTTAGGTAGTACGAGTTTTCTTTCAGAGCTCAGATATCCTTTTGTGTTCAGTTGCCATGCTCAGTTTCTCATTTACCCAAAACATTGTGAACTATTGCAGTAGCCCCTGAAATAAATTCTTTGCATTAGATTGTTTTTCTGCGTCCTGCACTGTGCTGTCAAGTCTTCTTTCTTACTGTTGTTTTAAGGAAACAGTAGCTCAAAGGGATATGCTCTCAAGGACATTCCTGGCCAGCCTGGCTTCTGGTCTTTTTACAGCTAACCCATGATCTTTCATTCCCGACTTGTCTTATACATTTATCCTAGTCTGTCCTCACCCTGTTGCCAGTGATAAATATTGTGATGTTTGTAAACTGTCCATTACAACTCACCTTTGCTCATGGTGTTGCCTCTACTGAAATGTCCTTCCTACAATCTCAGGCTCTTGTCAGTGTACCCATTCTTCAAAATCCACTTTTGATACACTTTCAGTAAACCTTTCTTGACCATCTTTTACTACCGTAAACAAACTGTATTTTTCCATTTCTGTTATTTTGTAAATCTCTTAGGGAACTTTTCTGTCTTATGTAATTACTGGTATTTATTGTGGTACTCTTTCTACCTAATTATAAACTTCTCGTGATCAAGGATCTTGTGTTGCTTGTATTTGGATATCTCTGGGCAAATTCCCTTACATGTGAAAAGTGTTCATGTAATATGTGTGCAGTTAGATTATGGCAACACATTGGGTTTGTGATTAGTCTGAACTCTTGCAACGCAGTGTTTCAAAGCATGTTTTGTATCTAGCATCTAGCACATTACCTTGGCCATTAATAAACATGTCTTTTGAACTGATGAAGAAAATTGAAGTCTTTAGCTTGGTCCTTGTATTTTAGCTTCAGGGAAAAATTAACGTGGTTTTGCAGTTAGGGGAGTTCTTTCAGTAACATTTTCTCATTAATGTTATGAAAACCAAGGAATTTTTATTTGATTGGAATCCTGTTAATCAGCAGAGTTGGTAGAAAGAATTAACTAATTCATTAGCAATATTTTTTCTTAAAAGATGATTAAGAACTTTTTTTCTTTACAATTAGTAGAAAATGCTGTGTGTCTGCCTTATGGTGAATAATAATAAAGCAGATACAACTTCTTCCTTCCCCTCAAAATACAGGTTCTTGTTAAACCTTTGGGAGACCGAGGATACCTTTTTCTTCTCTCCCCTTATCAGATGGTTCCTCCATATGGTAGGTGGTCTCTCTTTAATAAATTTTTACAATTCTTTCTTAACTTTTTAGTTAAAACACATTGCTAATGAGTTTGGCTTCTGTTTTTTAGAATATCAGACTGCCAAGTCTCGAGTCCTACATGCTTTGTTTCTATTTCAAGAACCTAGAAGCATAGTTACTTGTAAGTTCTTTGAATATCTAAATCTGGTTACTTATAGATACTTAACATTTCATTGAAATTTTCCAGATAACTCACTAAACATTTTGTCTTTCTTACCTCATGTTTCAGGAAATACTGGGGGTTAAGAGGTATTAGCAATATAAGACACAAATTATATGAATTTTTTTTTTTTTTTTTTTTTTTTTTTTTTGATACAGAGTTTTGCTCTTCTTGCCCAGGCTGGAGTGCAGGGGCGCGATCTCAGCTCACTGCGACCTCCACCTCCCAGGTTCAAGTGATTCTCCTGCCTCAGCCTCCTGAGTAGCTGGGATTACAAGGCATCTACCACCACTCCCAGCTAATTTTTTTGTATTTTTAGTAGAGACGGGGTTTCACCATGTTGGCCAGGCTGGTCTCGAACTCCTGACCTCAAGTGATCCTCCTGCCTCGGTCTCCCAAAGTGCTGGGATTACAGGCATGAGCCACTGTGCCTGGCTGACGATTTTTTTTAACTATGAAAAATTAATTTGTGTTTATCAGTGCTCTCATAAAGCTTGATTATAATTGTTATAGTACTGTAGCTTAGTTATGATGGTTACTTTTTATTTATTTTAGAGATAGAGTCTCACTCTGTTGGAGATAGAGTCTCACTCTGTTGCCCAGGCAGTGGTGCGATCATGGCTCACTACATACAGCCTTGCCCTCCCTCCTAGGCTCAAGTGATCCTCCTGCCTCAGCCTCTTGAGTAGCTTGGGATTACAGGCGTGCGCCAGCACAGCTAGCTAAGTTTAAATTTTTTTTTTTTCTTTAGAAGCAGGATCTCACTATATTGTCTAGGTTGTTCTTGAACTCCTGGCCTGAAGCGATCCAACTACCTCAGCCTCCCAAGCTGCTGGGATTAGAGGCATGAGCCACTATTCCCGGTCTGTGAGGGTTTTGTATGATTATTTTTTAGCTTAGTTCAATTTTGCATTCAAATTTTAGTAACTCTAAAGCATCATTTGCCAGGATAAATATTAGGCAATTCAAAATTAATGAGAATTTTTGGCACTGATATAAGACAAGATTTGTTAACCACCTTTTCTAAGAATGAACTTTAATACTGTGTATTAAGCTAAAGTTCCCACTAATGGCTTTATTTCACTGTTGGATTAAGGATGAGTTTCTCAGTTGTGGCTACTCAGCATCTACATATCTGTTCATGTGAAGTTAGTTACTACTTTATAAGAGGAAGAGATGACATGCAGGACTGTTTTGCTTGGAGCCTCAGATCTTGTTCTGTCTCTGTTTCTTCTTACATATTGCTTGCCACTATTTGAATTTCCTGGGGGCAGTAGGAAGTGAGATCTTCAATGAGTGGGTGATTTTTCCTTTAAAAATGTGTTCTGCTTTTTCATTTGTTTTAGTTTCTTATTGGCCTGTTTTAGGATCCTGGACTTTACAAGCATGCTATTCATATATTTGCTATATTGTATATATGTACTAGGGTACATACTCGTCTGGTTCAACATTAATGTATAAATGTTTTTATACTTCTTTGGCAATATTTAGATCTGTATTTGATTAGTTTCTTGATTGCTAACATGGTTTGCTTTTTTGTTTGTTTGTTTTATTTACAGCACAAAAAGGTTCAACCAATGCAGCACCACAGGAGAGGCATGAGAGCATGCCAGATGTATTAAAAATAGCTCAGTTTTTACAATTTTCTTTGATTCAGTGTCGAAAGGAATTCAAAAATATAAGCGCCATAAATTTTCATTCTGTTGTTGAAAAGTATGTAAGTGAATTTTTTAAGCGAGGTTTTGGTTCAGGTAAACGAGAGTTTATTATGTTTCCATATGATTCACGATTAGATGATAAAAAATTCTTATACTCAGCTCCCAGAAATAAATCCCATATTGATACTTGTTTGCATGCCTATATTTTTCGGCCTGAAGTGTATCAGTTACCTATTTGTAAATTAAAAGAACTATTTGAAGAAAATAGAAAACTTCAGCAGTTTAGTCCACTTTCAGATTATGAAGGTCAAGAAGAAGAAATGAATGGTACAAAAATGAAATTTGGAAAACGAAATAACTCAAGAGGTGAAGCCATTATATCTGGAAAGCAAAGATCATCTCATTCTTTGGATTATGATAAGGATAGAGTCAAAGAATTGATTAATTTAATTCAGTGTAGGAAAAAGAGTGTGGGTGGGGACTCAGACACAGAAGATATGAGAAGCAAAACTGTCTTGAAGAGGAAGCTTGAGGATCTACCTGAAAATATGAGAAAGCTCGCCAAAACCAGTAATTTATCTGAAAATTGCCATCTGTATGAAGGTAAAATATCAGATTGCTCTTATAACAGCCAAAAATAAAGTAGTTCTGTTCTTTCTTGTAGCAGAGGGGCGTATAAATTAAAGCCTGAGGGTCAAATTCAGCCTGTCCACTATTTTTGTAAAGAAAGTTGTATTTGAATACAGCCATGCCCATTTATTTATGTGTATGTAGCTGCTCTCATGCTGTCATGGCAGAGTTGGCACTGAGACTGTATGGCCCACAAAGCCTAAAATATTTGCTACCTGGCCCAGTACAGGAAACACTTTACAATTCCTGCCCTGGTACATCAGATTTCTAAATTGTTTGGTTTAGGTTAACATGACATAATAATACTAATCAGAACTCTTGTCCTTTTATATTCCTTTATTTTTTTTGAGACGGAGTCTTGATGTCTCCCCAAGGCTGGAGTGTAGTGGCATGATCTCGGCTCACTGCAAGCTCCACCTCCTGGGTTCATGCCATTCTCCTGCCTCAGCCTCCCGAGTAGCTGGGACTGCAGGCGCCTGCCACCATGCCCGGCTAATTTTTTGTATTTTTAGTAGAGACGGGGTTTCACCATGTGAGCCAGGATGGTCTCGATCTCCTGACCTCGTGATCCGCCTGCCTCGGCCTCCCAAAGTGCTGGGATTACAGGCGTGAGCCACCACGCCTGGCCATATTCCTTTATTTTTATAGTTGAAGAAGTATAATATCAGAATAGTAGTATCTTTTAGGCTGTTGCATAATGAAAAGGAACCTTCTGAATTTGAAAATAAAATATGCATACACATACTCTTTTCTACCCCAAGAATCCAGGAATATCTTTGGGTTTTTCTTTTTTTGTTGTTCTTTTTTCCTTTGTTTTGTTTTAGTTGACAGAAAAAGATAGACATGTAAGGCGCTTGTTTTAAGTGTGTTTGTTTCAATATTGCAAGTCAGCTAAAACACTTTTATCTAGATTTTTAAGATCTTCACACTACTAGTTGATAAGCACAGAATGAGTTCTTTTGCATTCATAGAAAGTTGACATAACAATCCACGTTTTGTGTTACTGTTGCTCCTCTGATTATGGCAGAACTGAATATTCTTATGCTTTTTATTAAGCAACTTGTCTCTTCAGATTCAGTGTGTCTTAGTCTAGGTTAGTCAGATCAGTGTCTTAGTCTAGGTTAGTCAGATCAGTGTCTTTTTACACTTTTGCTCTTAGCAATCTGTATTTGTATCCTCACTTTTCACTTTCCTGCTCTTTTTATTTATTTATTTATTTTTGAGACAAAATCTCACTCCGTCACCCAGGCTGTAGTGCAGTGGCTCAGTCTTGGCTCACTGCAACCTCTGCCTACCTGGTTCAAAAGATTCTCGTGCCTGAGTCTCCCCAGTAGCTGGAATTACAGGCACGTACTACTGTGCCTGGCTAATTTTTGTATCTTTAGTGGAGACGGGGTTTTGCCATGTTGGCCAGGCTGGTCTTGAACTCCTGACCTCAAGTGATCTGTCTGCCTCGGCCTCCCAAAGTGCTGGGATTACAGTCGTCAGCCACCATGCTCAGCCTGCTCTCCTTTTACTTCTTTTATTGTTATGGTATTCAATGTGGTAGCCACTAGCCATATGTTTTTATTTAAGTTTGAATTAAAATGAAATTAAAATACATTTCAACAACCACACCATTGTATTAGTACAGAGAGAGAACATTTCCATTATTGCAGAAAGTTCTATTTGACATTACTTTTCTTTGCAGTAACTATAATGATTTTTTCTTTAGTTAACCTGTGTGTCTCTTTCTCTTTGCAATGTTGTTACTCTTTGTCTGTGTTCTTTATCTCTTTGGTGGCCTTCCTGACTTACTACCTTCTTGCACCCGTTTCAGTATCATGTTCTTCTCAGTATTGCTTTGCTAATTTGCTACCAATCTCATCTTATATACTTGCTTTTTAAGGCTTTGTTATAGACTAGCCATGTCCAGCCATGTTTCCCACTGTTCTCTCACATGTCTTGGTTAAGGGTCATCTCTCTCTGCCTAGAGTATGTCATGGTCAGTCTTTTATTTCCCTCTTTTTTTTCCTGAAGTAGCTTCCATTTCTTTCAAGCCTTATATCTTTGCAGTTCATATTCTCCTCAGCTTTCTGTCTATTCTCCTTAATGGTCTCCTCTAGTTTATGCTGGATTTGCAATCTGTGCTGAACCTGTTAGCACTTACTGACACATACTGTCTTATCTTGTGACATGTCTTGAGAGCTCTGTTTACTATGTGCTAGGTACTTTATGTATATGAACTCATTTATTAATAGTTCTTGAGTGATAGGCATTATTATCCTAATTTTGCAGATGAGAAAATCATCTCAGATAAGTTAAATAACTTTACCAAAAGTTATGAAGTTAGTGGCACAATCCGAAGTCAGTTCTGACTGACTCCAAAGCATTGTTGACAACAAACTGCTGCATTTCCTGTCACTGAGCACATTATATGCACTCAATAAATAAGATACTTATTTTTTGGTACTGTTTTTGTTGGTAACTAATTCTGTGTATGTGAAAAAATAGTTGTGGGTAAAAATCAGGCTTCATCAATAATTAAAATGATGAGAAAGCCATACTAATTATAATAAACCAAATGAGAAATGGAGCAGAGGAAGAAGGGTAGAATGCTTAACTAAAACTAGTGACTATCAGACTTGCATTTTTAGGTGTTTCTTACTTATTTCTTTTTAAGTAATTTTGCATACTTTGTTTCTGAAGGTAGAGATTTCAAGGTTGTATTCTAACTTTTTTTTTTGTTTTTTTTTTTTTTGAGACGGAGTCTCGCTCTGTCGCCCAGGCTGGAGTGCAGTGGCACAATCTCGGCTCACTGCAAGCTCCGCCTCCCTGGTTCTCGCCATTCTCTTGCCTCAGCCTCCCGAGTAGCTGGGGCGCCCGCCACCATGCCTGGTTACTTGTTTGTGTTTTTAGCAGAGACGGGGTTTCACCGTGTTAGCCAGGATGGTCTCGATCTCCTGACCTTGTGATCCGCCCGCCTCGGCCTCCCAAAGTGCTGGGATTACAGGCGTGAGCCACCATGCCCAGCCATATTCTAACTTTTAAAACACCCTGATCTTGATTTGGTGGTGAGCCCAGTCATTTTATGAGGTAACCTCCTAACCCATTCCCACCACCCCTTGTAACTTTTAACATAAACTGTTTTGAGGTACAGTTTATATCAGTGTACCTATTTAAGCACACAGTATGATTAGTTTTGACAGCTGTGTAATCACCGCTCCAATATATAGAACTTTTTTTTTTTTTTAAGATGGAGTCTTACTCTGTCTTCCAGGCTGGAGTGCAGTGACCCGATCTCGGCTCATTGCAACCTCTGCCTCCTGGGTTAAGCGATTCTCCTATCTCAGCCTTCCGAGTAGCTGGGATTACAGGCGTGTGCCACCATACCCAGCTAATTTTTGTATTTTTAGTAGAGACAGGGTTTCACCATGTTGGCTGAGCTAGTTTCGAACTCCTGACTTCAGGTGATCCACCCTCCTCAGCCTTCCAAAGTGCTGAGATTACAGGCGTGAGCCTATAGAATTTTTTTTTTTGGTGATGGAGTCTCGCTCTGTTGCCCAGGCTGGAGTGCAGTGGCATGATCTCGGCTCACCGCAACCTCCGCCTCCTGGGTTCAAGTGATTCTCCTGCCTCAGCCTCCCAAGTAGCTGGGACTACAGGTTCATGCCACTACGCCCAGCGAATTTTTTGTATTTTTTTAGTAGAGACGGGGTTTCACCTTGTTAGCCAGGATGGTCTCGATCTCCTGACCTTGTGATCTGCCCACCTCAGCCTGCCAAAGTGCTGGGATTATAGGCATGAGCCACCGTGCCTGGCCAGAACATTTTTATATGTTGCTTTGTGTTCTTTGTTAGGTAGCTCACCCCACTCCACTACTGATCTGCTTTTTGTCTTTATAGATTAGTTTTGCCTGCTCTATAAAAAGTTTACATAATTAGAGTCATACAGTATGCACTCCTTTGTTTCTGACATTTATTTTTGTTGTGGTACATTATACTCTTAAATTTGAAATCCTAACTCAGGCTTCACCCAATCCCTACCCCACCCCAATATTAAAGCACATGACTTTCTGAATGTTTGCGCCCTTTACAAGTTTTAAAATATATTGATTGTTACAGATTATACAGATTTATAGTGCATGCATGAAACCATGTCTTAACGTGTTTCCTCTTATAATACTTTTTGTTCTTGATGCAAATTTCGTGGAGATTTCTTCAGGGTGATTTTATCTCTATAATACCCTAGCTTCATTATGAATTTAAGTAATCTAGTCATTCAAGATAAGGTGTAGATTTTAAGTGTGTCAGCCAATGCCTTAAGGACAAAATATAATAGGTATGGAAAAGATAGAAATCAAATTGTCATTTTTTTAGTAGCCTAGTGTAATACACATATAATCCTAACAATTGGCAAAATAGTAATTACAAATGTTTCATCTCTTGTCAAGCACCTGGTTGACTTTGAGATTTTGATGGTAGTTATTAATACACATATTTAAAACCTAATGCATGAGCTTATTTTCCTATTGATAGAATGCTTAAATTACAATGGAAATTAAACTTTAATAGCAATTTTGAACTATGTGCAAAATTTTACAATTCTTTTTGTAAAGTGATGCGAATATTTGTAAAGTCTAAGCAAATTGGTTGAGTTCCTGACCATAAATGCTTTATGATAATTTTTTAGGTATATTTGATTTTAAAAGTTTTATGCTTGCTTTTAAACTTAACTTCAACCAATGACTTCCTTTTTCTCAGAGTCTCCACAGCCTATTGGCTCACTTGGACATGATGCTGACTTGAGGCGGCAGCAGCAGGATACCTGTAACTCCGGCATTGCTGACATCCATAGGCTGTTTAATTGGTTATCAGAAACACTAGCAAATGCGCGCCATTCTGATGCATCTCTGACAGACACAGTCAACAAAGCCTTAGGATTGAGCACTGATGATGCCTATGAAGAGCTGAGGCAAAAACATGAGTATGAGTTGAACTCTACCCCAGATAAGAAAGACTATGAGCAGCCTACTTGTGCAAAAGTTGAAAATGCACAGTTTAAGGGTACTCAGAGCTTATTACTAGAAGTTGATGCAACATCTAAGTATTCTGTTGCTATTTCTACCAGCGAAGTGGGCACTGACCATAAGCTACATTTGAAAGAAGTAAGCATATAGCTGTTGGTTACCTTTGTGTTTGTGAGTGTGTGTGTGAAAGAGGTGCTGTGAGTATGCTTCAGGGAATGATTTTTTTCTTTGAAAAAGAAATAAAATGCACTTTTGAGTAAAGGTGCCTGTCTAGGATGGTACTTCCTAAGTTATTCCTTGTTACAAAGAGATAAATGCTGAAGTAGTTTTCCTTCCTTCTTAGAAGCTTAATATATTGTCTACAGTTTACTTGTGATAAAGCTTAGGCGGAACAATCTATTAATATTTGTCAGAAATGGCTTATTGGGAGTTAATTCCTTATTGTTTCATAATGAAGTTGAATTATTAAAGCATTGGCTTTCTGTCGGCAGTAACAGAGAACCCAAAGGTGAGGCAGATGAGGATGCCAGTCTCAGTACAGCAGTGTGACAGTTAGGTACTTGGTATTTCTTACGCAAATAGGAATGGAACATAAGCAGCCTTTAGGATTACCCCTGAAGTGACTCTCAGCCTTGCTTATTAGAGTGTCCAGTATATTTATGATATATGTTCAGAGTGCTGGTTTGTAGCTGAGAAGTAGCCTTATCTGCCTTAAGCAGTCACTGCATCACTGGGGAATAGTTCTAGGATTGCACCGTATTCCTATGGGCTTATTTCTTCATTTACTGTCTCCATTTTCTCTTCCCTGCCTTTGTTTAAAAGTTGTATGCATGTCCCCATTCTTTCTCGATGTCGTTTTGGGATATTTATTTCAAGGGGAAGATGATGGCAGGAGGGTTATTGGGGTATGTAAGGTAGGCACTGAGGAACTAACCTGTATTAATATTTTCTGATATCTTTTGTATTTTAAATCAAGTTGATGGGGGGCGGGGGCATGGGTTGAACCTAGCACACTACCCATTTTTATAACTAAAGTTTTATTGGAGTACAGCTGTGTCCATTTGTTTAGGTATTGCCTGTGATAGACTAGAGAGTCTGGCCTGCAGAGCCTAAAATATTTAATGTTTGGCACTTCAGCACAAACGTTTACCAATCCCTGTTCTAAATTAACATAAAATTATGTTTCGAGGGAAAAGATGTTTTAATTTTGAAACTAGAGTATAACTTTACCATGTTGATTTTACGCATTTGTAATGTTTAGATTGAAGCACGTGAATTTTCAGTGAAAAAACAGTTTATTCTTGACATTAAAATGAATTGGAAATAAAGCTATTCAGTGTGTACTTTGATTTTTAGGATCCAAATTTAATTAGCGTGAATAATTTTGAAGATTGCAGTTTGTGTCCCAGTGTTCCCATTGAACATGGATTTCGTAGACAACAGTCTAAGTCAAATAATGTTGAAGAGACTGAAATACATTGGAAACTGATTCCAATTACAGGTAAGAAAAGTATACTTGGACTTGTGTTTGCTTCATTTTACTTAGAGACCAGTTTCCTGAATGTTTCCATCTTCTGTGGATTTCACTCTTGGGTCACTAGGTGCTTCATCTTAATTGGTGCTGACATCTTCAGTGTCTTATTTTGAGTAATACAGTGTTCATCACTGAGTGTTGCTGTTCTTGGTCAGCATCAGCAAGCACCTGCAAAATCACCTTAAAAACAGGGATTTAAGACACACTGTCTCTATGGAGTTTAGCATGCAGACTGCTGAATGAAGACTGTTGGCAGAAACTGAGTTTTTGATAAGGTGAGGTAGCTGCAGAGATAAAATGGTGCTCTTTGGACAACCAATTAAATGCTGTCTTCTCAAACTTTAAACTTCACCGTAACAAGCTGTCATCTAATAAGTGATAATGTTGAGGTTCATCTATTAGAAATTTGATTTCTTAATACTGGATTATCTTAAATAAATTGGATTATCTTAGAGAATGGCCTGAATGATCAAATGTAAATGTTATTGAACTGTGAGGCAAAAAGTTTAGCAGATGTTGAAATATTATCTTTTTTTTTTTTTGGTAGCATTCTAATTTCTCTGTGCAAACACATACATACACACACATAAATACATACTCTTAATATTCCAAGTTGTTACTCACTTTTCTAGCTAAACATTTTTGGAAATATTTTCAGGGTATACGTCTTTTCCAGTCCTACACCTCTAACCTTTTAAAAACAATAGCAACAGCAAACAACTTTTTGTTACAAAGTAGACTGGCCTGTGAACTAAACTAGAACCTGCTGAGACTTCCGAGGACTCTGAGAAGAATTTATAAAACTTGATGAGTTCCCATGGGCTTTAGCACCATCTTCTACTTAACATCTTTCTGGAGGGTAGGAGGCCTGTAGGTGATGATAGAGGGAACCTAGTATTGTTTTATGA
The DNA here is from genome assembly GCF_000001405.40 of Homo sapiens. Taxonomy (NCBI): domain Eukaryota; kingdom Metazoa; phylum Chordata; class Mammalia; order Primates; family Hominidae; genus Homo; species Homo sapiens. Next base: position 56,639,044 of record NC_000003.12, on the reverse strand, counting down.
GGTGGAAACATCAGCTTGAGTAGGAGAAACAAAAGAAGTAGTTGATATAAGAAGGTTATCCTAACCGTTTCTCATTTAGACACCTTCATACTTGGTGTTGGGTCATTTGAAGGTACAATGTCTTAAGTGTTGATATTCCATCATCACCAGTATGACCCTTCAGATTATTTTAGGCAGAAGAAGGAATGCTTGCATTGTTATCACTTGGGGTTGTCTGAAAGGTGCTTAGTGTAGGTATCACTAATGTCTGAAGAGAGTCTAATGGATGCTTTCCCTCAGGAGGGAATGCAAGAAGCCCAGAAGACCAGCTGGGGAAACATGGTGAGAAACAAACACCAGGTGAGAAGGCTTGCTTTGCTTTTCTTCCCAGTGTGCCCTTCTTCAGAGTTGCTACTTGCATTTCTGATACTCCATCAATAGGGCATTGACTTAAATTTTTTTAATTACAGAAAATTTGGACAGTACCATATTTATTTATATGTAAATCATTACTTGAGTTGTATCCACTATTCTTACTATAAAGAGTGTTCAGATAAGTCACCGAATATTTATATAAATTTTCTTCACCCATAGTAGAGTCTATCTTACAATATGATTTGGGAAGACCAGAATATATTCCTAAGCCATTTGTGCAGTATATTTTATGATAAACTCTTCTTTTTTTGTTTTTGGTTTTTTTGAGATGGAAGCTTGCTCTGTCACCCAGGCTGGAGTGCAGTGGCGTGACCTTGGCTCACTGCAACCTCTGCCTCCCGAGGTTCAAGCAATTCACCTTCCTCAGCCTCCCAAGTAGCTGGGATTACAGGCGCATGCCACCATGCCCAGCTTATTTTTTTATTTTTAGTAGAGACGGGATTTCACCATGTTTGCCAGGCTGGTCTCAAACTCCTGACCTCAGGTGATCCACCTGCTTCAGCCTCCCAAAGTGCTGGGATTACAGGCTTGAGCCCCCAAACCTGGGTTTCTTCTTTTTTAAATTTTTAAAAAATAGCCAAGAAGGGTAAGCCATTTATATTTTAGGTATACTATTCATAGTCTTTTAACCTAGTTCTTCTGATTGTAAAACTAATTTCTGCAGGTAGATTAAATAAGATTAAGAAACTTGGATTTCAGAAACAGTTGCAGATATTATTGATTAGCTAGTTGGCAGTGGGTACCTAGGAGATAATCTTTGTCTGATCTTGGTGGATTCAACTTCTCTGCAGATGGTCATAGGCATTGTTTTCTTGTTTACAGTTTGGTGGTGATCTTTTTTATATTTTCCTTCAGTTTTGTTGTATCTGACTCTTTTCAGAAATTAAAGTGTTGTTTTTTTATTTGTAAGAAATGTGAAATGACTACATCTTTGTAGTTATTTATTTCCTTTGGGAGTTCCCCTCCCCCGCTAATTAAAGTTACTAGTTTCCTTGAAGAAAATCTTCACCATCTCCTTCTAGGAAAATGTGGTTAAAAAAAAAAAGAAACCATGAACAACAGATATATAACATAGAGGAAAGTTCACAAATCTTTTTTTTTTTCCCCTCTGATACAGAATCTCTCTCTGTCACCCAGGCTGGAGTGCAATGGCATGATCTTGGTTCACTGCAACCTCTGCCTCCTGGGTTAAGCGATTCTCCTGCCTCAGCCTCCCAAGTAGCTGGGATTACAGGCATGTGCCACCGCACCCGGCTGATTTTTGTAGTTTTAGTAGAGACAGGGTTTCACCTTGTCGGCCAGGCTAGTCTCGAACTCCTGACCTCAAGTGAGCCACTGAACCTGGCCACAGATCTTTATTGTACAGCTTTTTGAAATTTTACATATGTACATGACCATCACCCAAATCAAGATGTAGAACGTTTCTAGCATCCCAGAAGATTTTCTTCCACATTCTCCTAGTTAGTACTCTCCTTGTTCCCAAGTAAGTGCTAATCTGATTAGTTTTGCCTGTTGTTGAACTTAGGATAAATAGAGCCTACTCATGTCGTCTCTCGTGTTTGGTACTTTCATGCAATATCGTGTCAGGGAGTCCATGTTTTGCATCTATCAGTAATTCTTTTCTGATTTCGGGGTTTTACCATGTTGGCCAGGATGGTCTCAATCTCTTGACCTCGTGATCTGCCCACCTTGGCCTCCCAAAGTGTTGGGATTACAGGTGTGAGCCACTGTGCCCGGCTAGTAGTTATCTTTCTTATGCTTCAGAATGTTCCATCAGCACCTGCATTCCTCTTATTTGGAAATACCATCTTTATATTTTGTAAGCTAAAGTGTAGACATCTGAATGATGGTGCCTTTAGAGAACTGACTACTCCCCTTTCACTTAAAAGTTAAAATACTGCAATTATTTAATGGCAATAAGTTTTTTTTTAAAAAAGCACGGTGTCTCATGTTTGTAATCCCAGCACTTTGGGAGGCCAAGGTGTGCGGATCAGGAGGTCAAGACATCGAGACCATCCTGGCCAACATGGTAAAACCCTGTCTACTAAAAATAAAAAAATTAGCTGAGCATGGTGGCTTGAGCCTGTAGTCGCAGCTACTCGGGAGGCTGAGGCAGGAGAATTGTTTGAACCTGGGAGGTGGAGGTTGCAGTGAGCCGAGATCTCACCACTGCACTCCAGCCTGGTGGCAGAGCGAGTCTCTGTCTCAACAACAACAACAACAACACCACCACCACCACCAACAACAAAAGCTTTATTATGGATTGACATGTATGTGTGTTTTCAATCACTTATAGATGAAGATATTTTCAAAATAATTAAGTTTTGTTTTTTTTTTCTATTTTTTTTTGCAACAGAATCTTGCTCTGTTGCCCAGGCAGGCTGGAGTGCAGTGGTGCAATCTTGGCTCACTGCAGCCTCTGCTTCCTGAGTAGCTGAGATTACAGGTGCTCGCCACCACGCCTGGCTAATTTTTGTATTTTTTTTTTTAGTAGAGACGAGGTTTCACCATGTTGGCCAGGCTGGTCTCGAACTCCTGACCTCAGGTGATCTGCCTGCCTTGGCCTCCCAAAGTGCTGGGATTACAGGCATGAGCCACTGTGCCTGAGCAGTTAAGTTCTTAATAAAATCATACAGGGAAATTTGTGCAAAATAAAATTAGGTTGTGATTATTTATATTTTATAAAGGGATCTATTTGGTTTAGAGGTTTTTAATTATGGAAAATTCTCCATGTGGATTTAATTTATATTTCAGGTTAAAAATATTCCCTTTATTTATAACCCTTGAGGAGTAAACTTACTGGTTGTTGTTTAGCTATACATTTTGGGAGCCACTGTTGCATTTAAAGTAATAAATAGCTGGGTGTGGTGGTATGTACCTGTAATCCCATCTACTTGGAAGACTGAGGCAGGAGGAATTGAGGCCAGAAATTCAGGGCCAGTCTGGGAAACATAGTGAGGCCCCATGTCTAATAAATAATTCAGAATTTTTTAAATTAAGGTAGTTCTTCGCAACCCATATGTTTTATGAGATGCAATTCAATTTTTTTTCTTTGAATATATCAGATATTTGACATGATACGTAATTCAAGAAGTCCAAAAATACTTAAGAAAGTAATACTGCCCCAGCCCGGAACACTTAGATTCTTCCCCATATATTAGCCATGGTTACCAATTTCTCGTGTATCCTTCCAGACACTTTATGTGTACTAAAGCACATTTTAATGTTGGAGATTTAAGATACTCAGGATATTTAGTACTCCTAATTATCTTATGAAACTTGGATTTTCTGGTTTATCAATTTCATACAGTTCTAATTCTTATCCTGGCACGTTGGATATTTTGTTCCCCTCTCACCTCCGCCTACAGACCCGCCTTGGGTCTTTTCACTGTGCTGACAAATTGCCTTTGCAATAGTTAATGAGTGTACTGGTTCATGATAACCACCAGGATTGGTAGAGAATGTCATAAGCTCGACTCCTAGTGAGGCTATTTAAACCTTTAGAAAAGTGTGATGAGTGTGAGCAAAATCTTCACTGTAAGTTTGAAAACTACCTGTACCTGGACTTTCTGATTTAGAGGCACCATTTCCTATACTACAGCAGCAATTTGTTAGGGAATGTTGGCCAAGGCTTAAAGAAAAACAGTAATTTTTTAGCGGGTAAAATTGTGTATACGTCTTCTAAGCAAAGATCATGAGTTTTTGTCCTTTCCTAAAATATAACACTAAAATTGAAGTTAAATATATTTTTCCCCTTGTTGCTTAAAAATGGAATTAGAGTTCCCTTTTTCAAATGTAGTTTCAAAAACATACTGTGTTTGAATTTAGGATTTTTTTGGGGAAAGTATGATCTTTTGGATTGAGCTGTTTGTCAAGAGTGAAAGGTTTTAATCTCATTAGTATCAGCTAACCTTAGTATCAGCTAACATCTGTATCTCAAATGAGGTATAGCTATCTTTTCTTTTAGAATTATTTCCAAACAAAAGGAAAATATTTATGAAAGGACTGTCAAAAATGTGCAGCTGTGAAATATGTTCTTCTCTTGTCTTATTATTGTTCCTTTTATTTCCTGATAAAATGAAGTCCCTGACATTACAGGAAATCTACTTAGCAACCTCGTAAGTGAGAACAAGTCTGAAAGCAGATAAAATTAATTATCCTAGATCCTAGATGCAACTTTTAACTTGGCAGTTATTCCCACAGCATTTCTGTTTGGTATTCTTACAATTGCCTTACACTCAGAATTCTTACTAAGGGGCCATTACCATAGTAGATATTACTTGGCAAATAATAAATACAGGGATTGAGCAAGCTGATGTAATTGACTGTCTTGATTTAAAATGTGTATTAAACTTAGATCTACAGAATGGTAGGGAGGCAGAAACAAGCAAATGACTTAATTTGTATTGATGCCAAATTGGTGCTTGCTTGAGCGCTTCAAAATAGCAGAGTTGTTAACACTAGCTACAACTCTAAGGACCATCCCATAAGTAGGGCACATAGGGAATAGAATTCATACCAGAATTTTAGGATTTTATTTTACCTTCTAATATATAATTAGTTCTAAATGTGTGTTAACCCTTTTTTCCCCCAATTTAAGGGTTTGTGTTTTCATATCTTATCTTTTTGGATTGCTCTTATAATAATGAACTCTTCCTGTATAGGTATGAAATCACCAGAAGAACAACTGGTGTGTGTGCCACCACAGGAGGCCTTTCCTAACGACCCCCGGGTAATAAATAGACAGAGAAGTTCTGATTACCAGTTTCCATCCTCTCCATTTACAGACACACTAAAGGGCACCACTGAGGATGACGTGTTGACAGGTCAGGTGGAGGAGCAGTGTGTGCCAGCAGCAGAGGCAGAGCCGCCTGCAGTGAGCGAAACCACAGAGAGGACAGTGTTAGGAGAGTACAATCTCTTTTCTAGGAAGATAGAAGAGATTTTGAAGCAAAAGAATGTTTCATATGTCAGTACAGTTTCCACACCTATCTTTTCAACACAAGAGAAGATGAAACGGCTTTCCGAGTTCATATATTCTAAGACTTCCAAAGCTGGTGTGCAGGAGTTTGTAGATGGTTTGCATGAGAAGCTAAATACTATTATTATTAAAGCATCAGCCAAGGGTGGGAATTTGCCACCAGTCAGTCCTAACGATTCTGGTGCTAAGATAGCATCGAATCCTCTGGAAAGGCATGTCATACCAGTTTCCTCAAGTGACTTCAACAATAAACATCTCCTTGAGCCACTGTGTAGTGATCCTTTGAAAGATACCAACTCTGATGAGCAGCATTCCACTTCGGCTTTAACTGAAGTAGAAATGAACCAGCCTCAACATGCCACAGAGTTAATGGTGACTTCTGATCATATTGTACCTGGTGATATGGCCCGGGAACCAGTAGAAGAAACAACAAAATCCCCCAGTGATGTAAACATTTCTGCTCAACCAGCTCTTTCAAATTTTATAAGCCAGTTAGAACCTGAAGTATTTAATAGTTTGGTTAAAATCATGAAAGACGTCCAGAAAAATACTGTGAAATTTTATATTCATGAAGAAGAAGAGAGTGTGCTCTGTAAAGAAATAAAGGTAACTAAACCAGAAGGTAATAGTAATGCTGTACAAACTTCTCTTGTTGGTGTGACCTCTATAAAATGGAAGTTTTTTGTATTTAAATGTTTTGTGTTTAAATGTTAGGCCAGGAATGGTGGCTAATACCTGTAATCCCAAAACTTGGGAGGCTGAGGCAGGAGGATTGCTTGAGGCCAGGAGTTCATGACAAGCCTGGGCAACATAACAAGACATTGTCTCTTAAATTAATAACAAAAATTAGGTGTGGTGGCACTCTACTGTAGTCCCAGCTGCTTGGGAAGCTCAAGTGGGAGGATCACTTGAGCCCAGGCATTCAAGATTACAGTTAGCTATGATTGTGCCAGCCTAGGTAATAGAGTCAGACCCTGTCTCTAAAAATAAATGTTAATTGTGTATTTTCATAATTTAACTCAGGGTGGAATAAAAGAGTGGTAAGTCCAAGTAAATTCAGAACTTCTGATCTATGTTAGAATTTAGAATCTTGTTTTATAGTGTCATTTATGCACATACCTTTTAAACTTGATTTGAAGGTTTTAAGTATTTCTTGGATTTTTGTTTTTTTTTTTGAGACAGAGTCTCCTTCTGTCGCCCAGGCTGGAGTGCAGTGGCGTGATCTCGGCTCACTGCAACCTCTGCCTCCCAAGTTCAAGCGATTCTCCTGCCTCAGCCTCCGAGGTAGCTGGGATTACAGGCGTGCCACACCATGCCTGGCTAATTTTTTTTTGTATTTTTAGTAGAGGTGGGGTTTCACCATGTTGATCAGGCTGGTCTGGAACTCCTGGCCTCGTGATCCGTCCACCTCAGCCTCCCAAAGTGCTGAGATTACAGGCGTGGGCCACTGCGCCTGGCCGTTTCTTGCATTTTTAATGAAGAGGAGGGAAAAAAACAGAGAGGAAAAGTTAAGTTGCCAGGGTTTATCTCATGGGATTTGATCAATCATATAGAAAAACAAACTGCCCAGGGTTGGCCTAATGATAAACTTTTGGTGTTTCTTGATACCCTAGCCATGTAACATTCCCTTTAGCCTTTATTGATCAAGAAACTTGATAATCTTGAAAGACTCCTCAGTCATGAAAGATTTCTCATTGTGAGGTGTATTTTTTCTACCGAAGCTGCAGACTAATATTTTAGATAGTTGGTTTAAACACACACACAGATGGCTGGGCGTGGTGGCTCACGCCTGTAATCCCAGCACTTTGGGAGGCCAAGACGGGTGGATCACGAGTTCAGGAGATTGAGACCATCCTGGCTAACATGGTGAAAACCCCGTCTGTACTAAAGTACAAAAAATTAGCCGGGCATGGGGGCAGGCGCCTGTAGTCCCAGCTACTCAGGAGGCTGAGGCAGGAGAATGGGGTGAATCCGGGAGGCGGAGCTTGCAGTGAGCCGAGATCACGCCAGTGCACTCCAGCCTGGGCGACAGAGCAAGACTCCATCTCAAAAAAAAAAAAAAAAACAAAAAAACACAGACACACACACACACGCCTTTCTGTGTGTCTGTATGTTTAGACATAGATACGTAAGTTTGTTACCAGTAGGTAGGTAAATGGTAACACATTGGAGCAATTACATTAGTGGTATAATAGTAAAATTAATCATAAATTATGGGATTTTAATTCCTCAAGGGAATGCCTAGGATTTTGAAATAAATGCCTGCTCTCATTTATGGAGTTTACTTACCATGACTGGAATTTCATTAGAGGAAGCAGAGGGACCATGGGCTTTATAGCTACTAACATGTCCTAAGCCTTCTGTAAGTTTGGGGATCTCTGAGGTCAGCATGTTTTGTGTGATGTTACCTGGTCAAGACCTGAAGAACATAGAAATTACATGAGTCAGAGTACTGTGTTGGGCTTTCCTTACTGATTGCTAATGGTTTCTTGGGAAAATGAAATAAGACTTCTAGGAATTCCTTGGTTGCATTTTTGCCCTACATGACTGAATGTAGAGTTTCTCAACTTTTCCCCACCAGCCAGCAACAAGTTCCCTAGCACAGTACTCTTTGGGGGCATAGCTAGCTGCATATTGGTTTGGGGTTAGATGAGAGAATAGGTTGGGCACAGTTCCCGGTGTGCTTAGCATAACTCCAACTTCCTCCATCCCCGCACCCCCCACCCCCCACCCCCCCGCTCCTTTTTTTAAAAGGATTTGTAACACATACCTATTTGACATTTTAAAAAATTTATTTATTTATTGAGACGGAGTTTTGCTCTTGTTGCCCAGGGTGGAGTGTAATGGCACTATCTTGGCTCACTGCAACCTCCGCCTTCTGGGGTCAAGCAATTCTCCTGCCTCATCCTCCCAAATAGCTGGGATTGCAGGCACCCGCCACCACTCCCAGCTAATTTTTTGTATTTTTAGTAGAGACAGGGTTTCACCATGTTGGCCAGGCTGGTCTCGAACTCCTGACCTTAGGTGATGTGCCCGCCTTGGCCTCCCAAAGTACTGGGATTACAGGCGTGAGCCATCGCACCCAGCCGTTACATTTAGATTAAGGGGATAGGAGATGCATTTCCTAATTAATTGTGCTTTTAATTTATCTGGCATAGAATAAGTCATTTCTGTCATTTATATAGAATAAAAGAGCATTCTTTGTTTTACGAATCTGATAGAAAACCAGATTGAAACTTTAATTCTTTTAATCAGTATCCATTGGAAATATTCCAGCAAAAATACTACAGTAAAAGACTTTATGAATAAAAATGTAAACTTTATATATTTCTGGAGTCAAACTGATTTATTATGTGAATTAAACTGTCTTATTTAAAATGAGCTTAAAGCTTCTTAATGTAAGAAGACATCAAAGATTACCAGCAGGGAGGCTGAGGCGGGCAGATCACGAGGTCAGGAGATTGGGACCATCCTGATTGACATGGTGAAACCCCGTCTCTACTAAAAATACAAAAAATTAGCCAGGCATGGTGGTGGGTGCCTGTAGTCCCAGCTACTTGGGAGGCTGAGGCAGGAGAATGGTGTGAACCCAGGAGGCAGAGCTTGCAGTGAGCCGAGATAGCGCCACTGCACTGCAGCCTGGGTGACAGAGCGAGACTCCATCTCAAAAAAAAAAAAAATTACCAGCAGGCATGTCAGATGGTAATTTACCTTTTCATTAACTGACTAAGCTGGTCTGAGATCTGCCCAAAAGTTCCAGAGATTGGATCAAAATCAGTGTAGAAGGTGCTGCTTTAGCACAACAGCATCCTCTTTGGGGTAACACTTCAGGTTGAAAGAGCAGCAGACTGGTTGTCAGGTAAGCTGGGTTTTTATTATAGCTGTCTGACCAGCTGTGCTGACATTAAAAGTAATCTCTGAAATGAGGAATATGACCTCCAGGATCCTGCAGTTTGCTTCAGTGTTCAGGATTCCACCAGCAAGCAGAGAGCAAAGGGAACTCTGCATGAAAGTCTGCCTGTGTCCTGTGAAAGGCAGTACCATGTTCACCAGCATGGAGGAAGAGTTACTAGTTGGGAAAGTCTACTTTGAAGACAGAAACTTGACAGAAATGGCTAATTTGTATGTGAATACCATTGTACATAATGAAGCTCTATATAAATGCTTTTTTAGCTGTTGTGAATTAGAGCTATGGTTGTGAAAGTTCTTAACTCTGAAGGCGTTTATCCCAGTTAATACTGCTGCAAATAACCAAGGGCCTACTTAGAATGGAAAGGAAAAGGTGAGCTAGGGAGTGGTTAATGATTAGACTCTAGGTTGCCTTAAAGTGTTTCTCATAGGATATTATAGTCAACCTAGAGTCTAATCATTAACCTCTATAATAACTAAAGGAGCTGGGTTAAGAACCTGGCCTAATTAACAGTTCTTTCTGTTAACTCACACTGTTACTTGGCTGGCTTTGCATAGTGCTGTAACATTGTGACTGTGTGATTGGTGAAGCTCTGTAACATTGTGACTATGTGATTGGTGAAGCTCTGACCTTTAGATTCCTCTTCTAGAAAAGAAAAGTGGATTTGGGCCATGTGCAGTGGCTCACGCCTGTAATCCCAGCACTTTGGGCGGCCAAGGCAGGAGGATCACTCGAGCCCAGGAATTTAAGACCAGCTTGGGCAACACAGCAAGACTCTGTCTCTTACAAAAAAAAAAAAAAAAAAAAAAATTAGCCTGGTATGGTGGTGCGAGCCTAGTGCCATCCATGTATTCAGGAGGCTGAGGTGGGAGGGTGGCTTGAGCCTGGGAGGTCAAGGCTGCAGTGAGCTGTGATCATGCTGCTATACTCCAGCCTGGGCAATGGTGAGACCCTGTCTCAAAGAAAAAAAAAAAGGATTTGATGGTCTCTTAGAGTGTAAGTTCATTCATTGTTAATAATGTCATGGTAGTAGTTAAGCTTATCAGTTTATCTTGCATTTCTGGTGTTAAATTGATGTTTACAAAGAAGTATTTTAATATTGATTTAGTTGTTTTTCTTTAACAGGAATATCTTATCAAATTAGGCAATACAGAATGTCATCCTGAACAGTTTTTGGAAAGAAGATCAAAATTAGATAAACTATTGATTATTATTCAAAATGAAGACATTGCAGGTTTCATTCACAAGGTAGACTATTAAGTCAAATTCACTACTTTGGTTTTAAAAACTCCCTTATTTTAAAATCTTACTGTCTGCCAGACTAGTGTTTTTAAAATAAGCTTTAAAGGAGATTAAACTTAAGGACCCATCTGTGAATCAGCTTGTGAGATTCAAGTTTGTACCTATGCAAAATTTTAAATTGCTGCACATCACAGATCTTCCCTGTCACTCAGGTAGTCAAGACTAATAAGAGTACTGAATCCTTGAATGCCATTGGGTCTGCTGACTGACTACATAATGTTTTCATCTTCATTTGTATGTCCTAGGAAAAACCTATTTGTGCTCCATCTTTGCCAGACCAGTCCCCTTTTCCCTTAAATTTTGAGGTATCCCATCTAGTCTTAGGAGCCCTATCTCCATCCTACATCTTGGACGTCTTTCCTGATTGACTGTTCGAGCACATAGGCTTTTGCCTTCGTCTGAATTCTGACTGTACTCACAGGTTATAGAGAGGTCAGCTTTTGTCCATTTTGTGTTTTCAGGTCTATTGTAAGCTCCTTTTCCTTAGTCGTCTGTGGTAGGTCCCAGTACATAAATGTTGGTTTATATATTGGGAAATAATGTTGGGAATATTATTTGTGTGGCTTTCCAGAGGTAATCCACTAATATAGATGAGCCATAATGCATTCTGTTAGACTTCTTGTAGGTTCCTTCACACTTGAGTCTGTCAATTCATTCCCTCCATCTGTTTCTCTTTTTGTTTTGGGATTTAAACAGATACCTGGCTTGGTGACTTTAAAGAAGCTCCCCTGTGTTAGTTTTGCTGGTGTTGATAGCCTGGATGATGTTAAAAATCATACATACAATGAATTATTTGTATCTGGAGGTTTTATCGTATCTGATGAATCAATTCTAAACCCAGAGGTTGTCACAGTTGGTAAGATGATGTTCTTTTGAGCACGTAACTCCTCTTCTGACTCTCATACTTTTTAATGTACTGTCCATTTATTCTGCCATTCACAGATAACTAGTACATTTCAGTCTTTTCTTGAGCTTTTATTACCTCAAATTTCTTTCTCCTTCTCTTAGACCAATAATATCCTCTAAATGTGGTGTAAAGCAAGGCTGTCTGCCCCTGCTGCAGTTGAATCACTTCTTGTATTACTGTCATCAACATGTTCTTTTTTATGTGTAGATGTTATATTATTAGAGCTTTAGGCATGTATAGATCTGTCTCCCTTAGACAAAGAGAAATGAAAATAGTACATAGGAAAGTAGGTGTTTCTACATAATATGAAAAAACACTTCTTTCATAATTCACTTATGGAATGATTATTTATTGAATTAAAAACAAACTTCATTATCTCTAACAGAGAACCTTAAAAATTTTTTGACATTCCTTGAGGAACTTAGTACTCCAGAAGGAAAATGGCAATGGAAAGTCCACTGTAAATTTCAGAAGAAACTAAAGGAACTAGGCAGGTAAGCTTTGAAACATAACTATATAATGGTTGTTGATTTTAACATTGTACTCATAATATTTCTCTCTTCCCATGTTTGTAGATTATGGATGTTCATTTTTCACAGATGTCCATAGCCAGCCATAATTGAGTATAGATACTGAATTATTCTAGCCTTTATAAGAAGCAGTATTTTTCAGTAGAAGTTTGCTGAAGTTGTTATGTGCATAGGTAAAATTGGTTTAATCTTTGCCATTTGTGGATTTAGAGTAATCATCCAAATGGAATGATCAGCATTTTTTTCTTTTTTTTTTTGAGATAGAGTTTTGCTTTTGTAGCCCAGGCTGGAGTGCAATGGGACGATCTCGCCTCACTGCAACCTCCACCTCCTGGGTTCAAGCAATTCTCCTACCTCAGCCTCTCAAGTAGCTGAGATTACAGGCGCCCGCCACCATGCCCAGCTAATTTTTGTATTTTTAGTAGAGATGGGGTTTCACCGTGTTGGCCCGGCTGGTCTCGAACTCCTGTCTTCAGGTGATCCACCTGCCTCGGCCTCCCAAAGTGCTGGGATTACAGGTGTGAGCCACTGTGCCTGGCCAGCATTTTCCTTTTTTAACTGAACTGTATGTGCCAACTACATCAGGCCCTCTCCCAACTGACTACTTTATAGGTAGCTAATAAAATTACATATATTTGGACAAGGATTAATCTTGACCTGGTGAAGTGATTTGTGAGTAGGACATCAATTCATGTATACATAGATAATTTCTAAAATGCATGGAAGTCACTTCTCCAAGTGTGATCTTTGGAACACTAGTCAATTGAGAGATTCCATAAATGATTATGGTAATCAGGCATGTTTGGGACACTATATTCTACTAGTAAAGTCTATAAAATGTATTTACACATTAAAGGATATGAAGAACTCTAGTTAAAAGAATTTACATTGTGTCAATCATTATTTCCTTAAACTTTATACCACAAAAATTTCTTAAAATACGACATTCCATGGTACACTGTTCAGGAAATTAAGGCTTAAATAATTTTTGAGTATTTAATTCATTGTAGCAATTCACTTTTAAAAGCTTATCTCCACTTGTTGCCTTGTCCCTTGCAATATAGAAACAGCTTAGAGCTGGCCGGGCACGGTGGCTTACGCCTGTAATCCCAGCACATTGGGAGGCTGAGGCGGGTGGATCACAAGGTCAGGAGATTGAGAGTATCCTGTCCAACATGGTGAAACCCCATCTGTACTAAAAATACAAAAATTAGCTGGGTGTGGTGGCATACACCTGTAGTCCCAGCTACTCGGGAAGCTGAGGCAGGAGAATCGGCGACAGAGTGAGACTCTGTCTCAAAAAAAAAAAAGAAATAGCTTAGAGCCATAATAGTGTATTTAATTTTATTTTTTAAGACAGAGTTTCGTTCTTGTTGCCCAGACTGGAGTGTAATAGAGCAGTCTCAGCTCACTGCAACCTCTGCCTCCTGGGTTCAAGTGATTCTTCTGCCTCAGCCTCCCAAGTAGTTCGGATTACAGGCATGAGCCACCTCATCCGGCTAATTGTGAATTTTGAGTAGAGATGGGGTTTCACCATGTTGGCCAGGCTGGTCTCGAACTCCTGATCTCAGGTGATCCAACTGCTTTGGCCTCCCAAAGTTTTGGGATTACAGGTGTGAGCCACCAGGCCTGGTCCATATATTGTGTTTTTTGAAGGAAGGATTTATACTGTTTTTGTCCCTTTAAGTCCTTCATTAAAGTTCAAAATTAATAAAGGTAATCATAATTTATTATTTAGTAAGTAGAATAATCAGCTGAGATTTTAGCCTAAGCTGTATAGCTGGCCCTGAGGCCTCGCGACCAAGAAACCCCTGGACTTATCCCTTCTTTCTTTCTTTCCAAAGAAGCACACCCCCTACATCAGGCAGAGAGCTAAAGCAGTGCAGTTGTCATTAGTTGCCTCAGTGGAGAAATTGAATTTTAATCTAAAGCAGAAATTTCCATACTAAATTTTAGAAGTACAGATCCAGAAACTGAACTGCTTAATTTCACAGATTGAATGCTAAAGCTCTAAGTCTGTTGACGCTTCTGAATGTCTATCAGAAGAAACATCTGGTTGAAATTTTGTCATACCACAATTGTGATTCACAAACTCGAAATGCTCCAGAATTGGATTGCCTTATCAGACTTCAGGCTCAGAACATACAGCAACGACACATAGTCTTTTTAACAGGTAAAGAGAGCACTCCTAAGCTTTCTACTATGAATATAGGAATGTGAATGAAAGGATTTTATGGGGCTGTGGTGGGTATTGCTAAGCTTTGATTCTGAAAATGTGAAGGAAAAGATTTTGTGAGGGCTAGGGGCTGTCTATATTTTGAAGTGTTTCATACATGAAACTTTTTTTCTTAATTTAGAGAAGAACATCAAGATGCTTTCCAGTTATACAGATAATGGAATAGTGGTTGCAACTGCTGAAGACTTCATGCAAAACTTTAAAAATCTTGTGGGCTATCACAATTCAATCACAGAAGAAAACCTTCCACAGCTTGGTGCTAATGAGAATCTTGAGTCGCAGTCAGGTAACTTTTCAGTGGTTTTCATTTTCTTTAACGCAGACAGAAAAAGAGGAATGGTTTTGCTGTTACCAAATAATGAAATGACCATTTTGAAACCACGTACCTCAGTATAAACAGCCATAGGGAAAGTGTTTCAAGACATTTATCATTCTAATACTTAGCATGCACAAGATCTGCTCATTTATTATACTGTAGCCAGTGTAAGTTGTAAGTTATTATAGATTATGCATTTCTACCTATATTGTAGACAGTGCATACTATGGAGTATGCATTTTGTCTTTGAGGTTTTTGTAAGCATTATTGGTTACTATTGTCAGCAAAGGGGTTATATTAATAAAAAGGTAGGAAACCAGATATGGCGATTTAGCATTGAGCTACTAGATTTCCCCACATGCATAAAGCAATTTAATTGCAAGATAGTAGAGCTGTCATAGCTTTAATCTTTTGTGAGATGGCCTCTGCTTTGGTTCCAGGTTCTGTGTAAAATGAAAGATGTACTTTTGTTTTTGATGAAAAAAAGCAGAAATGATCATTCATTTAGTGCTAACCAACTAGTTTAGTAATCCAGTGAAGCTAGATGTCAAAAAATTTTATTTTATATTTGTCTTGTCAAATACTGAATTACCGTATAACTTTAGATGCTGTTTTGACATTAACCCCTTTGGAGCTGGGAGTTGGGATTTCCCAACATTAAACGTGAACACATTTCGCAGAAGCTTTTAGCATCGGATTATCTGGACATTCACATCTAGTGTGAGTGTTGTGACTAAGTGAACTTGTGGCAGAAGACCAAGCTTTAAGGGATTGTGGACTTGCAGACCCTGACGCGTTATATTGTGTGAGTAGTGTATAATTTTAAAACTTAAACAAACTGTGTATTTCAATAGAGGAGGACTTTTTGTTTTTTAAATGTAGCTCTTTTAGAAAACGATGAAAAGGATGAAGAGGATATGTCTCTGGATTCAGGGGATGAAATCTCACATATAGAAGTATGCAGCAATTTTCATTCAGAAATATGGGAGAAAGAGACCAAAGGATCACGTGGAACAGATCAAAAAAAGAATACTCAAATTGAGTTGCAATCGTCTCCTGATGTGCAAAACAGTTTATTAGAAGATAAGACTTACCTTGATTCTGAAGAGAGAACTTCTATTGATATAGTATGCTCTGAAGGAGAGAACAGCAATTCAACAGAACAAGATTCATATAGTAACTTTCAGGTTTATCATAGTCAATTAAATATGTCCCATCAGTTTAGTCATTTTAATGTTCTCACTCATCAGACATTTTTGGGGACACCATATGCCCTTTCATCAAGTCAGTCTCAAGAAAATGAGAATTACTTCTTATCTGCTTATACTGAAAGCTTGGATAGAGATAAATCTCCACCTCCCTTAAGTTGGGGGAAAAGTGATTCTTCCAGGCCATATTCACAAGAGAAATAACTGTAGTAACTTTTTTTTTAAGAGATTGTTGTGGACTTTGTTTATTAACAATTTATATTTCATTCTCTAAACAAAAGGTTCTTGTTCTTTCTCAAATGTTTTTTCTTTTATTTAAATCATGATGGCCTGTAACAGTTGAAGCATCTAAAAATTGAAATAAATATATATTTTTAACATATATTGTACTTGAATTATCTCATGTTGGCACTTCTAAGTTTTACTTTTTGTATGTTACCTGTACTTAGGCTTCAAATTGAAGCCTGTTTTATGTGTAAAATCAGATGCTTGCAGGAGGACGGTAAACAGCAAAGGCTTTACTTCTTTTTCTCTAATGTCACCTGATATAAAGTACTTTTGTTGAAGTGAATTATTTTGATGTAGGCTTTTGTATACTGTGTTTACACAGGTATAAGTCAGTAATAGCAGTGTTAATATTTACAGGATTTTGGCTCGATACCTCAAGATTTATCTAACAGTGCAGTTTCATTTAGATAATAAACTATGTACATAGGACACATTTTTTATCTCTAGGCTTAGTCATGTAAAAACTGCCTATTGCTAAAATTCTGGTAACTTTTTGAGAGTATTGGATAATTTTCAGTACCTGCGCAATCCTTGATTTAATGAAATTAAATTTTTTATTTCAAAAGATAGGCTTCTGTTTATCAAAGGCGTTGAACAATTTGATTTTTAAATTAGTTTTAGCAAAATGGAAGTATAATGGGAATATATTTTTGAGGTGGTCTTAGTAGTAATTACCATTTGTTGAACACATTAATGCTATACTAGACAGATACAGTGGAGATAGCTTTCAAACCCGTATCTATTCCTAACTACTGCCTCTAATACTAATTACTAACTTGTTACTAATGCTAACTTTTAAAAATGTTTTTGAAAATTGCAATTTCTACAAATAAATGTCATAGTGCAAATAAATGTCAGGATTTAGAGAAGGAGCCTAAACTGAATTTGTGTTATTTCAGTAAAAGTTATGGAGTTATGGGTCTAGACGTGTTAATAAGTTAGACAGAACTTTGGCACTTTAGAACAAATGCATGAGTGGTATTTCAGTTCCTAAGTTACATAAAAAGTGTGAAAGAACACTGTGAGGTCCCAGCAACGCCAGACTATATTAAGGTAAGTAGAAAGTGTTTTTATAGGGCTTCAATACCCAGGTGGTGACAGAGCAGAAGAACCGGTTTTTTTTTTTTTTTTTTTACTACTAAGCTTTTACAAAAGAAGTATCTGTTTTATTGTATAGAACAAGTACAGCATTTTACTACATAGTATACAAGTTTTTAATGAGCATTTAAAAAAATAAGTAAATCTAGGCTATTTGAAAAATACAGTTGAGCCAGTGAGCACATTTTATAATTTGGAAGACACAAATCAAATGTGAAGGATTTGATTTTCTACATTTAAAATGAAGAACCAAAACTCTCTTCTTGATTTTCAGCTAAAGGCAGGAGACTACTTTCCAACTCCTTTTGCTTCTGGAGAAGGCCCTGAAATCACATTGATATATGTTTGTTAGTAAAATGTGCACACCTGACTTGCAATGTTGTGTTAAACTAGAATTATATTCACTTGGAAAACATATCGCTTAGGATAAAATTTTGTCATTCAAAAATTTTTTCAGAAATGCTTGTACTAGACCACCTCATTTGGATATATAGCTATCACATTTGTAAGATTCTGTTTTTAGCATAAAAATCAATAGGGATGAAAATTTTCTTAGAACTCAAGACTCCATAACTATGGGGGTAAATGAAGTCATCCCTTCTCCCCCAGTCCACCCCCAAGTGCTCTTAGATACTGAAGGAGTCTCCCTTAACATACAGTGTTTTTTTTTTGTTGTTGTTGTTTTGTTTTTTTTTGGAGATGGAGTCTCGCTCTGTCGCCCAAGCTGGAGTACAGTGGTGCAATCTCACTGCAAGCTCTGCCTCCCAGGTTCACACCATTCTCCTGCCTCAACCTCCCGAATGGCTGGGACTACAGGCACCCACCACCACGCCTGGCTAACTAACTAACTAACTTTTTGTATTTTTAGTAGAGACAGGGTTTCACTGTGTTAGCCAGGATGGTCTTGATCTCCTGACCTCATGATCTGCCTGCCTCAGCCTCCCAAAGTGCTGGGATTACAGGCTTGAGCCACTGCTCCTGGCCAACATCCAGTATTTTATCTTGACTGTCCTAACCTTACCTTAGATGCTAACAGAAGGGTCCTGCTGAAATAACACTGGGTGCTATATTGATGGGTAAATGTGTACATCCTATTCCTTCCTCTTTATCTCACAATTTTTGTCTCCACTAAGCAAGAAGTAAACTAACACTTCGTCACTCTAAAGAAATAACTTATGTAAAACTCTTAGTAACCCTGTTTGTCTTCAAATGAGTAAATAGACCAAAGTGGGGGGACAATTTTCTAGTTCTGTAGAGGGAAAAACATCTGAGTCAACATTTTGAAATGCAGAGGGTATTGGTACATGACGACATGGAAAAGGGCACTTTTAAACACAGCTTACTCTTCCTCAAGTACAGAGAGTATATAGTGAATCAAAACTAACTACAGCCATTCTTTTTAAAGCCCAAGGGATGGAGCAAAGGTGTAAGGATGTTACCTGTTTGTTTTAATCAGAGAGCAAAAAGAAGTCACAATAGTTTGGGAGAAAAAGTAGTATGGTGAGTAAGGTTATGCGTATAATTTCATACTGAATTTATTACTATTTGGGATGTACGTCAATGTTCTAACAAACACTGCCAACACGTCAATTTTTTAAAAAGCGTGGGCCACATTGCTAAGAATTTGTTAAAGCATAACTGTATTTTTTGTTTTAGGGCCTTATTGATGTTTTGCCGTTCCAATGTATGCATTTTTTTACTCAATAAACTTGTCTTAATTTTAGAACTGTCTGATGATTTCGTACTGGAAAGAACTACTCAAAGACGGCAGTGTAAAAGCAAGTCTTAGGAAAGTCCCATTTTATTTGTGTCTAACAAACATACAGGAACTGAAATATTTTTGTTAAATCCTGGGATGCACCGAAGTAACTTAAAACAAACCGTTCAACAGGTTCCCCCAACCGCCCACGCCACATAAAGAACAGACATATCTACACTTGAAAAAGCTCATACCTGTCTCAGTTCTGAAAGTCCCTTAAGGATTGCTTGCTGTCGATCCCTATTTTTCACCATGTTAGGATTAAGAAGTGGATCCCTGACACAGTCAGAATCAAATAGCTGTCGTTTTTGGCCACAGTCTAAAGCCAGATGAAAGTAACAAGTCAGTCAATTACATTAGTAAAATGACATAGCCCTGTGCTATATAATATTGTCAGGAGTCATTATAATAAGTATGTATCCTAGGAAAGTACTAAGAAAAATTTAAGACATATTCAAGAAACTTTATAGAACTAAGTGCAGGAATTACTAATTTGGAATTTAAAGTTGTTGACGGGGTTTACATGGGTCTTCAATTTTTACAGTTAGAATGCTTAATATTTACTTACCTTGTGAATTTTGGTACTGAGGGTCCTGGGTTGAAGGCCCAGACAATGGTGCATCGGGATCAAGGTAATAGATCTCATTTGTTCGAACATACGGAATAAAATGGGATGATTCAGAAATCCCAGATGATAATTCTGTTTGATTACTTCCTGAGATCAAATTCTCTCTCTCATAGCTACTGTTTTTTAGTGGTAAATGTAATGTATTTTGAGTTTGTTGGGTTCTGTTTTTCACTACTGGAACTGGTGATGATGGAGACCTATTTAAAAAAAAAATAGTAAAAAATTGTGTATTTAGATTAAGTATATCTCTTTAATCACATTTCACTTTATTTATGAGATGAAGTCTCGCTCTGTTGCCCAGGCTGGAGTGCAGTGGCGCGATCTCAGCTCACTGCAACTCTCCTGCTTCAGCCTCCCAAGTAGCTGGGATTACAGGCGCACGCCACAGTGCCCAGCTAGTTTCTGTATTTTTAGTAGAGACGGGGTTCACCAAGTTGGCCAGGCTGGTCTTGAACTCCTGACCTCAGGTGGATCCACCTGCCTCGGCCTCCCAAAGTGCTGGGATTACAGGCGTGAGCCACATGCCTGGCCCATTTCACTTTATTCTAAATGTACCTGTAACACCTTTGGGAATGTATGCATAGAAGCCTGAACTCTATAATATTGTTCCATAAAACCGGGGAAGAGAATGGTATTCATTTATGTTTTTACTAGCACTAGCTATGGTATGTGTACTGTAGCACAAGGGAGAAATTTAATTCCTAGATCCTGAGGAACAGTGCTGGCTTGGTTAATCTGAGCCTACTGTTTCTCCTTAGATAATTCACCATACAATAATGTACTCACCATTTGAATGAAACTTGTTTTTAGAGCCCCATTCTGAGACAACTAAACCAGCTGGTTCATGCACAAAGAATAAAAATTCTAATGGTTCTAAATCTCTCATTAACTGACTGAATTTCTCATTGTCCTTATCAGTCATTTCTTCCCATTCACAGCCCCCAGCCATCCCTCCTCCCAAAGCAGAATGCCTATTCTGCTAATGACATACCTGGAATATCAAAATCACTTAGTTAAGTCTAGAGATAAAAGTAAATGTTATCTACATTCCTGCCTAGGCCCAGTCCAACTTGGGCCTTCAAGCTCCTGCTAAAGTGCCACACTATCCCTTAAACCTCTAACCCTCACCTGGAAGCCACACCCTTTCTGATTGTTCTCTACATATACCATATGATGCTGTCCAGATCTTGAATCCCTTTTTTGTCCCACATAGAAAGCATTAAGTAGCTGCGGAATTAATCTGATGCATACTTACCTTTCCTTGCTGAATGAATGAATATTCAGAGGCTCTTCTTCCTAAAATATGGATAGATAAATGCAGAAAGGAATATATAGCATCTTCACATGTCCCCACAAATATTTTTAGGGCTACTTGTTGAAATAGTCTGAGGGTAATATTTGAATAACAGGTACTGACTGAGCAATGGAATAGATATAGTTTTTTCCAGAGTCAAAACTAATCCTTGGGAGTTCCTAATCTCCCAAACCTCTGTCTATGTGGACTATAAACAAGGGTTTTAAAGGGGTATTTGAATACACAGCATCCATCTACAGAAGTTGTGTAAGTGTAAAGGACTCGATAAGCATAAGGAAACCTTTTCAGCTTTGTGGGCCATATTGTTTCTGTTGCTAGTCTGGTGTGTGAAGTCAGCCACAGACAATTCATAAAAGAATGAGTTGACTATGTTCGTATAAAACTTTCCAAAAACAGGCAGCAGCCTGGATTTGCCCATGGGATATAGTTTGCTGATCCCTAATGTAAACTGAAACAGATCAGAACAGCCTTACCAAAGCATACGTATGAGAAACTGTGTTTTGAATCCAGAAACGTCAACACATCATCTAAGATGGAAGAGCTTTACCTTTTTGACTAGATGCCACCTCAACTTTGACTCCGTTTCTTGATGAGATGAATGAAAAATTTCTGGTGAAATGCCTCTGTTTTGAGAGAGGTGCCCAGGATTATTTTTTTCTACCAAATGAAGCAATTCCATCTGCCTCCTTACTTTTTTTTCTTCTCTCTGCTTTTGAAGCTGTTTAGGGTACTTTTCTGATGCTGGAATATACCTTTTAGGTGGCTTATTTATATTCCAATCAGGCCTTTTAGGATATTTCTTCATGTGTTTTGTTTGTTTCTCTATTCTTGTGAACTGATTACACTGGTCATTACACCGATTGTTTTCTTTTTCTAAGCTGGCTCCTTTATCCTGAGTTAGTTCTTGCTTGTTTTTCTTGGTGCTAAACTGTCCAATAAGTTCTGCCGAAATCTCAGGAGATGAACAATTTGTGATGTCCCTCTCCATTAATGATCCACAATGTGATTCTGCATTGGTGAATATTCCTATATTTAAGTCATCTAAAAAAAAGTTGCAAATGATTTTTAAAAATTGTAAACAAAATTTTCAATATTAAATAATTTTCCCCAAAACATTAAACAATTATTGCCCTCTAAGACTTTTTTCTTTCATTAATTTTCAACAAAACCGAACCTCTATACTCATTAAAGAACAACCACATACTCCCAACCACTGGCAGCCACCACTCTAATTTCCATTTCTATGAACTGATAATCATGAAAAGATGCTCAACATCATCAGTCACTGGGGGGGAAATGCAAACCAAAACCACCTGAGATACCACTTCACAACCAGTAGAATAACAAGGGCTGGCAAGGATATAGAGAATCAGAACCCACATGCACTGATGGTGGGAATGTAAAATGGTACCACTGCTTTGGAGAAGAGTTTGGTGGTTCCTCAAAATGCTAAACATACAGTACCTGTTACTCATGACTCAGCAATTCTACTCTTCTCTCGAACTAAAAATGTACATCCACAAAAATCTATATATGAATGTTCACAGCAGCATATTCATAGCCAAAAAGTGGAGATAACCCAAATGTTCATCAACTCATGAATAAAAATGTGGTATTATAAATGTAATATTTATTCAGTGACAAACAGGAATGAAGTACTGACACATGCTACAACATGGATGAACCTTAAAACATGCTAAGAGAGAAAGAAGCCAGAGAAGACCGTTATGTGGTCTAATTCCAGTTACGTGAAATGTCCACAACAGGCAAAAATATTCAGAGACAGAATGTTAACTGGAGGAGAAAAGAGAAATAGAAAGTGGCAAGTAATGGGTACAGTGTTTCTAGAGTGATCAAAATGTTTTAGAATTGATTGTGGTAATGGTTGCACCACTGAATACCAAAAAAGACTAAACTGTAGGATAAATTTTGTGGTACATGACATGTTTCAACAAAGCTGTTATCCCTTTATTTTGTAACTCTTACTGAAAACCTCAAGTTTTGTTAATTTTTGAACTTTTAAATTGAACTTAATTCTAACTGCTTTAATTATGACTTTAAGTAAATTTTAAACCAAACCACAATTTCCACACAAATACCTGTTTGCACACCAGTATCCTTCTTAGAAGTCGTAGAATTCATATATGTATTCATTTTACCACTGATTTCATCAGAATCATGTCTTGAATTTGAAATGTTAGATGCATTATATTCCATTTGTATTGTATCAACTGGCAAAGAGAAATCACCTGATAAAACAACACTTAAGGAATATTAATAAAAATTATGTATAGCAGCAACTAAATACAATAATTTTCACTTAATCAGAATGAACACTGCAATAAAAATTTTCTTACAAAAAGTACCCACATTCCTATCAGTTACTGAATTTAGGGAGATCATTTAATAATTGTTCTCGGTAAAAATAGACACAAAAAGTACACATTTTACCTATTATTTTAACATTAACACATTTTAACCTTTAGTTCTGCTTTTATTGCAATTTTCCACATAAATTAAGCATTCCTATTTATAAAATTATACTAGTTTAAAGTCTGATATTCCTACAAGAATAGTAGGTATATTGAAGGTATTAAAAATAGGCAATCATTTAGGCTGGGTGCAGTGACTCACACCTGTAATCCCAACACTTTGGGAGGCCAAGGTGGGAGAGTCATCTGAAGGCAGCAAGACCAGCCTGGGCAACAAAGCGAGATTCCATGTCTACAAAAAATATGAGGTTGCAGTGAGCTGTGATGGCACCACTGCACTCTAGCCTGTGCAACAGAATGAGTCCTTGTCTCCAAACAAAGATAAAAAGGAATTATTTAAAATCATCTTCTAAAAATATTATAAATAAAGTTCTGGTTAGGCCCTTACCACCAAGATTTTTAATCAGTCTAGAAGTGTCATGTCCCTTTTGCGCCAATTCTCGGATTCTTTGTTCTTGTTTTAGTCTCTGTGCCAGTTCCTGTGCTCGCTGCATTGTCTGGAATAGCTCATTTGTCTTGAGAGTCATGATTTCCTGTCAATATTGATGTGTTACTAAATTCATCTATTAAACATACAAAGACTTGACTATTTCCTCTCAGTAAACATTTTCTAAGCTTCTCCTATGTATCAGGCACTTGTTTAGACACTAAGGGTACAACAGTCAACAAGGCAAAGTTCCTGCCCTTTTGGAGCTTACATTTTAACATCTTTTTCTACAGCTGTATTCAATCACAAATATAACTCTTTTTACCCATTTCAAATTTATACTAAAAGTTTTCAAAGTTTTAAAAACTTTTATTACATTTAAAAATAGATTTTAAAAGGTAAACACAAGATTTATGACCATTTCTTGCGGTTCAAATGATACTTTACTGATTTCCTCATGTTACCTAGGGGTAACTGGCTCAGCCTATCAACTCAATGAAACTGGAACCCAGACCATGTGTCCCTTTACCAGCCAATTTTGGAGTGAAGGTTGCCAAGTGGGAAAACTGCAGCAAAAGGCAAGAAAATGTTTAAAGTGCTCTACACTTTAAAACTTTAGCAAGTGAGTATTTTTGTTAGGTTAGCTCAAATATGGTACCACCACCATACATACCTATCTTGTCTGCACCACTTAGGGTTCTCCTAGCCAACTAGGTATCTACTTTTTAAAAAGGCCATTTAACACAGAGATCTCTAACAGTCACAAATTGTATCATCAATCCCAGCCAATTATTCTGCAAATGTATGTTCCTAAGTGGATAATGATAGGCCAATCATTTCTCTTAACATACCTAGAATAATTATTGATATAATAATTATTGCTTAGAAATGAAGCAAAAAAACTAGGAGTAGATAAAAATGAAGCACATAGGTAATTTGCTTTGTGCTGTAATAATTCATCTTGACCTCCTCAACAGAAAAAGCCAAACCAATATAACATTTGAGAACTATATCATGTGAAATAATAAAACTTTCTCAAGCTTCTCTCTTTGCTAACTTTATGTGAAGGTCTGACATTTCCATACATAGCTTCACAATTCAAAATAATAGAAATGTTCAACTTCTGGTTATTTTTCCTTTAAAAACATATCCATTTTTATTCTAAAATGTTACAATTAGGAGGCCAAGCATGGTAGCTCACACCTGTAATACCAACACTTTAGGAGGCTGAGGTGGGAGGATCGCTTGAACATAGTGAGACCCTGTCTCCACAGACCAACAAAAAAATTAGCCAGATGTGTTGGTACGTGCCTGTAGTCCCTGCTACTGAGGAGACCAAGGTGGAAGGACAACTTGTGCCCAGAGGTCAAGACTGCAGTGAGCTATGATTGCACCACTGCACTCCAACCTGGGCAAAAGAGTGAGACCCTGTCTCAAAAACACAAACAAAAACCAAAGTTACAATTAGAATGTAAGTACCTACTTCCTTTTGTTTTTGCTTAAGTATGTCTTCTTCATACTGTTTCTGCATCTCTTCACGTTCCTGTGCTAAGCGAAGCTCCTCTTCTTGTTCTTCCTTCTTTCTTTGCTCTTCCTCCAGTTGTTTCTTCCTGCGCTTCTCTTCTACCTGGGCAGTGATGGCTTTCTAGTCATAAGCAATCACGTAAATCATTGTCAAAAATAAAAATCTAAGCAGGAGGGAATTCAAGATGGCTGACTAGATACATTCAGTGCTCACCTCTTCCACAGAGGGGAACCAAAATAATGAGTAGACAATCATACTTCACGTAGATCTAACAGAGAACAGTGGAATTCAACATGACAGGAAGCATCAAAAGCAAGGAAGAAAGCAAAGCAGCCTGTCTTGACAGGATTAGCTAGGAGTCTACAGAGGCTGCCTAATTGGAGGAAAAGGAAAGTGAGCAATCCCCAGCAATCCACATGCCCATCAAGGACTCCTACAATCCTAACCATCAAACAGCCCCTTGACTCTTGTGGGTCTCAAGACTAACAGGGCGTTACCTGGAGACCACATGAAAGCACTGCTCAAGAGGGAGCTCACACTAGGCTCCACAAACACCCAAGACCTAAGGAACTGTAGCATGGCACTATTTTGAGAGCCCAGTCCCTAGTGGTCCTGCATCTTGCTCTGGGGCCCAACAGCCCCTGCATCTCCACATCCCTAGAGCCCCACTGACATTCACCATCTGCAAGAGCAACCCACTGAAAGCAAACCCACCCTCCCTAGTAGCAGAGCTACAATGCAGCTGCTACTGCCCCAACCTAAGCATTCTGCTGGTGGCCTGGGAAATCATCCCACCCCTGCCTACAACAGCCAGCACTGCACACAACACCTTGGGAACCCGGGGGCAGGTCTGCCCAGCCTTGCTGCATCTCCACCAGTAACCAAGCACATTGGTCCAGGGACCTGGGGACTGCCCTGCCCAGGACACCACCATTGGCACCTGAGCACTCCTCCTAGAGTATGGGCCCAATCAACCTGCCATTACCATCACAGCTGGCACCCACCCTCATATGCCACCTGCAAGTCTGGGGACTGGCCCACGCAGCCCATTATAGCCACCGCCAACACCACCACTGGCTGCTTGGATCCCAGAGGGTTGTCCCACTACTACTACTGCCATTGCCCATGTTTGCTGCCCAGTGGCTTGAAAACCTACTCACCCACCCAACCCACTGTCACCATTCTCAGCACCTGAGCAAGCCATCTAGAAGCCCAATAATTGGCCTGGCTTGACCTGCTACCACTGATGCCAGTGTATACAGCCCTGGGGCCCAAGGACAGGCATGCTCAGCCTACTGCTAGCATCCTGCAACCTAACGACTGGTCCATTTGGTGTCCCCGTTCACAACAAAACTTTACCACAGCCTCCACGAACAACTGCACCCTAAGCCACCAAGGAAATTACAGATACCACAGATACTGTTTTCGGCCAAAAAAAAGTCTATAGAGATTACACTACTGCACATACCCAGAATCAAAGCCAAAGTGCCTACCCAACCACCATCATAGATATGAAAGCAAATTCAAAAAATCGGAAGAAGTGATCGTTATACCAGATATGCAGATATCAAGGTGCAGAATATGTAAAAAAGCAAGGAAATAGGAGTTGAGGACCATGGCAGATGGGAGGCAGGACTAGATTGCAGCTCCAGACACAGCAGCATGTGGAGGCTTGCATTGTGAATTTTAGCTATAGATCAACTGCAAGAACAGACCAGCAATCCTTAGAGGACCCTCTGAAGAAAGCAGACTGCTGCTGCAGGAGCTGGGAGACACCCCAAATACTGTGAGTGACCCAACTGTGGAAGTGGGAAAGGGAGACCCTCCTCTCCCGAACACACACCCCCACTGGAGAAGCTGAAAGTCTTTGCGGGAGAAGCTCCCGACTTTACCTGGGGCTGAGTCAAGTTAGAGAGCCGAGCCCAGTGAAATACATGGGTAGAGGAAGTAGCAGAAAGACACTGGGAGCTCGTGGGATCCCCAAGGATCCCATCCCTGCCTGGCACCACAGGGATCCATCAGGAGGGTGGCCAGAGGAGCAGGGGTTAAAACTCCACAGGGAGAATTACTTCTCTAGATGAACTTTGTAACAACTTGAACAGGACGAGAAGCTTCCTTGCCAGAACTGGGCGTGGGGGGTGGGGGGTGGGCATGAATTGGGCTTGCAGACTCCACAGGTGGGGGAAGAACTAAAGCCGTTTTCTTTCGCAGCTGGGGAGGTCTTCTTTCATAGCTGGGCCCTATACCTGGAAACAGACTCGGGGGATGTTGCAGGCGTTTGAGGGGGTCGGGGGACACAGTGAGACTGGCCCTTTGGTTTGTGGGGGAGTTGGGTGAGGCCTGTGACTGCTGGCTTTCCCCCACTTCCCTGACAACCTGCATGACTCAGCACAGGCAGCCATAATCCTCCTAGGTACACTACTCCAGTGACCTGGGAATCTCATCCCCGTCCCCCACAGCAGCCACAGCAAGACCCACCCAAGGAGAGCCTGACCTCAGACACACCTAGCCCCGCCCCCACCTGGTGGTCCTTCTCTATCCACCCTGGTATCGGAAGACAAAAGACATATAATCTTGAGAGTTCTAGGGCCCTCACCATGGCTGGTCCCTCTCCACACACTACTACAGCTGATGCTTTCTGGAAAGCACCACCTCCTGGCAGGAGGCCAACCAGCACAAAAATAGAGCATTAAACCATCAAAGCTAAGGAGTCCCACGGAGTCCACTGCATCCTCCACCACCTCCACCAGAACAGGCACTGGTATCCACGGCTGAGAGAGCCACAGACAGTTCACATAAGCACTCTGTGCAGACAACTCCCAGCACCAGCCCGGAGCCAAGTAGACTCACTGGGTGGCTGGACCCAGAAGACAGACAATAATCACTGCAGTTAGGCTCACAGGAAGCAACATCCACAGGAAAAGGGGGAAGCGTAATACATAGGGAACACCCTGTGGGACAAAAAAATCTGAACAACACTCTTCAGCCCTAGACAATCCCTCTGACAGAGCCTACCCAAATAAGAAGGAACCAGAAAACCAACTGTGGTAATATAATAAAACAAGGCTCGTCAACACCCCCCCAAAAATCACACTACTTCACCAGCAATGGATCTAAACCAAAAAGAAATCCCTGATTTACCTGAAAAAGAATTCAGGAGGTTAGTTATTATGCTAATCAGAGAGGGACCAGAGAAAGGCGAAGCCCAATGCAAGGAAATCAGAAAAATGATACAAGAAGTAAAGGGAGAAATATTCAGTGAAATAGATAGCTTAAAGAAAAAACCAAAAATTCAGGAAACTTTGGACACACTTTTAGAAATGTGAAATGCTCTGGTAAGTCTCAGCAACAGAATTGAACAAGGAGAAGAAAGAAATTTAGAGCTCAAAGAAAGTGGACACACTTTTAGAAATATGAAATGCTCTGGAAAGTCTCAGCAATAGAATTGAACAAGTAGAAGAAAGAAATTCAGAGCTCGGATGACCAAACCTAAGAATAATTGGTGTTCCTGAGGGAGAAGACAATTCTAAAAGCTTGCAAAACATATTTAGGGGAATAATTGAGGAAAACTTCCCTGGCCTTGCTAAAGACCTAGACATGCATACACAAGAAGCACAAAGAACACCTGGGAAATTCAACACAAAAAGATCTCTGCCTAGGCACAGTGTCATCAGGTTATCCAAAGTGAAGACGAAGGAAAGAATCTTAAGAGCTGTGAGACAGAAGCACCAGGTAACCTATAAAGGAAAACCTATCAGATTAACAGCAGATTTCTCAGCAGAAACCCTACAAGCTAGAAGAGATTGGGGCCCTATCTTCAGCCTCCTCAAACAAAAAAATTATCAGCCAAATTTTGTATTTGGCAAAACTAAGCATCATATAGTCATTTTCAGACAAATGCTGAGAGAATTCGCCATTACCAAGCCACCACTAAAAGAACTGCTAAAAGGAGCTCTAAATCTTGAAACAAATCCTGGAAACACATCAAAACAGAATCTCTTTAAAACATAAATCACACAGGAGGACCTATAAAACAAAAATACAAGTTAAAAAACAAAAACAAAAAACAAATCCAAAGTACGCAAGCAACAAACAGCATGATGAATGCAACAGTACCTCACATTTCAATATTAACATTGAATGTAAATGGCCTAAAGGCTCCACTTAAAAGATACAGAACTGCAGAATGGATAAGAACTTACCAACCATCTGCCCTCTTAGGAGACTCACCTAAACTTTAAGTTTATGTGAGCGGAAAAACACATTTCATGCAAATGCACACCAAAAGCAAACAGGATAGCTATTCTTATATCAGACAAAACAAACTTTAAAGCAACAGTGGTTAAAAGAGACAAAGAGGGACATTACATAATAGTAAAAGGCCTGGTCCAACAGGAGAACATCACAATCCTAAACATATATGCACCTAACACTGTAGCTCCCAAACTTGTAATTACTAATAGACCTAAGAAATGAGATAGCAACACCATAATAGTGGAGGACTTCAATACTCCACTGACTAGACAGGTCATCAAGACAGAAAGTCAACAAAGAAACAATGGATTTAAACTATACCCTGGAACAAATGGACCTAACAGATATATACAGAACATTTAGTCTAACAACCACAGAATACACATTCTATTCAAAAGCACGTGGAACTTTCTCCAAAATAGACTATATGACAGGCCATAAAACAAGCCTCAATAAATTTAAGAAAACTGAAATTATATCAAGCACTCTCTCAGACCACAGTGGAATAAAAGTGGAAATCAACTCCAAAAGGAACCTTCAAAACCACACAAATACATGGAAATTAAATAAATTGCTCCTGAATGAGCACTGGGCCAAAAATGAAATCAAGATGAAAATTTAAAAATTCTTTGAACTGAACGACAGTAATGACACAACCTATCAAAACCTTTGGGATACAGTTAAGACAGTGCTAAGAGGAAAGTTCATAGCCCTAAAACACCTACATCAAAAAAGTCTGAAAGAGCACAGACAGACAATCTAAGGTCACACCTCAAGGAAATGGAGAAACAAGAACAAACCAAACCTAGCAGAAGAAAGGAAACAACCAACATCAGAGCAGAACTAAATGAAATTGAAACAAACGACAAATGAAACAAAAAGCTGGTTCTTTGAAAAGATAAATAAAATGGATAGATTAGCAAGATTAACCAAGAAAAGAACAGAGAAAATCCAAACACCTCACTAAGAAACAAAACAGGAGATATTACAACTGACACCACTGAAATACAAAAGATCATTCAAGGCTACTATGAACACCTTTACACACATAAACTAGAAAACCTAGAAGAAATGGATAAAGACCCGGAAAAATACAACCCTCCTAGCTTAAATCAGAATTAGATACCCTGAACAGACCAATAGCAAGCAGTGAGATTGAAATGGTAATTTAAAAATTACCAACAAAAAAAGTCCAGGACCAGATGGATTAACAGCAGCATTCTACCAGACATTCAGGTAATTGGTACCAATTCTTTTGACGCTATTCCACAAGATGGAGAAAGAAGGAACCCTCCCTAATTCATTCTATGAAGCCAGCATCACCCTAATACCAAAACCAGGAAAGGACACACCCAAAAAAGAAAACTACAGACCAATATCTTTGATGAACATAGATGCTAAAATCCTTAACAAAATACTAGCTAACTGAATCTAACAACATATCAAAAAGATAATCCACCATGATCAAGTGGGTTTCATACCAGGGATGCAGGGATGGTTTAACATACTCAATAAATGTAATATACCACATAAACAGAATTAAGAACAAAAATCACATGATCATCTCAATAGATGCAGAAAAAGCATTAGACAAAATCCAGCATCCTTTATGATCAAAACCCTCAGCAAAATCAGCATACAAGGGACATACCTTAATGTAATAAAAGCAATCTATGACAAACCCACAGCCAACATAATACTGAATGGGGAAAAGTTGAAAGCATTCCCTCTGAGAACAGGAACAAGACAAGGATGCCCACTCTCATCACTCCTCTTCAACGTAGTACTGGAAGTCCCAGCCAGAACAATCAGACAACAGAAATAAATAAAGGGCATCCAAATCAGTAAAGAGGAAGTCAAACTGTCCCTGTTTGCTGACAATATAACTGTTTACCTTAGGAGTCTGTAAGACTCCTCCAGAAAGCTCCTAGAACTGATAAAATAATTCTGCAAAGTTTCCAGATACAAGATTAATGGACACAAATCAGTAGCTCTTCTATATACCAACAGCGACCAAGCAGAGAAATCAAGAACTCAAGCCCTTTCACAACTGCAAAAAAATATATAAAATACTTAGGAATATACCTAACAAAGGAGTCGAAAGACCTCTATAAGGAAAACTACAAAACGCTGCTGAAAGAAATCACAGATTACACAAACAAATGGAAACACATCCCATGCTCATGGATGGGTAGAATCAACATTGTGAAAATGACCATACTGCCAAAAGCAATCTACAAATTCAACATAATCCCCATCAAAATACCACCATCATTCTTCACAGAGTTAGAAAAAACAATTCTAAACTTCATATGGAACCAAAAAAGAGCCCACATAGCCACAGCAAGACTAAGCAAAAAGAACAAATCTGGAGGCATCATATTACCTGATTTCAAACTATACTATAAGGCCGCAGTCACCAAAACAGCATGGTACTCATATAAAAATAGGCACATAGACCAATGGAACAGAACAGAGAACCCAGAAATAAACCCAAATACTTACAGCCAACTGATCTTCGACAAAGCAAACAAAAACATGAAGTGGGGAAAGGACACCCTTTTCAACAAATGGTGTTGGAATAATTGGCTAGCCACATATAGGAGAATGAAACTGGATCCTCATCTCTCACCTTATACAAAAATCAACTCAAGATGGATTCAGGGCTTAAACCTAAGACCTGAAACTATAAAAATTCTAGAAGATGGAGGGTTGTTGGCAAGATGGCCGAATAGGAAGAGCTCCGGTCTGTAGCTCCCAGCAAGATCGACACAGAAGGCGGGTGATTTCTGCATTTCCAACTTAGGTACCTAGTTCATCTCATTGGGACTGGTTGGACAGTGGGTGCAGCCCACAGAGAGCGAGCCGAAGCAGGGTGAGGCGCCACCTCAACCCAGAAAGTGCAAAGGGTCAGGGAAATCTCTTCCCTACCCAAGGGAATCCATGAGGGATGTGCCATGCTGTGAGGAATGGTGCACTCTGGCCCAGATACTGTGCTTTTCCCACAGTCTTCGCCACCCGCAGACCAGGAGATTCCCTCTGGTGCCTATGCCACCAGGGCCTGGATTTCAAGCACAAAACTGGGCGGCCGTTTGTGCAGACACCGAGCTAACTGTAGGAGTTTTTTTTCCATACCCCAGTGGTGCCTGGAATGCCAGTGAGACAGAACTGTTCACTCTCCTGGAAAGGGGGCGGAAGCCAGGGAGCCTTGCAAGTAGTCAGGCTCGGAGGGTCCTATCCCCAGGGAGCTCAGCAAGCTATGATCCACTGACTTGAAATTCTCCCTGCCAGCACAACAGTCTGAGGTTGACCTGGGACTCTCAAGCTTGGTGGGGTGAGGGGCACCCACCACTGCTGAGGCTTGAGTAGGTGGTTCTACCCTCATAGTGTAAACAAAGCGGCCTGGAAGATCGAACTGGGCAGAGCCCACCGCAGCTCAGCAAGGCTGCTGTGGCCAGATTGCCTCTCTAGATTCCTCCTCTTTGGACAGGGAATCTCTGAAAAAAAGGCAGCAGCCCCAGTCAGGGGCTTATAGATAAAACCCCTACCTCTCTGAGGCAGAGCACCAGGGGGAAGGGGTGGCTGTGGGTGCAGCTTCAGCAGACTTAAACGTCCCTGCCTGATGGCTCTGAAGAGAGCAGTGGATCGCCCAGCACAGCATTCGAGCTCTACTAAGGGTCAGACTGCCTCCTCAAGTGGGTCCCTGACACCCATGTATCCTGACTAGGAGACACTTCCTAGTAGGGGCTGACAGACACTTCATACAGGAGAGCTCTGGCTGGCATGTGACGGGTGCCCCTCTGGGACGAAGCTTCCAGAGGAAGGAACAAGCAGCAATCTTTGCTGTTCTGCAGCCTCTGCTGGTGATACCCAGGCAAACAGGATATGGAATGGACCTCCAGCAAACTCCAGCAGACCTGCAGCAGAGGGGCCTGACTATTAGAAGGAAAACTAACAAACAGAAAGGATTAGCATCAACAACAAAAAGGATGTCCACTCAGAGACCCCATCCAAAGGTCACCAAGATCAAAGACCAAAGGTAGATAAATCCATGAAGATGGGGAGAAACCAGCACAAAAAGACTGAAAATTCCAAAAACCAGAACGCCTCTTCTCCTCCAAAGGATCACAAGTCCTTGCCAGCAAGGGAACAAAACTGGACAGAGAATGAGTTTTACGAATTGACAGAAGAAGGCTTCAGAAGGTAGGTAATAACAAACTCCTCCGAGCTAAAGGAGCCTGTTCTAACCCAATGCAAGGAAGCTAAGAACCTTGAAAAAAGGTTAGACAAATTGCTAACTAGAATAACCGTTTAGAGAAGAACATAAATGACCTGACGGAGCTGAAAAACACAGCACAAGAACCTTGTGAAGCATACACAAGTATCAATAGCCAAACTGATTAAGCGTAAGAAAGGGTATCAGTGATTGAAGATCAACTTAATGAAATACAGCAAAAAGACAAGATTAGAAAAAAAAGAATGAAAAAGAACAAACACAGCCTCCAAGAAATGTGGGAGTATGTGAAAAGACCAAATCTACGTTTGATTAGTGTACCTGAAAGTGACAGGGAGAATGGAACCAAGTTGGAAAACACTCTTCAGGATATTATCCAGGAGAACTTCCCCAACCTAGCAAGACAGGCCAACATTCAAATTCAGGAAATGCAAAGATACTCCTGGAGAAGAGCAACCCAAAGACACATAATCATCAGATTCACCAAGACTGAAATGGAGGAAAAAATGTTAAGGGCAGCCAGAGAGAAAGGTCGGGTTACCCACAAAGGGAAGCCCATCAGACTAACAGCGGATCTCTCTGCAGAAACTCTACGAGCCAGGAGAGAGTTGGGGCCAATATTCAACATTCTTAAAAAAAAAAAAGAATTTTCAACCCGGAATTTCATATCCAGCCAAACTCAGTTTCATAAGCAAAGGAGAAATAAAATCCTTTATAGACAAGGAAATTCTGAGAGATTTTGTCACCACCAGGCCTGCCTTACAAGAGGTCCTGAAGGAAGCACTAAACATGGAAAGGAACAACTGGTACCACCCACTGCAAAAACATACCAAATTGTAAAGACCATCGACACTATGAAGAAACTGCATCAACTAATGAGCAAAATAACCAGCTAGCATCATAATGACAGGATCAAATTCACACATAACAATATAAACCTTAAATGTAAATGGGCTAAATGTCCCAATTAAAAGACACAGACTGGCAAACTGGATAAAGAATCAAGACCCAACAGTGTGCTGTATTCAGGAGACCCATCTCACACGCAGAGACACACATAGGCTCAAAATAAAGGGATGAAGGAGTATTTACCAATCAAACGGAGAGAAAGAAAAGCAATCCTAGTCTCTGATAAAACAGACTTTAAACCAACAAAGATCAAAAGAGACAAAGAAGGCCATTACATAATGGTAAAGGGATCAATGCAACAAGAAGAGCTAACTATCCTAAATATATATGTACCCAAAACAGAAGCACCCAGATTCATAAAGCAAGTCCTTAGAGACCTACAAAGAGACTTAGACTCCCACACAATGATAATGGGAGACTTTAACATCCCACTGTCAATATCAGACAGATCAATGAGACAGAAAATTAACAAGGATATTCAGGACTTGAACTCAGCTCTGGACCAAGCAGACCTAATAGACATCTACAGAACTCTCCACCCCAAATCAACAGAATCTACATTCTTCTGAGGACTTAATCACACTTATTCTAAAATTAACCACACAATTGGAAGTAAAACACTCCTCAGCAAATGCAAAAAAAACTAGATATAAAAACACAGTCTCTCAGACCACAGTGCAATCAAATTAGAACTCAGGATTAAGAAACTCACTCAAAACCGCTCAACTACGTGGAAAATGACCAACCTGCTCCTGAATGACTACTGGGTAAATAACGAAATTAAGACAGAAATAAAGATGTTATTTGAAACCAATGAGAACAAAGAGACAACGTACCAAAATCTATGGGACACATTTAAAGCAGTGTTTACAGGGAAATTTATAGCACTAAATGCCCACAGGAGAAAGCAGGAAAGATCTAAAATTGACACCCTAACATCACAACTAAAAGAACTAGAGAAACAAGAGCAAACAAATTCAAAAGCTACCAGAAGACAAGAAATAACTAAGATTAGAGCAGAACTGTAGGAGATACAGACACGAAACCCTTCAAAAAAAATCAATGAATCCAGGAGCTGGCTTTTTGAAAAGATCAACAAAATAGACAGACCACTAGCCAGACTAATAAGAAGAAAAGAGAGAAGAATCAAACAGACGCAATAAAAAATGATAAAGGGGGCCGGGTGCCGTGCCTCACACCTGTAATCCCAGTACTTTGGGAGGCCGAGGTGGGTGGATCACGAGGTTGGGAGATTGAGACCATCCTGGCTAACACGGTGAAACCCCGTCTCTACTAAAAAATACAAAAAATTAGCTGGGTGTGATGGTGGGCGCCTGTAGTCCCAGCTACTCAGGAGGCTGAGGCAGGAGAATGGCGTGAACCTGGGAGGCAGAGCTTGCAGTGAGCCGAGATCATGCCACTGCACTCCAGCCTGGGTGACAGAGCAACACTCTGTCTCAAAAAAAAAAAAAAAAAATGATAAAGGGGATATCACCGCTGTTCCCACAGAAATACAAACTACCATCAAAGAATACTATAAACACCTCTACACAAATAAACTAGAAAATCTAGAAGAAATGGATAAATTCCTGGACACATACACCCTCCCAAGTCTAAACCAAGAAGAAGACGAATCCCTGAAGATACCAATAACCAGGTCTGAAATTGAGGCAATAATTAATAGCCTACCAACCAAAAGAAGTCCAGGACCAGACGGATTCACAGCAGAATTCTACCAGAGGTACAAAGAGGAGCTGGTACCATTCCTTCTGAAACTATTCCAATCAATAGAAATAGAGGGAATCCTCCCTAATTAATTTTATGAGACCAACATCATCCTGATACCAAAACCTGGCAGAGACACAACAACAACAAAAAAAGAGAATTTCAGGCCAATATCCCTGATGAACATTGATGCAAAAATCCTCAACAAAATACTGTCAAATCAAATCCAGCAGCACATCAAAAAGCTTATCCAGCACGATCAAGTTGGCTTCATATCTGGGATGCAAGGCTGGTTCATCATATGGAAATCAGTAAACGTAATCTATTCACATAAACAGAACCAATGACAAAAACCACATGATTATCTCAATAGTTGCACAAAAAGCCTTCAACAAAATTCAACATCCCTTCATGCTAAAAACTCTCAATAAACTAGGTATTGATGGAACGTATCTAAAAATAATAAGAGCTACTTATGACAAACCCACAGCCAATATCATACTGAATGGGCAAAAACTGGAAGCATTCCCTTGAAAAACGGCAAAAGGCAAGGATGCCCTCTCTCTCCACTCCTATTCAACATAGTATTGGAAGTTCTGGCCAAGGCAATCAGGCATGAGAAAGAAATAAAGGGTATTCAAATAGGAAAAGAGGAAGTTAAGTTGTCTCTGTTTGCAGATGACATGATTGTATATTTAGAAAACCCCATTGTCTCAGCCCCAAATCTCCTTAAGCTGATAAGCAACTTCAGCAAAGTCTCAGGATACAAAATCAATGTGCAAAAATCACAAGCATTCTTATACACCAATAACAGACAAACAGCCAAATCATGAGTGAACTCCCATTCACAACTGCTACTAAGAGAATAAAATACCTAGGAATACAACTTACAAGGGACGTGAAGGACCTCTTTAAGGAGAACTACAAACCACTGCTCAAGGAAATAAAAGAGGACACAAACAAATGGAAAAACACTCCATACTCATGGATAGGAAGAATTAATATTGTGAAAATGACCATATTGCCCAAAGTAATGTACAGATTCAATGCTATCCCCATCAAGCTACCACTCACTTTCTTCACAGAATTGGAAAAAACTACTTTAAATTTCCTATGGAATCAAAAAACAGCCCAAACAGCCAACACAATCCTAACCAAAAAGAACAAAGCTGGAGGCATCATGCTGTCTCACTTCAAACTATACTACAAGGTTACAATAACCAAAGCAGCATGGTACTGGTACCAAAACAGATATATAGATGAATAGAACAGAAGAGAGGCCTCAGAAATAACACCACACACCCACAACCATCTGATCTTTGACAAACCTGACACAAACAAGCAATGGGGAAAGGATTCCTTACTTCATAAATGGTGTTGGGAAAACTGGCTAGCCATATGCAGAAAACTGAAACTGGACTCCTTCCTTACACCTTATACAAAAATTAACTCAAGATGGAATAAAGACTTAAACGTAAGACCTAAAACCATAAAAACCCTAGAAGTAAACCTAGGCAGTATCATTCAGGACACAGGCATGGACAAAATGACTAAAACACCAAAAGCAATGGCAACAAAAGCTGAAATTGACAAATGGGATCTAATTAAACTAAAGAACTTCTGCACAGCAAAAGAAACTATCATCAGAGTGAACAGGCAACCCACAGAATGGCAGACAATTTCTGCAATCTACCCATCTGACAAAGGGCTAATATTCAAAATCTACAAAGAACCTAAACAAATTTACAAGAAAAAAACAACCCCATCAAAAAGTAGGCAAAGGACTATGAGCAGACACTTCTCAAAAGAAGACATTTATGCAGCCAACAAACATATGGAGAAAAGCTCATCATCACTGGTCATTAGAGAAATGCAAATCAAAACCACAATGAGATACCATCTCATGCCAGTTAGAATGGCGATCATTAAAAAGTCAGGAAACAACAGATGCTGGAGAGGATGTGGTGAAATAGGAACGCTTTTACACTGTTGGTGGGAGCGTAAATTAGTTCAACCATTGTGGAAGACAGTGTGGCAATTCCTCAAGGATCCAGAACCAGAACTACCATTCGACCCAGCAATCCCATTACTAGGTATATACCGAAGGGATTATAAATCATTCTACTATAAAGATACATGCAGCCGGGCGCGGTGGCTCATGCCTGTAATCCCAGCACTTTTGGAGGCCAAGGTAGCCCGATCATGGGGTCAGGAGATTGAGACCATCCTGGCCAACATGGTGAAATGCTCTCTGTACTAAAAATACAAAAATTAGCCAGGCACGGTGGCGGGCACCTATAATCCCAGCTACTTGGGAGGGTGGGGCAGGAGAATCACTTGAACCCGGGAGGCAGAGGTCGCAGTGAGCTGAGATTGCACCACTGCACTCCAGCCTGGCGACAGAGCAAGACTCTGTCTCAAAAAAAAAAAAAAAAAAGATAAGTGCACATGTATGTTTATTGCAGCACTACAGCAAAGACTTGGAACCAACCCAAATGCCCATCAATGATAGACTCGATAAAGAAAATGTGGCACATATACACCATGGAATACTATGCAGCCATAAAAAAGGATGAGTGCATGTCCTTTGCAGGGACATGGATGAAGCTGGAAACCATAATTCTCAGCAAACTAACACAAGAACAGAAAACCAAACACTGCACGTTCTCACTCATAAGTGGGAGTTGAACCATGAGAACACATGGACACAGAACATCTCATCCAACAGTTAAGAGAATACACATTCTTTTCATTAGCATAAGGATTATTCTCCAGGACAGATCATATGTTAGGACACAAAACAAATCTTAACAAACTTTAAAAAACTGACTTCATATCAAGTATCTTCTCAAACCACAATGGAACAAAACCAGTAATCAATAATGAGAGGAACACTGGCAACTGTACCAATAAATAGAAATTAAACCACATGCTTCTGAACAAGCATCCAGTCAAGGAAAAAATTTAAAAAAATTCTTGAAAAAAATGAAAATTTAAACCCAACATACCAAAACCTATGGGATACAGCAAAAGCAGTGCTAAGAGGGAAATTTTAGCAATAAGTGCCTATATCAAAAAAGTGGAAACATTTCAAAAAGCAATCTAATGATGTACCTAAAAGGAACTAGAAAAGAACA
Source organism: Homo sapiens (assembly GCF_000001405.40). NCBI lineage: Eukaryota > Metazoa > Chordata > Mammalia > Primates > Hominidae > Homo > Homo sapiens. The sequence continues at coordinate 56,599,449 of NC_000003.12, read as the reverse complement.
AACCCCAAATTAGTGGAAAGAAATAACAAACACTAGAGCAGAATTAAACAAAATAGAGACACACAATACAAAGGATCAAAGAAACAAAGATTTTTTAAAAGATAAACAAAACCAATAAGCTACTTGATAGACTAACCAAGAACCGAAGAGAGAAGACCCAAATAAAATCAGGAATAAAAAAGGAGAAATTACAACTGATACCACAGAAATACAAGAGATCATCAGAGGCTATTATGAACAACTACACACAGACAAACTAGAAAATCTAGAAGAAATGGATAAATTCCTGGAGACACACAAGCTATCAAGATTGAATCAGGAAGAAATAGAAAACCTGAACAGACCAGTAATGAGTAATAAGACTGAATTGGTAATAAAAAAGTCTCCCAACAAAGGAAAGTCCAGGACCAGACAACTTCACTAATGAATTCTACCAAACTATCAAAGAACTAACCAATTCTTCCCAAACTATTCCAAAAAAATCAAAGAGGAGGGAATTTTCCCTAACTCATTCTGTGAGGCCAGCATTACCCTGATACCAAAGCCAGAGAAGGACACAACAAAAAAGAACAAAGAAAATTACAGGCCACTATTTTTGATGAACATAGATGCAAAAATTCTCAACAAAATACTAGCAAACTCAATCCAACAGCACATGAGAAAACTAATACCCAATAATTAAGTGGGATTTATCCCAGGGATGCAGGCAGAATTCAACATACACAAATCAATAAATGTGATACATCACATCAACAGAATGAAAGACAAAAACCATATGATCATCTCAGTAGACAAGAAAAAACATTTCACAAAATTCAACATCACTAAATAATAAAAACTCTCAACAAACTAGGCACAGAAGGTATATACCTTAAAATAATAAAGACTATATATGACAAACCCACAGCTAACATCATACTTAATGGGGAAAAGCTGAAAGCCTTTCCCCTAAGAGCTAAAACAAAACAAGGATGCCCACTTTCACCATTCTTATTCAACATAGCAACAGAAGTCCTAGCCAGAGCAACCAGGCAAGATAAATAAAAGGCACCTAAATTAGAAAATAAATAAAATAAATAAAATAGAAAATAAATAAAATAAAATAAAAAGTCCCCTATGCAAAAATTACCCAGGCATGGTGGCACACACCTGTAATTCCAGCTACTTGGGTGGCTGAGGCATGGGAATTGCTTGAACCCAGAAGGTGGAGGTTGTAGTGATCCAACATTGTGCCACTGAAGTCCAGCCTAGGTGACAGAGCTGTCTCAAAACAAACAAACAAACAAACAAACAAACAAAACAAAACAAAACAAACTAAAATCAAAACGTCCCCTTTGCTGATGTTATCATCTTATATCTTAAAAACCCTAGACTCCACTGGCACAGTGGCTCATGCCTGAAATCCCAGCACTTTGGGAGGCCAAGGCGGGTGGATCACCTGAGGTCAGGAGTTCGAGACCAGCCTGGCCAACACTGCGAAACCCCATCTCTACTAAAAAAATACAAAAATTACAAGGTGCGGTGGCACATGCCTGTAGTCCCAGCTACTTGGAAGGCTGAGGCAGGAGAATCGCTTGAACCTGTGAGGCAGAGGTTGCAGTGGGATGAGATCGCGCCACTGCACTCCAGCCTAGGCAACAGAGCGAGGCTCTGTCTCAAAAAAAAAAAAAAACCCCAAAACAAAACCTAGACTCCACAAAAACCTCACATCTGATCAATAAATTCAGTAAAGTTGCAGAATACAAAATCAACATACAAAAATCAGTAGCATTTCTATACACTAGCTGAGAAATAAAGAAGGCAATCCCACCTACAATAGCTACAAAACAATAAAATATCTAGGAATAAATTTAACCAAGGGGGTTACACATTTCTACATAAAAAACTACAAAACAGATGAAATAAACGAAAGAGGATACAAACAAATGGCAAGACATCCCATGTTCATGGATCAGAAGAATTATGCCTAAGGCAATCTACAAATTCAATGCTATCTCTATCAAAATACCACCTTCATTTTTCACAGAAGTAGAAAAAATTCAAAACTTTCTATGAAACCAAAAAAGAGCCGTAATAACCAAATCAAGGTGGATCAAAAGAACAAAGCTGAAGGCATCACACTACCTGACTTCAAAATACATTACAAGACTATAGGAACCACAACAGCATGGTATTGGTATAAAAACAGACATATAGATCAATGGAACAGAATAGGGAATCCAGAAATAAATCCATGTATTTACAGCCAACTGATTTTCAACAAAAGTGTCAAGAACATAGTTGGGGAAAGCACACACTCTTCAATAAATAATGCTTGGAAAATTGGATATCTATATGCAGAGGAATGAAATTGGAGCCCCATCTCTCACCATATTCAAAAAACAATTCAAGGGCTGGTGTGGTAGCTCATGCCTGTAATCCTAGCACTTTGGGAGGGCAAGGCAGGTGGATCATTTAAGGTCAGGAGTTCAAGACCAGCCTGGCCAACATGGTGAAACCCCATCTGTACTAAAAAAAAAAAAAAAAAATTAGCCAGGTGTGGTGGCATGCACCCGTAATCCCAGCTACTCAGGAGGCTGAGCAGGGAGAATTGCTTGAACCTGGGAGGTGGAGGCGGCAGTGAGCTGATCACGTCACTGCATTCCAGGGTGACAGTCTGAGACTCCACTTCAAAAAAAAAAAAAAAAAAAATTCAAGATGGATTAAATAGTTAAATGTATGACCCAAAAATGTAAACCTACTAGAAGAAAACATACGGAAAACACTTCAAGACACTGGTATAGAGTTTGTGGTCGAGACCTCAAAAACACAGGGACCAAAAACATACGAATAGGGCTACATTGAACTAAAAATCTTCTGCACGGGAAAGGAAACAATAACCAGAGTGAAAGAGACAGTCTGTCCCCCAGTTTGAATATTCAGTAGTTTGAATATTCAATAGCTTGCATATTCAGTAGTTTGAATATCTGCAAACTATTCATCCAACAAAGGGCTACTATCCAGAATGCCTAAGAAACTCAAACTAAACACACACACACACCAAAAATCCAAATAATTCCATTAAAAAGTGGGCAAAGAACATTAATAAACATTTTTCTAAAGAAGACATATAAATGGCAAACAGGTACATGAAAAAATGCTCAACATTACTAATCACAGAAATGCAAATCAAACCCATAATGAGATATCATATCGCCTCAGTTAGAATGGCTATTACTAAAAAGACAAAAATGCTGGGCCCGGTGGCTCATGCCTGTAATCCCAGCACTCTGGGAGGCTGAGGTTGGAGGACTGTTTGAGGCAAGGAGCTCGAAACCAGTCTGGTCAACATAGTGAGACTGTGTCTCTATAAAAGAAAAAAATTAACATTAGCCTGACATGGTGGCGCATGCTTGTAATATCAGCTACTGGGGAGGCTCGGGCAGCAGGATTGCTTGAGCCCAGGGGTATGAGGCTACAGTGAGCCATGATTATGCCACTGCATACCAGACTGCGCAGCAGAGCAAGACCCTGTCTCAAAAACAAGCAAACAAACAAACATACCAAAAGACAAAAACTAACAGATACTGCCAAGGAAGCGGAGAAAAGGGAATCCTTATACATTGTTAGTGGGAATGTAAATAAATACAGTCACTATGGAAAACAGTATGGAGACGTCTCAAAAAACTAAAAATGGAACTACCATATGATCCAGCATTCCCAGTACTGGATATTTATCGAAAGAACATGAAATCTGTATATCAAAAGGAAACCTGCACTCTTGTGCTAACTGTAGCACTATTTACAATCTGAGTGTCCATTGATGAACAAATAGATAAACAAAATGTGGTATATACACAATGGGATACTATTTGGCCATAAAGAAAGAATAGAATCTTGTCATTTACAGCAACACAGATGGGACTGGACGTCATTATGTTAAGTGAAATAAGCCAGGTATATAAAGATAAACATCACATGTTCCCACTCATATGTGGGAGCTAAAAAAGTAGGTCTCAACGAGCTAAAGAATGGAATGATAGGTATCAAAGGCTGGGAAGGGTGTGTGTGAGGGTGGTAGTGATCAAGAGAGGTAGGTTAATGGGTACAAACATATGGTTAGATGAAAGGAATAAGTTCTAATGTTTGATAGCAATAGTAAGGTGACTATGGTCAGCAACAATGTATTATATATTTCAAATTGGCTAGTAAACTTGAAATGTTCCCAACACAGAAATGATAAATACTCAAGGTGATAGATACCAGAATACTCTGGCTGAATCATTACGCATTCTACATATATAACAAAATATCATATGTATCCTATAAATATATAAAACATTATATATCAATTTTTAAAATCCATGAAGCATTAGTTTGGTGACTGTAGAAATAAGTTTTTATCAGCATACTGAAAGTATTATTTATATAAGTGAAGTGGAAATGTCAAATTTCCAATGCATTTCTCCCATCTCCCATTTGTACTGTCAAGTTCTACATGCCTTTTCTTCAACCCTAGGAGGGCTACTGGAGGAAATGGTATTAAAAAAAACTGAAGAAATAATCTCAGTGCTTAGCATAGTGCCTGTTAAGTAGCAGATGCTCTGCAAATGTCTGCTCACTGACTAAGCATAACATTAATGATGCCAAATTCATATATCAAAGGATTTGAAGAATTATGCAGATATTAAAGTCCCTTTAGCATTAGGCTAAAATCAGGACAGGAAGTTTTAATTTTAATTTTAGCCTCCTTTCTTATATTATGCATTAGATTTCTTTTTTTTTTTTGAGATGGAGTCTCACTCTGTCGCCCAGGCTGGAGTGCAGTAGCACAATCTCAGCTCACTGCAAGCTCTGCCTCCCAGGTTCATGCCATTCTCCCACCTCAGCCTCCCGAGTAGCTGGGGACTACAGGCGCCTGCCACCACGCCCAGCTAATTTTTTGTATTTTTAGTAGAGACGGGGTTTCACCATTCACAGGATGGTCTTGATCTCCTGACCTCGTGATCTGCCCACTCAGCCTCCCAAAGTGCTGGGATTACAGGCGTGAGCCACCGTGCCCGGCCATTATGCATTAGATTTCTTAGTCATAATTCTAGTTCAATCCCTATTCAAAGAATGAATTCTCATCTTAAACAGAACTCAGGAGAAATAAATTGATGAAAAAAAAAAAAACCAGTACTAACCTAAGACAACACAAATTCACATATACAACTTAATATATTAAAGACCTTCTGTACTGGAAGGCAGGTGGCTGTAGCATTTGATAAGCTAATTCTAATATTACAATGCCAGTTGTGGTAGGGATTGGATTCGTGACACAACTGGACAGGACCTATGCTGTAAAGTTTACATCAGAATTTAAATTTCCATTTACTTAGGTATATGTTCACCATGACTGTTACTTATTAAGGTAAAGAACAATGTTTAACAATGCAATACCTGATGCTCTAATTGTTTTTGTCGTCGTCTGTCTCGTTCCTCAATCTGAGCTGGGTCCAAGAGAGCAGTCATAGAACGGAGAAAGCTGGCAAGATACATACATTAGCTATTCAAAACCTCAAAAAGGTAGATTCAACAAGCTAAATCATTTTTGTTTGGGATAAATCTACTAATTATTTCTATTTCAAAGACAAATACCAAACCTGAAACCAATTAGACATAACAACAGTCTTACTAAAGCACACAGACTTTCTGAAAAGTCAATAAATACATAAGCATGAACTTACTTTGTTTTCTTACTGTTTGCCATAACCACATCCTTAATAGGTTTTGCTATATGCTCCTCCTCTGAAGGTTCAACCTGGCTTCCGGTTGTAGGTGTACAAACACTGCTGACATCAGCCAGCTCCTGAGTGTCAGGAGAGACACAGAAGTACTCAGGTTGTTTGTGTGTTGACTGAGAGAACAGCTGAGATTGAGAACCAGGATAACTCTTTAATGAATCAAAGTGCATTGCCCATCTGTCATGTTCCTCACCCTAATGATGACAAATAAGAATTGCTAAGAATTTTTCCAATTATTCTCATATATAATTCTAAATGACAACCAAAGATGATTTCTAAAAGTCACCTTAGAGCAGAATAAGCATCATAAAAATTAACAAGACTGTACTGTTTAGAGTCCTTATACATATAGATCACTAGCTTTGAAAATTTGAGAAATTCAAAGAATTAGGAAATTTCTAAAAAGTTGTAAGAAGCTATGCAACATCACATAATGCATTCAATGAAACAGGTTCACATGGGCAAATGTGGAATAAATGGAATATTCTGGTCTTGTCAAGAGTTTCAGAATACTTCTAGTTTTAATTGATTAAAGACTTTGATTTTATTTTTTCTTTTATAGCCACAAAACCTCATAAGTTACCTTTGAATATATAATTTTTTCCTCTATTTTTCTTTGACGGTCATCTTCTATTTGCTTATTCAACTCTTCAATCCATTTTCTTTGCAGTTCTTGTTTCACAGCACTGAAAGGGTGCTCCAGCAGTACTGTTTCCTAAACAACAGCCATAAAAGCCATCTAAAGTTCAGTTCTCTTTTTCTAATCACTTAATATGTGCAAATCTTGCCAAAGTAACATACAGATTTAATCCACTGAGGCATTTATCTGTAAGAGGAGCAATAACTTCAAACGAATTTGAATTCAAAGAATTAAGTAGATATATTCTGATTCTCAGAATCATATTTTAAATATACTAGATCAGAGATATATAATAAGATATCTAAGTGTAAGGGAAGGGAATTTTCTAATGAAAAACAGAAAATTCTTTCTCCAAAACAATTAAAAGACTTTCAAAATTCAGCTGGATGCAGCAGCTCATGACTATAATCCCAGCATGTTGGGAGGCTGACATGGGCAGATCACTTGAGCCCAGGAGTTCAAGGCCAGCCCCTGGCCAACATGGCAAAATCTCATCTCTACTGAAAAAAAAAAAAAAAATTAGCCAGCTGTGGTGGTGCATGTCTGTAATCCCAGCTACTTGAGAGGCTGAGACACAAATCACTTGAACCCGGGAGGTGGAGGTTGTAGTGAGCTGAAATCATGCCACTGCACTCCAGCATGGGCAACAGAGTGAGACCCTGTCTCAAAAATATTGTTTTTCAAAATTCTAAGTCTCTTTTAGAGGCTGAAAGAGTTATTAATTTAAAACAGATGAATATTGTTTTACATTTGGCTTTGGAATACAACATTTGGAATATTGTCTTTGGACCAAGAACAAGGAGAATATAGAAAGATGTGTGAGAGCAAGAGACTTTCCCTATTGAATCATGTCTCTCTCTAGGAGAACCTCTGTCTTCTAGGTTTCTGCTACTACAGCTCTATCACAGCCTATGATGTTTCAATAACAAAAATATACTGTGTCCAGAACGAGTCTTTGAATCTTAAGGAAAAAGTAAAAAATGAAAACAGTAGCATAAAAGTTTGCTGCCACTTTAATTGATGAGTTTAGGATACTCTTTTAAAAAAGGAAAAAAATATATTCTACTCAAATTCTTCTGAAATGCAACAGGCAAACAACAAAACATTTCATTACATGAAATAACTACAAGACATAATTAAGAAAAACTGTTTGACAGAATCCTACAATGACGATATACCTCACAATGTTACTTTCTTCCCTTGTTTTTACCAGAAAAGATCACAAAGCTCATAGTTTACAACTCACTGTTTTGATCAGAAGAAATATTTATACAAAAAGTAAAGATCCTTCTATCTCAGGTCCTCCTACATTCTAACCAGATTAAAAACCATCCAACTTATTTAAGTCTAAAACAATCACTTCAAAAGGAACATTATCTTTAGGTAAAAGATTTAACAATTTTTATACCTCAAGAAATGTTTTAGAGGTCAAAATGGGAAAAGAAAAACGAGCATTGTCCAACCTGTGGCCCAAGACAGCTTTGAATGTGGCCCAACACAAATTTGTAAACTTCCTTAAAACATTATGAAAGTGTTTTGCAATTTTTTTTAAGTTTATCAGCTATCACAGTGTTAGTTTATTTCATCTGTTGCCCAAGACCGTTTTTCTTCTTGCAGTGTGACCCAGGGAAGCTAAAAGAGTGGATGCTGTATATTTGTTTAAGTTTGATGTAACCAGATCTGATTCCATATTTTAGTGTAGTGGCATTGCAAATTATTCAGGGATTAGACAAAAGTTAAAATTACCCTTAAAAATTCCTTAAACACTCAAAATGTTTTATCTATATTCATAACCCTAAGATAACTGAACAATTAGATCTCTCAGTTGAGTCTTTAATTTCTTACTCAAGGATGTCTTACAAAGCTACTACCACTTAACTGCATTTCATTTCTGTCGTTGACTGGGAAAGGCTTTACATTATTCTTACATTCTTTTTCACAAGTCTCTCCCAATGTGCATTCAGTTAGAAGAATGAAAAACATGGGGGTGGGAGATGGGGAGAGGTAGTAGGTAGAACTGCATTCCTTTTGGTTTACTGCATGCATTTAGTTGAAGGTGAGTAAGGCATATTTGTGTATAACACAAGACACACTGTAACAATTGTTTTGACCTTCTTCTAGCATTCCCTCTCACTAAATCCTCCATACAGTTAAAGAAAGAAGCCTCTTTTCCCAGGCTAACTGACTTTTTCACTCTATCTCCCTATTATTGACCTGAGACTTCCCCTACATAAAAACTGGTTTCCTAAACGTGTTTGGAGCCTATTCTCTTTTGTGTTTTTATTTTTTTTTTTTAGGCAGGGTCTCACTGTCACCCAGGCTGGAGTGCACAATCACGGCTCACTGCTGCCTCAACCTCCCATGCTCAAGTGATCCTCCTGCCTCAGATTCCCAAGTAGCTGGGACTACAGATGCACACCACCACACCCGGCTATTTTTATTTTTTTGTAGAGACAGGATTTTATCATGTTGTTGCCCAGGATGGCCTTGAACTCCTGGGCTCAAGAAATCCACCCGCCTTGATCTCCCAAAGAGCCACTGCACATGGCCTATTCTCACATGACAGCCTTGTGTGAAAACTCATAGGAAACCCACTACAACCTTCCCCTAAAATAGTTCCTGATGTTACAGAGTCCTAATGTAATTCTTTCAGTCTTCAAATTATTCTGTTAGGAAATCTTAGTCTCACTCCTGATTCAAATGCTGTACAAATGGCAGCTGGTTAAGTCACAACTGAAAATAAAGGGCTTTTCAAATGGTCCACTACAGATGCCTGTTTCCATTTCATGTAATTCTCCCCTTAAAGCAGTCTTATAAAAATGCAGCTTTGGGAAAGAACACTCAGTGTTGACTTTGCCATGGGCCAGAACAGCCCTTCTTGCCAGTTCATGATTCCCCAGTTAAGATGACAACATCCACCTGCCGACCTTGTCTACTGGCCACGCAGAAAAGGTATTCATGTGGGTGGTAGGGATGTCGGGACACTGGATTACAAAGACCATTCATTACCTTACAGGAGGAACAGCAGCAAAACACAGAGCTGAAATCACTTTTTAAAAAACAAAATTACTTTGAACTTAAAAATTAATTAAATTCCCTCTGGAACCAGAGGGCCCATAGAGGTTTAACAAATGGCTAAAAATCCGTTTCTCATGTATTTATTTGCCATATATCCTCTTTGGAGCCATGTCTATTAAAATTCTGCCAATTAAAAAAATTGGGTTGTCTAATTAGTGAATGTTTAGTTTTTAAAAATATATGCTGGATGTAAGTCCTTTTATCAAGGATTAATCTGCAAACATTTTCTCCCTCTATTTTATAATATTAACTTTAACCTTCCAAGAACAGAACTTGTGATTAGGTCATTCATCAATTACTTTTTAACAGATCATCCTTTCAATGTTGTGCTAATGACACTGGTACATTAATTCTTGTGTCTAGCCACTTTTATTAAATTTACCTATTATTTTTATAAATATGATGACTATCATTGATTTGTGAATGTTAAACCTAGCTTGCTTTCATTCATTGAATAGACCCAACTCATCATGATTTATTATTCTTTCTTGTATTTATTTTTCTTTCTTATATTTCCTGTTGGGTTTTGGTATTAAAAAATGTTAGTTTTGGGTATCAGGTTTACTACCCTTATAAACAACCTAAAAGGTTTTCACTTCTACCTTTGTTGGGAAGAATTCACCAGTAAACACATTTGGTTCTGGAGTTTATTTTGTTGGGTTTTTAGTAATAAGCTCAATTTCATTAATAAAGATAGTACCATTCTGATTTACTGCTTCTTGTGTCAATTTTAGTAATCTATGTTTTTCTAATAATTTGCTCATTTTTAAGCCCAAATTCTCTAACTTATTGGTGAAGTTATTCAGAAAATCCCCTTCTCTTTCTAATGTCATATTCTCTGGTAATATCTCCTTTTTAATTCATCTCGATTTTATGAGGGGCTTATCAATTTAAATAACTTTTCAAACAATTAACTTTTGGCTTTGTTAATTTTATTGTAGGTATTTCCAGTTTTACTAATATCCACTTTGACCTACCTTGGGCTTCAATTTTGCTGTTCTTTCTCTAACCTCTTGAGATGAATACTTTAGGTCACTATTCCTTGATTTTCAGTCTTTCAAGAGATGCATTTAAGGTGAAAAATTTCCCTCTCAGCACAGGAAACCTACATTTTGATATGTAATATTTTCATTATCACTCAGTTAAAAATATTTTCTAATGTGAATTTCTCTTTCAGTCAGAAGTATACTGCCTAATTATCAAACATTTGGGAATTTTCTAGTTACTATTTGTTACTGATATCTAGCTTAATTCCATTATATGGTTTGATTCTGTGTCCCCATCAAAACTCATGTTGAATTGTAATCCCCAGTGTTGGAGGTAGGGCCTGGTGGGAGATGACTGGATCACAGGGATGGTTTCTCATAGTTTAACATCACCCCACTTGGTGCTATCATTGCGATAAGTTCTCATGAGATCTTTTTATTTTTTAGGTTGATGCAAAAGTAAATTGCGGTTTTTGCCATTGAAAGTAATGGGTAAAACTGCAATTACTTTTTAAAAAAATTTTTATTTCTATAGGTTTTGGGGGAACAGGTGGTATTTGGTTACATGAGTAAGTTCTTTAGTGGTGATCTGTGAGATTCTGGTGTATGCATCACCCGAGCAGTATAGACTGAATCCAATTTGTAGTCTTTTATCCCTCAGCCCCCTCCCAGCCTTTCTCCATAAGTCCTCAAAGTCCACTGTATCATTCTTATGCCTTTGCATCCTCATAGCTTAGCTCCCACTTATGAGTGAGAACATAAGATGTTTGGTTTTCCATTCCTGAGTTACTTCACTTAAAATAATACTCTCCAACTCCATCCAGGTTGCTGCAAATGCTATTCATTCATTCCTTTTTATGGCTGAGTAGGATTCCATCATATATCCATATCTATATCTATCTCACAGTTTCTTTATCCACTCATTGACTGATGGCCATTTGGGCTGGTTCCATATTTTTTGAATTGTGAATTATGCTGCTATAAATGTGTGTCCAAGTATCTTTTCCGTATAATGACTTCTTTTCCTCTGGGTAGTTACCCAGTAGTGAGAATGCTGAATCAAATGGTAGTTCTACTTTTGGTTCTTTTTTTATTTTTATTTTACTTTTATTTTTTGAGACGGAGTCTCTGTCACACAGGCTGGAGTGCAGTGGTGCGATCTCGGCTCACTGCAACCTCTGCCTCCTGGATTCAAGCAATTCTCCTGCCTCAGCCTCCTGAGTAGCTGGGATTACAGGCGCCTGCTACCACGCCTGGCTAATTTTTGTATTTTTAGGGAACGGGGTTTCACCATATTAGCCAGGCTGGTCTCGAACTCCTGACCTCAGGTAATCCGCCTGCCTAGGCCTCCCAAAGTGCTGGAATTACAGGCATGAGCCACCACGCCCAGCCTAACTTTTAGTTCTTTAAGGAATCTCCACATTGTTTTTCATGGTAAGATCTGGTCGTTTAAAAGTGTGTAGCCCTCCCTGCTACTTCTCTCTTGGTCCTGTTTCTGCCATGTTAGATGCCTGCTTCCATTTTGCCTTCCACCATGACTGAAAGCTCCCTGGGGCCTCCCCAGAAGCAGAAGCCACTATGCTTTCTGTATAGTCTGCAAAACTGTAAGCCTATTAAACCTCTTTATAAATTACCCAGTCCCCAGAGATTTCTTTACAGTAATGAGAGAACAAACTAATAAAATCCACTATAACATTCTATGTAATGTGAACCTATGAAATTTGTTGAGACTTTTATAGCCTAATAAATTATTAATTCTCACTTTTTACTTTGAATATTTCATCTATAGATTCTTTGGGGTTTCTATACACATGACGAATAACTACACTTTCATTTTTTCCTCTCCAATTCTTAGGACTTGAAATTTATTTTCCTTGTTATATTGCCTAGAACCACCAATACAAATAGTAATAATATATTGGCATCTTATCTCTTTTTAGAGACAGGGTCTTGCTCTGTGGCCCAAGCATAATCATAGCTCACTGCAGCCTCTAACTCCTGGGCTAAAGTAATTCCTTCACCTCAGCCTCCAGAATAGCTAGGACTACAGGAACATCCCACCATGCTCGGCTAATTTTTTAGTTTTTTTGTGTTGTGGAGGCAGGGTCTCACTATGTTGCCCACGCTGGTCTCAAACTCTTGGCTCAAGGCAGCTACTCTTCTGCCCTGGCCTCCCAAAGTGCTGGGCTTATAGGCATGAGCCACTGTATCCAGCCCATAATTTTTAATAATGTATAATTTTATTGTAAGTATGTCTCTTTTAAGCATCAAGTCTTTGGAGTTTTCATATCTCTGCTTTTTAACAAAGGATTTTTGACTTTTCAGAGTTGATTCTTGTTATCTTGCTATTACTATTTATCTTGATGTTTACTGTACAAACTATGTTGGCAGATACTCTTTATAATTATACTAATGATTACTTTAGTTTTCTTTTTTTCTTTTTTTTTTTTTGAGAAAGAGTCTTGCTCTGCCCCCAGGCCAGAGTGCAGTGGTGTGATCTCAGCTCACTGTAACCTTTGCCTCCCAGGTTCAAGCCATTCCCCTGCCTCAGCCTCCTGAGTAGCTGGGATTACAGGCGTGCGCCACCACACCCGGCTAATTTTTTTGTATTTTTTAAGTAGAGATGGGGTTTCACCATGTTGGCCAGGATGGTCTCGATTTCCTGACCTCGTGATCCACCCGCCTCAGCCTCCCAAAGTGCTGGGATTACAGGCGTGAGCCACCACGCCTGGCCGGTTACTTTAGTTTTGTACATTCTTTAACTTTTATCTGATTTTCACAATCATAATAAACTCTGCCTTTATGGAGAGATCACACAACAGCTAAACACTTTGCACAATATTCTAACAAAACAAATGCATAAAGAATTAGAAGGTTCTCCTTGTTTCCTTCCACTGTCCTTCACCAGAGTGAGACAATACCACCATTCTGCTTTTTGTGTGTGTTTGTGTGTTTATGTATGTACTAGTCTTTTAAAGTCTTTCTTTAAATATAGATATGGTTATAGTATATGCATTACTCTTTTCATTTCACAATGTCTTAGAGACTTTTGTGTCAGCTACTCATTACTTTCTAACCACAAAATTCTTGTAAATTGTTTTAATTTTGACCCATTTTTCTGATCCAGAAATGATCTTTAAGAACTTTTGTATTAAAAGAAATATTTGGGAGAAATATTTTATGTAATTATTCAGGTCTGAGTATGTCTATGTTCTCTTTATAAATGAACATCTTGTCTAGGCATTAAATATTTTAGCTCTATTTATTAAACCCTTATAAATATTGCTATACTATATACAGAGAAGAAAACTAAGGTTACTTTGATTTTTGTTGTCATTTTCTCATATTTAAATGCTTGAAGAAGTATATCCTTATTCTTGATATTTGCAAACTTATTATGATATACCTTCAAATTGGCCCTCTTTTCATTCAACCTAATTTTCTTCTGGATCTAGAAAGTTTTTTCTATGAAACTTGATATATTATTACTTCTGTTTTCTTCTTTAGGAAAGCCTATGATTCAAGATTGTATTTTTATAAGCTATTTATAATATCTTTGATGCCAGATTTTTCATCTCTTTTGAAACTTCTTCCTATATTCTGGGAGTGTTCCCACAGCAATTTCTTCTTTTTCCTCACTGTATTTTAAATTTAATGTTATACCAAGTCTTTTTTCTTTCCTATGATTGTATGTATTGTTGTTTTCTTCCACCCATCTTATGTTGGGCCTATTCCTGTACAAAGATTTCCTGGACCACTTCAATTCCTTAAGATATGAGTAGATAAAAACTGAGTGAATATTTTCTTAAAAAACTCTTAACTAGTCCCTCTCCCTCTCCCTCTCCCTCCCTCTCCCTCTCCCCCTCCCCCTCCCCATGGTCTCCCTCTCCCTCTCTTTCCACTGTCTCCCTCTGATGCCGAGCCGAAGCTGGACTGTACTGCTGCCATCTCGGCTCACTGCAACCTCCCTGCCTGATTCTCCCGCCTCAGCCTGCCGAGTGCCTGCGACTGCAGGCGTGTGCCGCCACGCCTGACTGGTTTTCATATTTTTTTGGTGGAGACGGGGTTTCGCTATGCTGGCCGGGCTGGTCTGCAGCTCCTAACCGTGAGTGATCTGCCAGCCTCGGCCTCCCGAGGTGCTGGGATTGCAGACGGAGTCTCGTTCACTCAGTGCTCAATGTTGCCCAGGCTGGAGTGCAGTGGAGTGATCTCGGCTAGCTACAACCTCCACTTCCCAGCCACCTGCCTTGGCCTCCCAAAGTGCCGAGATTGCAGCCTCTGCCCGGCCGCCACCCTGCCTGGGAAGTGAGGAGCGTCTCTGCCTGGCTGCCCATCGTCTGGGATGTGAGGAGCCCCTCTGCCCGGCCGCCCAGTCTGGGAAGTCAGGAGCGCCTCTTCCCGGCCGCCATCCCATCTGGGAAGTGAGGAGCGTCTCTGCCCGGCTGCCCATCATCTGAGATGTGGGGAGCGCCTCTGCCCTGCCGCCCCGTCTGGGATGTGAGGAGCACCTCTGCCTGGCCGCGACCCCGTCTGGGAGGTGAGGAGCGTCTCCGCCTGGCCGCCCCGTCTGAGAAGTGAGGAGCCCCTCCACCCGGCAGCCGCCCCGTCTGAGAAGTGAGGAGCCCCTCTACCCGGCAGCCGCCCCGTCTGAGAAGTGAAGAACCCCTCCGCCCGGCAGCCACCCCGTCTGAGAAGTGAGGAGCCCCTCCGCCCGGCAGCCGCCCCGTCTGAGAAGTGAGGAGCCCCTCCGCCCGGCAGCCACCCCGTCTGGGAAGTGAGGAGCGTCTCCGCCCGGCAGCCGCCCCGCCCGGGAGGTGGGGGGCCGCCCCCGCCCGGCCAGCCGCCCCGTCCGGGAGGGAGGTGGGGGGCAGCCCCCGCCCGGCCAGCCGCCCCGTCCGGGAGGGAGGTGGGGGGCAGCCCCCGCCCGGCCAGCCGCCCCGTCCGGGAGGGAGGTGGGGGGCAGCCCCCCGCCCGGCCAGCCGCCCCGTCCGGGAGGGAGGTGGGGGGCAGCCCCCGCCCGGCCAGCCGCCCCGTCCGGGAGGGAGGTGGGGGGCAGCCCCCGCCCAGCCGCCGCCCCATCCGGGAGGTGGGGGGCGCCTCTGCCCGGCCGCCCCTTCTGGGAAGTGAGGAGCCCCTCTTCCTGGCCGCCACCCCGTCTGGGAGGTGTACCCAACAGCTCATTGAGAACGGGCCATGATGACGATGGCGGTTTTGTGGAATAGAAAAGGGGGAAATGTGGGGAAAAGATAGAGATATCAGATTGTTGCTGTGTCTGTGTAGAAAGAAGTAGACATAGGAGACTCCATTTTGTTCTGTACTAAGAAAGATTCTTCTGCCTTGGGATGCTGTTGATCTATGACCTTGCCCCCAACCCTGTGCTCTCTGAAACATGTGCTGTGTCCACTCAGGGTTAAATGGATTAAGGGCGGTGCAAGACGTGCTTTGTTAAACAGATGCTTGAAGGCAGCATGCTCCCTAAGAGTCATCACCACTCCCTAATCTCAAGTACCCAGGGACACAAACACTGCGGAAGGCCGCAGGGTCCTCTGCCTAGGAGAACCAGAGACCTTTGTTCACTTGTTTATCTGCTGACCTTCCCTCCACTATTGTCCTATGACCCTGCCAAATCCCCCTCTGGGAGAAACACCCAAGAATGATCAATAAAACAAACAAACAAACAAAAACCTCTTAACTATGCCATACGAGGGGCTCTTCCTAAATATGTATGACATGATAGAAATGTCTTCTGTACTATCCTTTATGTTTTTTTTGCATTTCACAAATACATATAATATTTTTAAAAGTCAGAAAGTTGGCCAGGCACAGCAGCTCAAGCCTATAATCCCAGCCCTTTGGGAGGCAAAGGCAGTTGCACTGCTTGAACCCAGGAGTTTGAGACCAGCCTGAGCAACCCTGTCTCTACAGAATACGAAAAATTAGCCAGTCATGGTGGCAGGTACCTGTAGTCCCAGCTACTTGTAAGGCTGAGATGGGAGGATTGCTTGAGCCCAGGAAGGTCAAGGCTGCAGTTAGCCGTGATTGTGCCAGTGCATTCTAGCCTGGGTGACAGGTTATGAGACCCTATCTAATAATAATAATAATAATAATAATAATAATAATAATAATAATAAAGAAAGTTGAGAAGTCAAAAAAGGGAAAGATATGTAGAATTCAATTATGATTATGCATATATGACTATCTTGAGCATTAATGTAGATCGAAGTTTATGTATCTACTCATCAAGAAAGCAAAATAGTACCAGAAGGATCCACATCAAACTCTTGCACTGGACAATGACCATCACTAAGATTCTAAAAAACACTTTTAGAATAAATTCAGCAAAGTTGCAGGAGATAAAACCAACACACAAAAATAAGTTGTGTTTCTACATACTAATCTATATACCAATAAAGAACAATTCTTAAAGGGTATTTAAAAAAATTCCGGAGGAGGTTCCAAGATGGCCAAATAGCAACAGCTCCAGTCTGCAGCTTCCAGCGTGAGCAATGCAGAAGACAGGTGATTTCTGCATTTCCAACTGAGGTACCAGGTTCATCTCACTGGGGATTGTCAGACAGTGGGTGCAGCCCACGGAGCAGGTGGGGCATCGCCTCACCCTGGAAGTGCAAGGGGTCGGGGAATTCCCTTTCCTAGCAAAGGGAAGCCGTGACAGACGGTACCTGGAAAATCGGGACACTCCCACCCTAATACTGCGCTTTTCCAATGGCCTTAGCAAATGGCACATCAGGAGATTATATCCTGCACCTGGCTTGGAGGGTCCCACGCCCACGGAGCCTCGCTCACTGCTAGCACAGCAGTCTGAGACTGAACTGCAAGGCGGCAGCAAGGCTGGGGAGGGGCGTCCCCTATTGCTGAGGCTTGAGTAGGTAAACAAAGCAGCCAGGAAGCTCGGACTGGGTGGAGCCCACCGCAGCTCAAGGAGGCCTGCCTGCCTCTGTAGACTCCACCTCTGGGGGCAGGGCATAGCTGAACAAAAGGCAGCAGAAACTTCTGCAGATTTAAACGTCCCTGTCTGACAGCTTTGAAGAGAGTAGTGCTTCTCCCAGCACAGAGTTTGAGATCTGAGAACGGACAGACTGCCTCCTCATGTGGGTCCCTAACCACCGAGTAGCCTAACTGGGAGACACCTCCCAGTAGGGGCCGACTGTCACCTCATAAAGCTGGGTGCCCCTCTGAGATGAAGCTTCCAGAAGAAGGATCAGACAGCAACATTTGCTGTTCTGCAATATCTGCTGTTCTGAAGCCTCCGCTGGTGATACCCAGGCAAACAGGATCTGGAGTGGACCTCCAGCAAACTCCAACAGACCTGCAGCTGAGGGTCCTGACTGTTAGAAGGAAAACTAGCAAACAGAAAGGACATCCACACCAAAACCCCATCTGTACGTCACCATCATCAAAGACCAAGGGTAGATAAAACCACACAGATGGGGAGAAACCAGAGCAGAAAAGCTGAAAATTCTAAAAATCAGAGCACCTCTTCTCCTCCAAAGGAACATAGCTCCTCACTAGCAATGGAACAAAGCTGGACAGAGAATGACTTTGATGAGTTGAGAGAAGAAGGCTTCAGACGATCGGTAATAACAAACTTCTCCAAGCTAAAGGAGGATGTTCCAACCCATTGCAAAGAAGCTAAAAACCTTGAAAAAAGATTAGACAAATGGCTAACTAGAATAAACAGTGTAGAGAAGTCCTTAAATGACCTGATGGAGCTGAAAACCATGGCACGAGAACTACATGACAAATGCACAAGCTTCAGTAGCTAATTTGATCAAGTGGAAGAAAGGGTATCAGTGACTGAAGATCAAATGAATGAAATGAAGCAAGAAGAGAAGTTTAGAGAAAAAAGAGTAAAAAGAAACAAACAAAGCCTCCAAGAAATATGGGACTATGTGAAAAGACCAAATCTACATCTCGTGTACCTGAAAGTGATGGGGAGAATGGAACCAAGTTGGAAAACACTCTGCAGGATATCATCCAGGAGAACTTTCCCCAACCTAGCAAGGCAGGCCAACATTCAAATTCAGGAAATACAGAGAACACCACAAAGATACTCCTCAAGAAGAGCAACCCCAAGACACATAATTGTCAGATTCACCAAAGTTGAAAGAAGGAAAAAATGTTAAGGGCAGCCAGAGAGAAAGGTCAGGTTACCCACAAAGGGAAGCCCATCGGACTAACAGTGGATCCCTAAGCAGAAACTCTACAAGCCAGAAGACAGTGGGGGCCAATATTCAACATTCTTAAAGAAAAGAATTTTCAACCCAGAATTTCATATCCAGCCAAACTAAGCTTCATAAATGAAGGAGAAATAAAATCCTTTACAAACAAACAAATGCTGAGAGATTTTGTCACCACCAGGCCTGCCTTACAAGAGCTCCTGAAGGAAGCACTAAACATGGAAAGGAACAACCGGTACCAGCCACTGCAAAAACATGCCAAATTGTAAAGACCATCGAGGCTAGGAAGAAACTGCATCAACTAATGAGCAAAATAACCAGCTAACATCATAATGACAGGATCAAATTCACACAGAACAATATTAACCTTACATGTTCATGAACTAAATGCTCCAATTAAAAGACACAGACTGGCAAAATGGATAAAGAGTCAAGACCCATCAGTGTGCTGTATTCCGGAGACCCATCTCACATGCAGAGACACACACAGGCTCAAAATAAAGGGATGGAGGAAGATCTACCAAGCAAATGGAAAACAAAAAAAAGCAGGGGTTGCAATCCTAGTCTCTGATAAAACAGACTTTAAACCAACAAAGATCAAAAGAGACAAAGAAGGCCATTACATACTGGTAAAGGGATCAATTCAACAAGAAGAGCTAACTATCCTAAATATATATGCAACCAATACAGGAGCACCCAGATTCATAAAGCAAGTCCTTAGAGACCTACAAAGAGACTTAGACTCCCACACAATAATAATGGGAGACTTTAACACCCCACTGTCAACATTAGACAGATCAACGAGACAGAAAGTTAACAAGGATATCGAGGAATTGAACTCAGCTCTGCACCAAGCAGACCTAACAGACATCTACAGAACTCTCCACCCCAAATCAACAGAATAAACATTCTTCTCAGTACCACATCACACTTATTCCAAAATTGACCACGAAGCTGGAAGTAAAGCACTCCTCAGCAAATGTAAAAGAACAGAAATTTTAACAAACTATCTCTCAGACTACAGTGCAATCAAACTAGAACTCAGGATTAAGAAATTCACTCAAAACCACTCAACTACATGGAAACTGATCAACCTGCTCCTGAATGACTACTGGGTACATAACGAAATGAAGGCAGAAATTAACATGTTCTTTGAAACCATGAGAACAAAGACACAACATACCAGAATCTCTGGGACACATTCAAAGCAGTGTGTAGAGGGAAATTTATAGCACTTAATGTCCACAAGAGAAAGCAGGAAAGATCTAAAATTGACACCCTAATATCACAATTAAAAGAACTAGAGAAGCAAGAGCAAACACATTCAAAAGCTAGCAGAAGGCAAGAAATAACTAAGATCAAAGCAGAACTGAAGGAGATAGAGACACAAAAAACCCTTCAAAAAAAATCAATGAATCCAGGAGCTGGTTTTTTGAAAAGATCAACAAAATTGATAGACCACTAGCAAGACTAATAAAGAAGAAAAGAGAGAAGAATCAAATAGATGCAATAAAAAATGATAAAGGGGATATCACCACTAATCCCACAGAAATACAAACTAACATCAGAGAATACTATAAACACCTCTACACAAATAAACTAGAAAATCTAGAAGAAATGGATAAATTCCTGGACACATACACCCTCCCACATCTAAACCAGGAAGATGAATCCCTGAATAGACCAATAACAGGTTCTGAAATTGAGGCAATAATTAATAGCCTACCAACCAAAAAAAGTCCAGGACCAAACGGATTCACAGCCAAATTCGACCAGAGGTATAAAGAGGAGCTGGTACCATTCCTTCTGAAACTATTCCAATCAATAGAAAAAGAGGGAATCCTCCCTAACTCATTTTATGAGACCAACATCATCCTGATACCAAAGCCTGGCAAAGACACAACAAAAAAAGAGAATTTTAGACCAATATCCCTGATGAACATCGATGCAGAAATCCTCAATAAAATACTGGCAAACCGAATCCAGCAGCACATCAAAAAGCTTATCCACCATGATCAAGTTGGCTTCTTATCTGGGATGCAAGGCTGGTTCATCATACGCAAATCAATAAACGTAATCTATTCACATAAGCAGAACCAATGACAAAAACCACATGATTATCTCAATAGTTGCACAAAAGGCCTTCAACAAAATTCAACACTCCTTCATGCTAAAAACTCTCAATAAACTAGGTATTGATGGAACGTATCTCAAAATAATAAGAGCTACTTATGACAAACCCACAGCCAATATCGTACTGAATGGACGAAAACTGGAAGCGTTCCCTTTGAAAAACGGCATAAAACAAGGATGCCCTCTCTCTCCACTCCTATTCAACATAGTATTGGAAGTTCTGGCCAGGGCAATCAGGTATGAGGAAGAAATAAAGGGTATTCAAATAGGAAAAGAGGAAGTCAAATTGTCTCTGTTAGCAGATGACATGATTGTATATTTAGAAAACCCCATCATCTCAGCCCCAAATCTCCTTAAGCTGATAAGCAACTTCAGCAAAGTCTCAGGATACAAAATCAATGTGCAAAAATCACAAGCATTCCTATACACCAAGAACAGAGAGCCAAATCATGAGCAAACTCCCATTCACAACTGCTACTAAGAGAATAAAATACCTAGGAATACAACTTACAAGGGATGTGAAGGACCGCTTCAAGAACTACAAATCACTGCTCAAGGAAATAAAAGAGGACACAAACAAATGGAAAAACATTGCATACTCATGGATAGGAAGAATCAATATTGTGAAAATGGCCATACTGCCCAAAGTAATGTATAGATTCAATGCTATCCCCATCAAGCTACCACTGACTTTCTTCACAGAATTGGAAAAAACTACTTTAAATTTCTTATGGAATCAAAAAACAGCCCAAATAGCCAACACAATCCTAACCAAAAAGAACAAAGCTGGAGGCATCATGCTGTCTCACTTCAAACTACACTACAAGGTTACCATAACCAAAGCAGCATGGTACTGGTACCAAAACAGATATATAGACAAC
This sequence comes from Homo sapiens, assembly GCF_000001405.40. Taxonomy (NCBI): domain Eukaryota; kingdom Metazoa; phylum Chordata; class Mammalia; order Primates; family Hominidae; genus Homo; species Homo sapiens. Next base: position 56,577,768 of record NC_000003.12, on the reverse strand, counting down.
TGGAACAGAACAGAGGCCTCAGAAATAACACCACACATCTACAACCATCTGATCTTTGACAAACCTGACAAAAACAAGCAATGGGGAAAGGATTCCTTACTTCATAAATGGTGTTGGGAAAACTGGCTAGCCATATGCAGAAAACTGAAACTGGACCCCTTCCCTTCCTTACACCTTATACAAAAATTAACTCAAGATGAAATAAAGACTTAAACCTAAGACCTAAAACCATAAAAACCCTAGAAGTAAACCTAGGCAATATCATTCAGGACATCATGGACAAAATGACTAAAACACCAAAAGCAATGGCAACAAAAGCTAAAATTGACAAATGGGATCTAATTAAACTAAAGAGCTTCTGCACAGCAAAAGAAACTACCATCAGAGTAAACAGGCAACCTACAGAATGGGAGAAAAATTTTGCAATCTACTCATCTGACAAAGGGCTAATATCCAGAATCTATAAATAACTTAAACAAATTTATAAGAAAAAATCAAACAACTCCATCAAAAAGTGGGCAAAGGATATGAACAGACACTTCTCAAAAGAAGACATTTATGCAGCCAACAGACACATGAAAAAAATGCTCATCATCACTGGCCATCAGAGAAATGCAAATCAAAACCACAATGAGATACCATCTCACAGCAGTTAGAATAGTGATCATTAAAAAATCAGGGAACAACAGGTGCTAGAGAGGATGTGGAGAAATAGGAACACTTTTACACTGTTAGTGGGACTACATGCTAGTTCAGCCATTGTAGAAGACAGTGTGGCAATTCCTCAAGGATCTAGAACTAGAAATACTATTTGACCCAGCCATCCCATTACTGGGTATATACCCAAAGGATTATAAATCATGCTGCTATGAAGACACATGCATACGTATGTTTACTGCGGCACTATTCACAATAGCAAAGACTTGGAACCAACCCAAATGTCCATCAATGATAGACTGGATTAATACACATACACCATGGAATACTATGCACATATACACCATGCAATACTCTGCAGCCATAAAAAAGATGAGTTCATGTCCTTTGTAGGGACATGGATGAAGCTGGAAACCATCATTCTAAGCAAACTATTGCAAGGAGAGAAAACCAAACATTGCATGTTCTCACTTATAGGTGGGAACTAAACAATGAGAACACTTGGACACAGGGTGGGGAACATCACACATCGGGGCTTGTCGTGGGGTGGGGGGAGGGAGGAGGGATAGCATTAGGAGGTATATCTAATGTAAATGACGAGTTAATGGGTGCAGCACACCAACATGACACATGTATACATATGTAACAAACCTGCATGTTGTGCACATTTACCCCAGAACTTAAAGTATAATAATAAAAAAAAAAATTCCATGTACAATGGCATAAAATTTTTTTTAAAAATCCCATGTACAATGGCATCAAAAAGAAAAAATACTTAGGAATAAACTTAACCAAAACAATAAAAAGAAAAATATATAAAAAAACAAAAAAAATTTAAAAAATTAAAAAGAAAAACTTAACCAAGGAGGAGTAAGACTTGTACACTGAAAACTACAAAACATTGCTGAAAAAAAATTAAAGACACAAATAAATGGAAAGATATCCTGCATTCATTAATTGGAAGACTTAATATTATTGAGATATTAATATTACCCAAAGCAATCTACAGTTTCAATGCAATCTCTATGAAAATATCAATAATCTTTTTTTTTTGCAGAAATAGAAAAATCCATCCTAAAATTCATATGGAATCTCAAGGGACCACGAATAGACAAAACAATCTTAAAAAAGAAGAAAGTTGGAAGGGTCATAGTTCCTGATGGTGAGGCAGTAGCATACAGACAGACTAATGGAATAGAGGAGACCAGAAATAAATCCTCACATACACAGTGAAATAGTTATGGACAAGGGAGCCAACACCATTCAATGGGGAAAGGACATTCTTCAACAATGGTGCTAGGAAAAACTAGATGTCCACATGCAAAAGAATAAAGTAGGGCCCTGACCTTATACCATATAGAAAACTTAATTCAAAATAGATCAAAGACCTAAACATAAGAGCTAGAACTAGAAAACTCTTAGAAGAAAATACAGTCCGATGATCAGACTTGGCAATGATTTCTTTGATAGGACATTAAAAACACAGGCAACAAAAGAAAAGAGATAAAACAGACTTCATCAAAATTAAAGACTTTTGTGCATCAAAGGACACTATTATCAAGAGAGTGAAAAAGTAGCTCACAGAATGGGAGAAAACAGTTGTGAATCATGTATCTGACAAGGGATTATCATACAAAATATATAACTCCTACAACTCAACAACAAAAAAACCCCCAAAAAACCTGACTGAAATGGGCAAAGGATCTCAATAGACATTTCTTCAAATACATGCAAATAGTCAATAAGCCTGTGGGAAAATGTTCCACATCACTAATCATTGGGAAGTGCAAATGAAAACCACAATGATACCATTTCACAACCATTGGGATGGATACTGTCAATAAATCAGAAAGTAAGTGTTGGTGAGGATGTGAAGAAATTGGAACACAGTGCACTGCTGATGGAAATATACATGGTACAGCTGCTGTGGAAAGCAGTTTAACACAAAATTTAACACAAAATAGTTTAACACAAAATTACAAAATTAAAATTGGTAAAAATTTAACATAAAAATTAAACAAAAAATTACCACACAATCCTGCAATTCCAATTCTGAGTACACACCCAAAAGAATTGAAGCAGGAACTCAAAAAGATTATTTATACACCAATGTTCATAGCAGCATTATTCCCAATAGCCAAAAGGTAGAAACAATCCAAATTTCTATCCATGGATTAATGGATAAAGAAAACATGGTATATACATACAATAGGATGTTATTTAGCATTAAAAAGAAATGAAATTCTGACACATGCTACAGTATGGGTAAACCTTGAGGACATTATGCTAAGTGAAATAAGCCAGTTAGAGGCTGAGACAGGAGAATCACTTGAACCCAGGAGTTCAAGGCTGGAGTGCAACATGACTGTGCCTGTTCAGCCTGGGTAACAAAGTGAGACCCCAACTCTTTAAATTATAAGTAGAACAAAACTTTGTTAGCATTTGTTCTATTGTCAGTCACTATTCTAAGCACTTCATATGCATTACCTCATGTTTTAACACTCAAGGCTTTGGTGACTGCCTACAACCAAACTTCTTTCCCTCCCAATTATATGGAGAGACTAACTAGATATTCAAATAGTATAAATAGTTGTGGCTACAGCTGGGATTTCTGAAAACAACTGCTCTAAGGTATTTGAGAAGAGGGCTTTTTTGTTACACAGCAAATTCCTTTTCCCTCAATAACATCTCTCCAATTTTGTACCACATTCGCATACAAATACATAAAAACTGATTTTTTTTTTTTTTTTGAGACAGAGTCTTGCTCTGTCGCCCAGGCTGGAGTGCAGTGGCACGATCTCAGCTCACTGCAACCTCCACCTCCCAGGTTCAAGCAATTCTCCTGCCTCAGCCTCCCAAATAGCTGGGACTACAGGCACGTGCCACCATGTCCAGCTAATTTTTGTATTTTTAGCAGAGATGGGGTTTCACCACGTTGGCTGGGATGGTCTCAATCTCATGACCTCGTGATCCGCCCACCTCGGCCTCCCAAAGTGCTGGAATTACAGGCATGAGCCACTGCACCCAGCGAAAACTGCATTTAAATAGTAAAAAAAATGAGCCAATAATCATACTCTTTTAACTCTTGGTTGTCCAGTCCTGGATATAGCATGTGTTTCGTTTTCTAGTCCTTCTCCCATCATCAACCCCCACAACTTTTGATTCCAAAAATTTTTTAAATAACTTTATTGTTTTTTTTTAGTTATTTAAAAAAAGATACACATGAGGAATAAAAGTAAAATTCTAAGTCCCCCAACCAACTGAATGGATCTCTTGGCCAAGGACCCCAAAGTGCCTTGAAAACTGAGTTCTTGGCCATGAGTGGATGGGGAAATCAGACACACCACATTATACCTCCTCCCTCCCTGGCTAACCACTATTTAGCCTAAGGGCTAAACAGAAACCAGCCCTTCAGAAGATGTCAGCACTGATACCAACCAACCACCTGATGCTTCTGTCCAAAAGGTTTTTGTGTCCTCTGCTTTACTTTTTGATGTCAGAGGGCTGAAAACTCTACCCTTGGATCATGCTAACGCTGACATTTTTTGTACATGGGACCCATGAAGGGGCATAAAACTCAATTGTGCATGGATGTTTCTCCTTTCATAAATATTCATGACTCCTTCTATGCTTATTAAATACGTATATTCAGCCACTTCACTCAGCATAAATTCCTGTTCCCTTCCCCAACACCTTGAAGTTTCTGGCTCCTGGTTGGCCGAAGGCTATGCTTCCCAGCCTGTCAGAATGGCCATGCTGCAGGTTGCAACTGCTGATGAGAAATAAAGTTCTCCTTTCCAAATTCATGAGCCTCGTCATTTCATCAACTGACAAATACTATCATTAAAAAATATATACAAAATATTTTAAAACCTAAATGTCACCTCAAATGGTTCTTTACTTGCATTAACAATCATGGTATGGATTATCCCCAGATAATAAATGACCTAAAAAGCCATGCAAATTAAGAAATAAATTATATATTGACATTTCAACTGAAAATTTGGCAACTGAAATTATTTAACATTTTTAGTATTACAGATTTTTTATCCTGATGTTGAAAAGTAAATAAGCCAACAACGGATCCTCACCAACTTCATGAAAACTTAGTTTTAGCTACAACTTTTAACGGTGTCTGCATACAACTTCTAAACTTTACACACTTAAAATTATCACCCAGAGCTACAGAATTTTCCAAAATGAGTTCTACCAAGACAACCTTATTGCCTTTTCAGTCAATGTGCTTTTGGGATTGTGGGCAAATGCAATTCAGATTTCATTCCTTTTGTTAATGTAAAATTATCAACAGACAACAAAAGTATTCAATGTAGGCAAGTCAGCTCTACATGAAGCAGAACAGACAGCCATGCACAAAATTTAACTTGAAGGGTTTCTATAAGAAATTTACCTAATTAGGCCATAGTGCCAAAAATTTCTACCACCAGAATCATCTCTTTAGGAGAATCATCCCTTCAGGTTACTACATTATTTTCAGAATACATTTGCTAAAATGTAAATGTTCACAAGGAGGAAGGGATAGCAAATGAAGCATAATACACTCAAGTAAAAATTAACTGATAACTAAAAATAAGGAGGACTTAGATTCTCTCCTTCAAGGAAAATAGGTTAGAGGTCAAATACTAAAAGGTTTAAATATCCAAAGTACTGACACTTAGGACTTACCTCTAAAGTCTGACTAGCTCTAAGTTGTGAATGCCCCATCAGCTTGGACCACCATAACCTGGCTACGAGACTGTGATAGAATGCTTGAAGAGCTAGCAGAAGTGTAAAAATAAATAGAAAAACAGTGACACTGTTTCTTTACCCAAAATTAACCACAGATAAAATTTAAAAATCACAAAAGCACTACACAAGACACACTTGGCATATGTGTATATTTGATAACTAAACACTTACACATAGTGGCAGAGTTTTGTATTCATTTCAAAAATTGCACAGCTCCTTTATAAGACTCTAAAGGGAGCCTCTACATTCACCTAACGACATAACGAGACAACTCACAGAATGTAAATAGAGACCAGTTAAGGTCATAATTAAATTAAAAATAACACTGTTTTAAAATACCATATGAGCCAGGCCCAGTGGCTCACACCTACAATCCCAGCTACTCAGGAGGCCAAGGTGGGAGGATCGCTTGAGGTCAGAAGTTTGACACCAGCCTGAGCAACACAGTGAGACCCTGTCTCTAAAAAAAATTTTTTTTAATTAGCTGGGCATGGTGGAGTACACCTGTAGTACCAGCCATTTGGGAGGCAGAGGCAGGAGGATCCCTTCAGTCCAGAAGTTCAAGGCTGCAGGGAATTATGTTTTCACCACTGCATACCTGCCTGAGCAACAGAGCAAGACCCTGTTTCTTTTTTTAAAAAAAACACACATACAAAAAACCCAAAAATATGACAAGTTTTTTTAAATAGGCTGGGCACGGTGGCTCATGCCTGTAATCCCAGCACTTTGGGAGGTCAAGGCTGGCAGATCACATGAGGCCAGGAGTTCGAGACCATCCTGAGTGGTGAAATACCATCTCTATTAAGAATACAAAAAATTAGCTGGCCATGGTGGTGAGTACCTGTAGTCCTAGCTACTCGGGAGGCTGAGGCAGGAGAATCGCTTGAGCCTGGGAGGGGTAGGTTGCAGTGAGCTGAGACTGTGCCACTGCATTCCAGCCTGGGCAACAAGAGAGAAACTCCGTCTCAAAAAAAAAACTTTTTTTTTTTAATAAGCTTTAAAAATAAATTCTATAATATGAACACTGCTTAGTATTTTAAAAATTGCAATTAAGATGTCTTACCCTAGATTGGTCAAGAATTTGATGTTTTTCCCATATTATTTTATCACTTTCAGATTTTTTCCAAGGATCATTCCATTTTTCAGAAACTTCTTTTTCTTTCTTCTTTAAAGCAACCTGTTCATCTGTAAATAATGTCCTTTTTAAAAAAATGTACAAAAACTGTAAAAACAGAACCATGTAAACAAATCTGACCTTCTTAATGCAGATACCAACACAGATCTAATCAAAACTCTTTTTTAGGAAGGAGATTAACTCACAAAGTGGAGAATAATTTTTTAGGGACACAGAATAAGAAAAAATTTAATCAGAACCAAAGTTAAGTATGGTACAATTTTATTATCACAATTACCAATAAGGAGCAGTTTTATTGGAATAACTTATTTTATACTTTGTCAATTATCACGAGGTTCTAGTTTCCTGTAATGTTCATTCAATTATTATTAAGAGAATTAAAAGCTAGAATTCTGAAGTAGAGAACTATGGGTTAAAATTCAAGTTCAACAACTTCCCAGCTACGTGACTGTTAGCAAACTGCTGGTAAGCTTTTTTTTTTTTTAATATAGAGTCTCATTCTGTCAGCAGCCTGGAGTGCAATGGCGCTATCTCAGCTCACTGCAATCTCCGCCTCCCAGGTTCAAGCGATTCCCCTGCCTCAGCCTCCTGAGTAGCTGGGGCTACAGGCAGCACCACCACGCCCGGCTAATTTTTGTATTTTAGTGGAGATGTGGTTTCACCATGTTGGCTAGGATGGTCTCTATTTCCTGACCTTGTGATCCACCTGCCTCGGCCTCCCAACGTGGTAGGATTACAGGCATGAGCCCACCGCAGTTGGCCAACTGCTGGTAAGCTTTCTAAGCCTTGGTTTCTTCTATAAAATGGGGATAATAATAGTGCCTATCTCAATATAGGGCTTGGCACAAAGTAAATATTCAATGAATGTTAGCTATTATTTCTTAATTGCTGACAAGTAAAAAACATAAAAGCCTGTGTCTGAGAGATATAGTCAAAACTAACCCCCCAATCAACAGTAGTTCTTTAAATACAAAATTCAATGTTGTATAAATTTAAATTCCAAGAATGTTACTGGAAGCATGACTTAAATAGAGGCACTTTACTGAGACAAGTTAAAAAAACAGTAAACTGATTTTTAAAATAATTAAAGCATAAGGCCAGGTGTGGTGGCTCACAACTGTAATCACAGCACTTCGGGAGGCCAAGGCAGGCGGATCACCTGAGGTTAGGAGTTTGAGACCAGCCTGGCCAACATGGTGAAACCCTGTCTCTACTAAAGATACAAAAAGTAAGTTGGGCATGGTGGCAGGTGCCTGTAATCCCAGCTACTCAGGAGGCTGAGGCAGGAGAATCACTTGAACCCAGCAAGCAGAGGTTGCAGTGAGCTGAGATGGTGCCATTGCACTCCAGCTTGGGCAACAAGAATGAAACTCCGTCTCAAAACAACAACAACAACAAAAATGATTAAAGCACAAAATATTCTGGTCATTTCCAAGTAGTTCCATATTATTTCAGACATTTGGTATTGCATTTTGATGTGGAATGTGCTGAAAGAAAATATTTAAAGATGAAATTGTGATATAAACACACATCAAGACCGCCAAACCTTCTGATACTGCTAACATAAGTTTAATCTCTTCATTCTTCTTTTACCTTGATGATACAGTTTGGATATTTGTCCCCTTCAAATCTCATGTTGAAATGTGATTCCCCAGTGTTGGAGGTGGGGCCTAAGGGGAGGTGTTTGGGTCACAGGAGATGAATCCCTCATGAATGGCTTGGTGCCATCCCCTTGGGATGATGCTTGAGTTCTCCCTCTGTCAGTTCACATGAGAGCTGGTTGTGTAAAAGAGCCTGGCATCTCTCTTGCCATGTAAAATGCCTGCTCCCCCTTTGCCTTCCACCGTGAGTAAAAGCTTCCTGAGGCCTCACCAGAAGCCGAGGAGATGCTGGTACCATGCTTGTACAGTCTGCAAAACTGTGGGCCAAATAAACCTCTTTTATCAATTATTCAGTCTCAGGTATTCCTTTATAGCAACACAAAACAGACTAACACACTTGACTTCCAGCATCAATTCACTCCTTATTTCTGCTGCTTCTCTCTGTTTTTTTGTAGAGATAGGGTCTCACTCTGTTGCTCCAGCAGGCTGATGTTGAACCCCTGGCCTCAAGCAATCCTCCCATCTTGGCCTTCCAAAGTGCTGGGATTACATGTGAGCCACTCAGCTGGTCTTGCTTATCTCTTTTTCTAAATCATCTATCCCAGCCAAGTTAGTGATGGCCTCACAAGACTTTCTTGTTTTTCAACTAGGGTGAAGCCCATCTCATGCCTTTAGCATAGCTATTCCTAAGAAATACAACTGTTACGTCACATGTTTTGCAGATTGTGATACGCAGACTCCAAGTTTAGTCGAAGAAGTAATGGATATTTCTTAGTCACTAACGAAATTTCAAGACTCTAACAGAAATTATAGATTTTTCTGTTATAAGGTCCAAAGCTGAAAGAAAGCAATAAGCTTATTTCTGTCTAGAATACATACTGTCTGATACAACAATGATTCTTCTTCATTAGAATGTTTTGGTTATTTAAAAAAGTGAAATCAATTAGTTTTTAGTAAAACCATCCTTAAACGCATAGGATGTCTGCTATCAAAAATTATAAAAAAGGATTTCCAGGAAATGGGAAAAGTTTACAAATCTTTGACCTTACAAGGGCTGCAGAATGTACTGATGACATTAATGTTTTTGGTGCACACTTCAGAGTAACAAAAAGACACGACCTAAGGCATTATGAAACCACTAAGTTTCTTAAGCATTTGTAGAGAACTACTCTAGATGTCAAATATTATAAAATACGACTTTTGATAATATCATACTAAAAGATATACAGTAGGCCCTCCATATCCATGGATTCCACATGAGCATCTGTGCATTTTGGCACCCTGAAGTGGGAAGACTATCCTTGAACCAGTCTCTCATGGATACTGAGGGATAACTATACTTTAAAGGGAACTACAGTGTTTTACCCCAAAATGTATTAATTTGACACATTTCAAGATGGCTGTTCAGAGGGCCTACAAACAGAAGTAGCCTTGCAAAGCTGTCTTTTGTGGGGAAGATTTGCATCTGTAGAGAAAATCTGCAATGACGCAGCCAGGCTTTCTCTGAGGATTCTCCCCTGTCCAGATCTAGGATAAATTAACCGAGTCTGACACCTTTAAAGGTCTGAAGGAAACATTTGTCATCTGTTCTCTGAAGGCTACTACCTTTGAGGTCTCATGTACATAATAAAACCACTTTTGGCCGGGCGTGGTGGCTCACGCCTGTAATCCTAGCACTTTGGGAGGCCGAGGCAGGTGGATCATGAGGTCAGGAGATCAAGACCATCCTGGCTAACACAGTGAAACCCCGTCTCTACTAAAAATACAAAAAAATTAGCCGGGCGTGGTAGTGGGTGCCTGTAGTCCCAGCTACTGGGGAGGCTGAGGCAGAATGGCGTGAACCCGGGAGGTGGAGCTTGCAGTGAGCCGAGATCACACCACTGTACTCCAGCCTGGGCAACACAGCGAGACCCCATCTCAAAAAACAAAACAAAACAAAACAAAAAAACACTTTTACTGGCCAGGTTGCCTCTCCTCCCCCTCCCATAATCTGTTTTGCCATGCTCCAACCCCTATTGTTTCTGTAACCTCAACATGGTGGACAAGTGTCAGCCATCTGGCCATTTATTTTAGTTTTTATATTTTGTAAAACTTCCATGCATGTTAATAAATTTGTATGCCTTTTATTAATTTGCCTTTTGTCAGTTGATCTTTCAGAAAACCTCCAGAGGGCAAAGGGGACGTTTTCCCTTGGCCCCTAAACTTCATCCTCAATACATATTCTTTTTTATTTATTTATTTGAGATGGAGTCTTGCTCGGTAGCCCAGCTGGAGTGCAGTGGCACGATCTTGGCTCACTGCAACCTCTGCCTCCCAGGTTCAAGCAATTCTCCTGCCTCAGCCTCCCGAGTAGCTGGGATTACAGGCGTGCACCACCACGCCCAGCTAATTTTTATATTTTTAGTAGAGATGGGATTTCACCATGTTGGCCAGGATGGTCTTGATCTCTTGCCCTCCTGATCCACCCACCTCGGCTTCCCAAAGTGCTGGTATTACAGGTGTGAGCCACCGTGCCCGGCTTCAATACATATTCTTTAAGCCAATAAAACTATAATAAAGGTATAAAAGTTACCTACCTAGCTCTTTCCTCCACTGGGCTTTTTTTGCTTCCAACGAACTTCTATCACATTCCCTTTCCCCCAGAGTACTGAATATATCAGCTGGTTTCCATTCATTCTCTCTAAGGTAAAACACAAAAGATAACAGAAACTGTATCATACATTTCTACACAACTGACTCCATAAATATTAAGTAATAAGCTTTTAAATAGCTCTAAGTATTCAGAGTAACTATTTCACATGCAAGTAAAGGAAAAGCAAAACCATATTCTGAAGATGACCACACAATAACAACAGATAGGAGTTACATACATGGCAATTTTTTGCTCACACTGTTTAGATGTCTCCTGATGTTCATTTAAGACAGATTTATTTTCAGCTGGGACAGATGAAACCATTTCAGTTTTTTTGAATAATCCCATAATGTTCTCATCCTTTGGCTGATTAGAAATACTGTTTAAATATAGACTATATTGACCTAGGAGGTAAAATACATGTTTTAAAATTAACACTAAATTACATCTGTTATAATACTTGGCATAGTGCTATACAGTTCTTACATGTCTTACACGTTACTTAAATTAACTCTCAAAACAATCCTTGAGGTAGCCATTAAGTTTCCCTTCCTGTCAAAAAGAAAAAAAGGAAGCAGGGAGTGGTGGCTCACACCTGTAGTCCCAGAACTTTGGAAGGCTGACGTGGGCAGATTGCTTAAGCTCAGGAGTTCGAGATCAGCCTGGGCAACATGACAAAACCTCGTCTCTACAAAAATTACAAAAATTAGGTAGGTGTGGTGGCACGTGCCTGTAGTCCTAGCTATTTGGGACACTGAGGTGGGAGGATGGGTTGAGCCCAAGAGGTGGAGGTTTCAGTGAGCTGAGATTGTGCCACTGCACTCTGCACTCCAGTCTGGGCCAGATGTCGTCTCAAAAAAACAAAACAAAACAAAACAAAACAAAACAAAGGAAACTGAAGCCCAGAGGTTAAATGGCTTGCTCATGACCATAGCCATACAATTTCTTATATCAAATAAGGAAAACAAGCGAGCAACAACAGAAAACAAATCTCCATTTCCTCTTGCCAGCATGCTTTTAAAAATAAAAACTGGCCAGGCACGGTGGCTCACGCCTGTAATCCCAGCACTTTGGGAGGCCAAGGTGGGCGGATCACGAGGTCAGGAGATCGAGACCATCCTGGCGAACACGGTGAAACCCCGTCTCTACTAAAAATACAAAACATTAGCCGGGCGTGGTGGCGGGCGCCTGTAGTCCCAGGTACTTGGGAGGCTGAGGCAGGAGAATGGCGTGAACCTGGGAGGCGGAGCTTGCAGTGAGCCGAGATCGCACCACTGCACTCCAGCCTGGGCGATGCAGCGAGACTCCAGCCTGGGCGACGCAGCGAGACTCCAGCCTGGGCAACGGAGCGAGACTCCATCTAAAAAAATAATAATAATAAATAAAAAATAAAAATAAAAATTATATGGCTGGGTGTGGTGGCTCATGCCTGTAATCCCAGCACTTTAGGAGGCTGAGGCAGGCGGATCATGAGGTCAGGAGACTGAGATCATCCTGGCTAACACGGTGAAACCCCGTCTCTACTAAAAATACAAAAAAAAGAAAAAAAAAAAAAAGTTAGCCGGGTGTGGTGGCATGCGCCTGTAGTCCCAGCTACTCGGGAGGCTGAGGCAGGAGAATGGTGTGAACCCGGGAGGCAGAGCTTGCAGTGAGCCAAGATCGTGCCACTGCACTCCAGCCTGGGTGACAAAGCGAGACCCCATCTCAAAAAATAAATAAATAAATAAAATAAAAATTATAACACAAATCACAACCTAAAGGGGAATACAAATATCTTGATAAATACTCATTACCTTGACGTTATTTTTCTTATTTAGCTGTGAAATCAGTGGAAAACCTTTTCATGAATTGTCTCTATGCCCAGCTATAATATCAAAATCAGATGTTTTAGAGGGCTCACAGGATGGCTCAAAAAATGTTCTGATTTCTTTTGAATGTGCTAGTTCTCCCAGTGAAGAGAAAGAAATCATGAAAGTCTACGTGATTAGGCAAATTCTGCTTTTAACTTTGTTGATATGATTTCTCGTTATGCCTAATAAGCAGGTTGTTGCTAGAATTTTAGCCTTAAAGACAAAATCCAGCTCCCTCATTTTACCAAGAATAATCTATAACAAGAGAGTAAATAATTCCATCTTGAGTATCACGGGAATATTCAGGAGTTAATGGGTCCCCAAACCATTTGTGGGGCCTCTCCATGTGAACTGTTAATTTTTTATTTATTTCACTATTGCCTAATAAAATTTTAGATATTTCTATTGTCTTCATATTCGCAATTCCTTATCCCAAAGTGGAAATTAGAAGGCTTTTAAAAACACAATACAATGCCAGGACTTGTGAAAGACAAAGCATGTAACACTCTACTGTTCCTTCCAAATCTGTGTTAACCTTGTTTTTTAAAAAAAGTACTGCCATTTCTTAGCATGGAATGAGGAACAGGAAGAGTAAATGCTGTGGCCAGGAAAGCAATGTTTTTCAGTAACTCAAGTCAAATAGTCATAGTAAGGTTTCCTTAATTTTCACTGGAAATACCGTAATTTGTTTTTAAACAATGTTTCATATAACTATTTTAAATATGAGTAAAGCCTCCTATATTCTAAAATAAGTATAATAATAGTTTTTTGTACTAACATTTTTTCTAAAATCCACAGAAACTAGGTTTCTTAATATTCTGAACACTAACCTTAAAATATGGCACAACTATAAAAATAATTTTGCATATTAGAGAAAGTCCTCTAAAAGAACAATTATTTTAATAGATTGACAGGTTAAATTAGAGTTTAAGAGTCACAGTTACATAAAACCCAATGAATCTGATATTCTAAAACACATATTGAAAAAATCAAAATTCATGAAAACTTTAGAAAAATCTTACTTTTTGCCTCCTTTCCATTCTCAGTCAGGGAAAGAGATCTATTTCCTTGGTTTACAGTCATCAAAATCTGTTGTAGTTGGTCTTGTGTTAGACACACCAAACTGCTCTTCATGTTTTCAGCTGTGATGTGTTTTTTGTGAGGCTTCTGTTTACCTACTAGAGATGTATTTACGGTGTTTCTAGTCTTCTGCATATTAGGGGTTGCAGGTGAAATCTCTTTCTGGATATGAAGACAGTCTTTATCTATACATTGTTTACATAAATCCTTAGTGGATGAAAAAGTCATTCCATTTTTTTCACCTTTTGCCTGTGATGTTTCTGAACCAACTGGCTTCTTTTGCAAAAGTTTTTCACTCCCAATACAAGTATCTTGTGTTGATTTTAGAATGTGCCCAGTTTTTGTTCTTAAAGGACATTTTGCAATCTTGGCCTTATTTCCCATCTGTTAAAACACCAGAAGCTTATTCTTTATAACTGTCCAAGAAAAATCACCAATTATCTTTATATGATCTGTGATAAATCAGTCCTCTAAACTTTTTTCCATTTTGCTATTTAGGTAATATAACCATAAGAAACTAACTCTTAATACTTGCAAATCTTCATCAACAACTAGAAATTATCTTACTTCAGGAACTTTTATTATAGTTGTTATAGGACATCTCCACTATACTCCAGCTTTGAATCTTATGTCATTAGATTATACCACCTACATTATCTCTTTTTTTTTTTTTTCAATTAAAAAAATTTTTTTAACTACTTTTTTTTGACACAGCATTTCACTCTGTTGCCCAGGCTGGAGTGCAACAGCACGATCTCAGCTCACTGCAACCTCCACCTCCCCGGTTGAAGCAATTCTCCTGCCTCAGCCACCTGAGTAGCTGGGATTACAGGTGCCCACCACCAAGCCTGGCTAGTTTTTGTATTTTTAGTAGGGACGGGGTTTCACCATGTTAGCCGGGCTGGTCTCGAACTCCTGACCTCAGGTGATCCACCTGCCTTGGCCTCCCAAAGAGCTGGGATTACAGGCGTGAGCCACCAAGCCCAGCCATTTTTTATTATTATAAAGACAATGTTCAATGGATTTGTTTAATATCAGCTCACTTCACAATTTATATGGGGCCAGGATCCCAAGGCCAGAACAAATCAGAGAAAAGTAACATTTTTAAATATAAAATGTGGGCCAGGGTGCAATGGCTCATGCCTGTAATCCCAGCACTTTGGGAGGCCGAGGTGGGTGGATTGCCTGAGGTCAGGAGTTCAAGGCCAGCCTGGCCAACAAGGTAAAACACCATCTCTACTAAAAAAAAAAAATACAAAAAATTAGCTGGGCGTGGTGGTGGGCTCCTGTAATCCCAGCTACTCGAGGGGCTGAGGCAAGAGAATCGCTTGAACCCAGAAGGCAGAGGTTGCAGTGAACCGAGATCGTGCCACTGCACTCCAGCCTGGGCAACAACAACGAAACTTCATCTCTAAAACAAACAAAATATATATATATAAAATGTGCTACCTAGCACTAATATTACAAATACCTTTTAGTATGTCACTGATTCTCACGTGCAGAGGTACTCATAAAAATTTTTTTATTGTTTTATAGTTCAACTAATCTTTGAGACTATTTTAAGTGTAAGAGTTTTAGAATCCATTATTTTAATAAATTACTTATGATACTGTATTATCTGTATTTTCCCATTTCTCTTCCTATAAACCTAAGAAATTAGGAAAGTAACCAAGTTTACTTCATTACCACAGATTGAAGAAAAATAAAAATGTAGGAGAGGCTGGGCACAGTGGCTCACACCTATAATCCTAGCACTCTGGGAGGCTGAGGCGGAAGGATCGCTTGAGCCCAGGAGTTTGAGACAAGCCTGGGCAACACAGGAAGACTCCCGTCTGTACAAAAAATTTTAAACAATTAACTGAGCCTGGTGGTGTGGGCACGCGCCTGTAGTCCTAGCTACTTGGGAGGCTGAGGCAGGAGGATCCCTTGAGCCCAGGAGGTCGAGGCTGCAGTGAGCCATAATTGTCCCACTGCACTCCAGCCTGGACAAAGAGAGAGAGCCTGCCTCAAAAAAGAAAAAAAAAAAGAAAAGAAAAATGCACAGATTTTGATAGAATTAGGAAAGCACTTTGACCACATATATGTTAAACTTGATGATAATGAGATAGAGTTCAGCTGTGTTTAAAGAACAAACTATGGAGATTACAATAATTCAACCAGTGGGAAATGGGGGAAAAAAAAAGAGACCTGTAGGTGTTGTAGTAACTCAGGAGCTTACCCCATTAGAAGGAATAAAGAAAAGCACTATGCAGAGATAATTCATGAATAACTTGCAGAAAAGAGAATTCAACATCTAGTGGCAGAACTGTGAAATTTGGGAAACTAAAAAACAAAACAAAAAAGGAAGAAAATACTACTGATTTTGGTGTTTATAGTCTGTGAAGAGCAAAAAAGAAATGAGGAGGATCTCTGTAACCTCTATCAATATGGGAAGAGAAACTTCTTGAAAACAATCAATACAGAAGGGAAACTTAGGTTGCATCAGTATTTTGAAGTCCCAAATGCAATGGGGATAAACCCAAACAATTTGCTTTAAGGCAGTAAACAATTTAGGCTCAACATCAGTTGAGAACACAGTAGTTACTCTTAAAAAAAAAATTCTAAAACACCTTTAGATAGCTGATAGAATTTTATGATTAAAAGTCTAGTAATCAAAAGTCCAAGACTAGTAACTTTATTATAGGCCTACCAAAAATCCAAGACCAGTAATTCTGTTTATTATAGGCCTATAAAGGGGATCTTCAGATGTTCTGAGTTGGTTAAAATGACAATAAAATGTCTTCACAAATGTGGCTTCTATAACAAATCAGCCTGGAGAAGATAAAAATCAACCATTACAAACAGCTTTTCATCTAGGAACTTGATAAAGGCCACTGTATTTGTGAATGTGTTTCAAATAACAGCAGTTAGTTGCAATTTTTAATAGGGAAAGGGGTAGGAATAACATACAATCTGTAGTCTGTGATTGGGGAGCATACATGGTATATAACTATATGATAGAGAAAGAGAAACAATTTTTATATGTAGTTTGTGGAATTGTTCTGATCATCTTCACCTATTTATTGAGTGATATTTCGGGTACTCCAGCAACTTCTTCACCTTAATTAAACCTGCAAGTAAAGCCATCAAGGGCTTAGAGTTGAAGGATAAAGTGGTACATCATCCAAACTGGGTTCTATCCACAGACAAGCAAAGACTTTAAGACACTGCAAAGATAAAAGGGGGCTGTAGTAAGTTATGGAAGAGAAGAGAAATTCCTACTGATATTAATCTAAAAATTAAAAAAGAAATAGGTAGCAAGAAGAGTAGAAGTATCAAAACAGTTGGCTTTTTTTGCTTTTGTTTTTTGAGAAGGAATTTCGCTCTGTCCCCCAGGCTGGAGTGCAGTGGTGCGATCTCGGCTCACTACAACCTCCATCTCCAGGGTTCAAGTGATTCTTCTGCCTCAGCCTCCTAAGTAGCTGGGACTAGCGCCACCACATCTAATTTTTGTATTTTTCATAAAGATGGGGTTTCACCATGTTGGCCAGGCTGGCCTTGAACTCCTGACCTCAGGTGATCCACCCACCTTGGCCTCCCAAAGTGCTGGGATTACAGGCATGAGCCACCATGCCCAACCTCAAAAAAATTTTTTAAATGGTAATTCCAGCCTATGCAACATAGTGAGATCCCATCTCTACTAAAAATAAAAAAAATTAGCTGGGCATGGTGGCTCATGCACACGGTCCCAGCTACTCAGGAGGCTGGAGGAGGAAGATCTGCAGCCATGATTATGCCACTACACTCCAACCTGGGTGACAAGAGTGAGACTCTGCCTCAAAAATTAAAATAAACAAAGTGATAATGTATTTTGTAGAAAAAAGCACAATAGATTTCTGATAAGGGAAAATAATTTAAAAGGAAAATTACCCTTAAGCTCAAGTGCAACCTTTTAAAGGAAAATGCTAAATGCATGCTACAATTTGTGAATTAAATTTCCCCTTTGGTGTGGGCAAATGGAATTTGAGTATGAAAAGAAAAAACATTTCTGTTTAAAGTCTGAATATCTATTTTTAAAGATCTCTGGAGTGCATTGTCCAGTACAATCCATTATCCATTAAATTCCATTAAAAATTAAAGGAAATTAGAAATTCAGTTGCTCAGTCATACTAGTTACATTTTAAGGGTTCAATAACTATACATGACTAGTGGCTTCCATATTCAATAATACTGATTTTATTAATGAACACTTCCATTAACACAGATGCTTTACTGAATAGCACTTATCTAGAGAAAGAGGTTCTATTGGGCTAAACCTAAAATGATTCAATTTCTGTGAAAGGACCAATCTGAAAGCAAGAAAATAATAACTCCTCACTATAATTCCAAACCCCTTAGAACACTTGACATTTCCCAGGAATTATTTTCTAACCACTATAAATAAAACTGCATTTTACATTTGAAAACAGGTCAGGTCAAAGTTATACGGCTTACCTTCACAGAAATTTTTGATTTATGTTCTACAAAAGAAAAAAGAAATTACTAAACTATCCACCAAAAGCATACTAAGGTGGTAATGCAAGAAAACTGTAATTAATATTGTTATAAGATTTTAAGCTAGCAACATTATCCTCGAAAGCATAAACTTTAGATCTTGACTGAGTATTTTTTTCTAATCCAGTTCAAGGATTTACTTCTATTTTATTTTTGTTTTTTATCTTTCCAAGGTAAAACTATAAACAGAAAAAAAAATGCGAAGGAGAAGGTACCAAAGTACACTGAGTTTAAAAACGAATACTAAAAGTGACTTTAGCATTTTACGGTGGTCTTACTATAAACTTTTCTCAAATGATACATTCTTTACATGCAAAGAACATAATTACATAAATTTTACTTGTATTATTCATCAGGCAATGAGGATATTTGCTATATGGATATAATGAACACGCAATATACTGGAACATTAAATGTTATGAGTCTGAATACTGACAGTAGTAAGCAGTGTTGTAATCTGATTTTATTTGGCTAGAAGGAAATCTGCAGAAGTTTGAGGAAACAGCTTTTTCTAAAATATCATTTAAATATCACTCTATTACAAGCAAAAAGTCTGTTGAACTAATATAAATTTTATGTATGAATTTAAAAGTTAACATTTCAGATTTCTGTAACACAACATACCATATGGAGACAATATTAGCTTGGTTTTTCCATCCAGTAATTCAGTTTCAAGCTTTAAACCATCTCTGTAATAAAAAAAGAAAGTTGTCTCTCATTTTTAACAAACCGCAACATTTTAAATAACCAGAAATGTTCATTTGAACCTGACAATAAATCCATTATTTTGAATTTATGCAGGAATCTTGTACACATCGAACCAGTGTTTTAATTAAAAACGTTTGCAATCCAAGATAAAACCCACAACTACAGGGGGAAAATTCTTGAAACTCTTCAATACTACAAGCATTGTTATCATTAACCTGAAATCTCATTTTGTTATTGGTAAACTATAAATTAAGTTATCATACCACCATTTTTTAATAATGCTGTTACCAAAACTCCTCACATAAGTTAAAGGAACAAGATATATTTAACCGCCATTCATTAGTTTCATAATGAACTCATGACTAAAACATTCTATGGAGTGCTGGAGCATCGATATGACTACTAACAATGCCATCAAGGTTAGTAACTGCTTGAGCAAAGAGTACCACTTTCAATATTTCAAATAATACATAGTGATATTTAGTATGGTGCTTTATACGTGCATATCAGAAGCAAAGGCATAAAGTAACAGTAGCCACTGCCAACAAAACTTGAACGTCTGTTAAGGTCCTAAAACTCCACTGAGAACAAAAATGGCAGCCCATACATACAGTCCATAATTCAGAGAGAGAAAATTAAATCCAGCAAGCCAGTCAAGGGAGAGAGAGGCTGGGAAAGGTCTGATTAGGAATGCGAAATTTGCGGTGTTGCTCAGGTAGGGGAAATCAAATTACCTCACCTTAACTATTAAAGGTAAAACACTGGAAAGAATAGGTTTTACGGCTTTCCTTATTGTAGGGTTATGAACAGTTCGTGTTTATGTTGGTGAAACGTCACCAAGAAAGAAAAGAGCTTCAATGGTAAAGTACCTTCAATGACGCACTGCACTGTAATCTCCTTAAGGGACACACTATCTTATTTATTTCCATATCCCCAGATTCTAAAACATAATAACATTTGCTGAACGATGTGTAGTTAGGTCTGAGTTTGGTGGCTTCTCATCTTCTCAAAATATCAAACTTGCGAGTGATGAAGACCATGCACCAGCCCTTTTTATTTATTCACCCCTACTTAAGGAGCGCCTACTAGGTGTTAGGCACTGGTACTACATCGATTTCTTGAGAAGCCTGGTTCCCCGCCTCGTGGGCCTAAAACGAATTTGGGCGTTTCAACATTCTGCAAGACTCCAAAAACAAGGTGGCGAAGAACCCGGGGCATGGGCCAGGAGTCCTCCCCAGGAGCCGCCACGCTTCCTCTAACTGTCTCGTCATTTCTCTCCTTTCCTCCTCACCTCTCTTCCCTCCTCATCCTGAGGTAAATAAGGGACCGAAAGGGGATCACTGGCAGTTTTAATGCTAGTCATTAAGTGAAAACGTAAGGTCTGTGGAGTCGCTAAGGGCCGACCCATCTGCCTCGATCTTCTACCCGAGAACTGGGCTCTGCCCCTCTCGGCGGCGCAGGTTGGGAACGTTCTCCAGTAAAGACTCCAAGGGACAACCCAGACACACATGCCTCCCTCTCCGCTGACGACCACCTTGCTTACCCCAGCTTACCCCAGCTTACCCCTGCTTACCCCAAGTTCATGGCCTGACCTCGCACTCTCTCCACAGAACGCTCAAGCCCCTTGTGTACGTCGGTTGCCGCCGCCGCTCAGCAAGCGCTACGCCAATTGGATATAGGGGTGCCGGCGAGCTGAGCAAGTGGACCAATCAGGGTGGGGCATGCTGGCGGGTGCGCTGAGCTGGGCCGGGGCTCCCGCGGGGACGGTTGCGTATGCCGTTTGTTCCCCTTTTGTGCCCCGTTTGTGCCGTTTGTTCCCCTACGCACAGCGGAATTTGGCCTGACCCGGCTTATGAGTCTAAAGCTTCGGTGGCGGAGACCTGCGCTTCTCGCAATTGTAGCCTTCCAAAGCGCGTACACAGACACACACACACACACACACACACACACACACACACACACACACACACACACACACACACACCTTTTTGGGGTCACCATTTGCAAGTAAGTTACAGACATTGTAACACTTAACCCTTTAACATTGCAGACATTGTAACACTTAACCCTTTAACATTGCAGCATGTATCTCCTAAGAATAGATGTTCTGCTACATAACCGCAGTACAATTATTATACCTAAGATCATTAATTTCATAATAATTCTCTTCCCGATTTAATTTCCCCCACTTGTCCTAAGAATATCTTATAGGCATTTTATTTAGAAAGCAAGAGCCAATCGCGCCACTGCATTCCAGCAGCTTGGGCGACAGAGTGAGACTCCGTCTCAAAAAAAAAAAAAAAAAATGCAAGAGCCGATCAAGGATCACACATTACATTTGGTTGTTAAGTATCTTTGCACACACTCTTTCCAGACAAAAACAATGAAAGGTATTAATTATTAAATGCCTGACAAACCTTTACTTTTTTATTTTTTATTGTTGTAATATGTGTGTTAAAATTTGCTATTTTTAGCCATTTTCAAGTGACAATTCCATGATACAATGTTGTGGAATACGCCAGTATATTTTTCCAAAAGCTTTTTAGTACCCCCAAATAAAAATTCTGTACCCATTAAGCAACAACTTCCCATTTTCCTCTCCCCTCAATCCTAAGAAACCTCTAATCTTATTTCTGTCTCTAGGAATTTGCCTATTATAGATACTTCATGTCATAAAAGTGGAATCATACAATATTTGTCCTTTTGTGTCTTCTCTCAAGTAACATAATGTATTCAAGGTGCATCCATGTTGTAGGATGTATCAGAGCTTCATATCTGTTTATGATTGAATAGTATTCCATTCTATGTATATATATACCACAATTCGTTTACTCATTCATCCATTAATAGACATTTGGGTTGTTTCCATCTTTTAGTTATTGTGAATAATGCTGTAGTGAACACTGATGTACAAGTATCTGTTTGAATCCCTATTTTCAATTTTCTTGGTATACACCTAAGAGTGGAATTACTGGGTCACATGGTAATTCTATGGTTAACTTTTCGAGAAACTGCCAAACTGTTTTCATAACAGTTGCAGCATCTTACATTTCTGCCAGCAATGTATATGAGGTTCTAATTTCTTCACCCCAACACTTGCTTTTTCTTTTTCTTTTCTTTCTTTTTTTTTTTTTTTTAGAGACAGGGTTTTGCTCTGTCACCCAGGCCGCCTACATTGGTACGAACATAACACTGTAACCTCGAACTCCTGGTCTTAAATGATCCTCCTGTCTCAGCCTCCCAAGTAGCTAGGGCTACAGGCATGCACCACTACGCCTGGTTAATTTTTAAAAAAATTTTTGTAGAGACAGAGTCTGTTTACGTTGCCCAGGCTGGTCTCAAACTCCTGGCCTCAAGTAGTCCTCCCACCTCAGACTCCCAAAGTGCTGGGATTATAGGCGTGAGCCTGTAGCCAGAATGATTTCTAAAATGTGAATCTGCTTAATTCACTCTGCTTCTTAAAATCTCTCAATATAGGAGAACGTCCTTAACTTGATAAGCAATATCTACAAAAAATCTCCTAGAGACCGGGTGTGGTGGCTTATGCCTGTAATTGCAGCACTTTGGAAGGCCAAGGCAGGAGGATTGCTTGAGTGTAGGAGTTCGAGACCAGCCTGGGCAACATGGTGAGACTCTATCTCTATTTTTTAAAAAAATCCTGTAGAGCCCAATATCACACTTAACAGTGAAAAAGTGCAACTTTTCCACTGAGATTGGGAACAAGAGCAAGGCAAGAATGTCTCTTCTTATCACTGCTTTTCAACATCACACTGGAAGTCTGAGCTAATCCTAAGACTTAGCCTTAGTCCTAGCTAAGACAAGAAAAAGAAATAAGTATACAGACTGGGAAGAAAGAAAGAAAACTTTGTTTGCAGATGACATGATTGTCTATGTAGAAAATCTGAAAGAAGCCACAAAAAATCCTCCTGGAATTAATAAGTGAGTATAGTGGCATTGCAGAATGCAAGGTTAATACACAAAAGCCAATTGCTTTCCTGTATGTCAGCAATGAACAAATAGAAGCTGAAAATAAAAACACGATACTGCCCAGGCGCGGTGGCTCACGCCTATAATCCCAGCACTTTGGGAGGCTGAGGCGGGCGGATCACGAGGTCAGGAGATCGAGACTGTCCTGGCTAACACGGTGAAACCCCGTCTCTACTAAAAATACAAAAAATTAGCTGCGTGTGGTTGCAGACGCCTGTAGTCCCAGCTACTCAGGAGGCTGAGGCGGGAGAATGGCCTGAACCCAGGAGGTGGAGCTTGCAGTGAGCCGAGATCGCACCACTGCACTCCAGCCTGGGCAACAGAGAGAGACTCCGTCACAAAAACAAACAAACAAACAAACAATACTATTCACATTAGCATCCCATCAAATCAAATGCTTAGGTATAGATCTAACAATATATGTATAAAATCTATATGAGGAAAATTACAAAACTCTGATGAAAGAAATCAAAGAACTAAATAAATGGAGAGATATTCTGTGTTTATAGATTGGAAGACTCAA
Source organism: Homo sapiens (assembly GCF_000001405.40). Classification (NCBI taxonomy): domain Eukaryota; kingdom Metazoa; phylum Chordata; class Mammalia; order Primates; family Hominidae; genus Homo; species Homo sapiens. The sequence goes on along the minus strand of NC_000003.12, from coordinate 56,554,316 downwards.
TATTGTCAAGGTGTCAGTTCTTCCCAACTTGATCTATAGATTCAACACTATGCCAATCAAAATCCCAGCAAGTTATTTTGTGGATATCAACAAACCGAATCTAAAGTTTATATGGAGAGACAAAAGACCCAGAACAGCGAAAACAATATTGAAGATGAACAAAGTCAGAAGACTGACACTACCCGACATCAAGACTTACTATAAAGCTACAGTAATTAAAACAGTGTAGTATTAGTGAAAGAATAAACAAATAGATAAATAATAAAACAGAGTGCCTAGAAATAGACCCACATAAATAGTCAACCGGTCTTTGACAAAGGAGTAAAGCCAAAACAAAGGAGAAAAGATTATCTTTCAACAAATGGTGCTGGAACAATTGGATATCCACATGCAAAAATATTAGTCTGACCCAAACCTTGCATTCTTCACAAAAATGAACTCAATATAGAACAGAGTCCTAAATGTAAAATGCAGAACTGTATAACTCCTAGAAGAAAACATAGGAGAAAATCTAGATGACTTTGGGTTTGATGATAACTTTTTTTTAACAAGCCCACAGCTAACATCATATGATGATAACTGTTTAGATGCAACACCAAAGGCATGATCCATCAAAGAAAGAATTGATAAGCTGGACTTCATTAAAATCAAAATTTTCCATTTTGTAAAAGACACCGATAAGAGAAAGAAAAGATAAGCCACATTCTAAGAGAGAATATTTACCAAAGACATATCAGATAAAGGACTGTTATTCAAAATATAAGAAAAGATCTTTAAACTCAACAATAAGAACATAAACAACCCAATTTTAAAAATGAGCCAAAGACCTTGATGAATGCCTCACCTAAAAAGATGCTGAATACAGATGGCAAATAACCATATGCAAGATGCTATATGTCATATGTCATCAGGAAATGCAAAATAAGACAACAATGAAATACTATTACACACCTATTAGAATGGTCAAACTCTAGATCACTGATAACACAAAGTGCTGGTGAGGATGCAATCTCATTCATTGTTGGTGAGAATGCAAAATGGTGTAGCCACTTGGAAGACATCTTGGTGATTTTCTTTTAGTTTTTTGTTTTCGTTGTTGAGACAGGGTCTCACTGTGTTGTCCAGGCTGGAGTGCAGTAGCGTGATTTTGGCCCACTGCAGTCTTGAACTGCTGGGCTCAAGAAATCCTCCCACCTCAGCCTCCTGAGTAGCTAGGACTACAGGCGTGTGCCACCATGCCTAGCTAATTTTTGTATTTTTTTGTGGAGATGGGCTTTTGCCATGTTGCCAAAGCTGATCTTGAACTCCTGAGCTCAAGGGATCCACCTGCCTCGGCCTTCCAAAGTGCTGGAATTATAGGCATGTGCCACTGTACCTGGCATTTGTGGTTTCTTACAGAACTAAACATATTCCTACCATGTGCGTGACCCAGCAATTGCATTATTTGGTATTTATCCAAAGGCGTTGAAAATGTATGTCCACAGGAAAACCTACACATGGATGTTTATAGCAGCTTTATTCATAATTGTCAAAACTTGAAAACAACCAGGATGTCCTTCAGTAGGTGAATGCATAAACTGTGGCACATCCTGACAATGAAATATTATTCAGAACTAAGAAAAAATGAGCTTGATACCAAGTCATGAAAAGGCATGGAGAAAATGTAAATTGTTATTACTAAGTGAAAGAACCAATTTGGAAAGGCTACAAACTGTATGAGTTCGATTATATGGCATTCTGGAAAAGGCAAAACTATGGAGACAGTAAAAAGATCAGTGGTTGCCAGGGATTGGAAGAAGGAGGGATAAATAGCCAGAGCACAGAGGATTTTCAGGGCAGTAAAACTACTCTGTATGATACTGTAATAGTGGATACATGTTGATATTGTGTCCCCACCCAAATCTCATCTTGAATTGTGACCCTCATAATCCCCATAACCCCCATGTGTGAAGGGAGAGACCAGGTGGAGGTAGTTGAATCATGGGGGCAGTTTCCCACATGCTGTTCTTGTGATAGTGAATGAGTTCTCACAAGATCTGATGGTTTTATGAGGAGCTCTTCCCCCTTTGCTCAGCCCTCCTCCTTCCTGTTGTCTTGTGAAGAGGGCACCTTGCTTCCCTGTCACCTCCCACTGTGATTGTAAGTTTCCTGAGGCCTCCCCAGCCATGCTGAACTATGAGTCAATTAAACCTCTTTCTTTGATAAATTACCCAGTGTTGGGCAGTTCTTTATAGCCGTATGAAAACGGACTAATAAACATGTCATTTTCATCCAAACCCGTAAAATGCACAAGAGCAAGAGCAAACTCTAATGGAAGCTATGAACTTTGAGCAAGAATGGTTTGTCCTGATAAATTCATCCATTGTAACAAATGTACTACTCTAGTCGGGGATGTTGACAAAGAGGTAGGTTGGGGAAGGGGCAGAAAGTATATGGGAAATCTCTGTATTTCCTGTTAATTTTGCAGCGAACCTAAAATCACTCTTATAAAACAGTCTATTAAAATAAAAAACTCCCAATAATTAAAAAACCCTATTGCTCCTGATACAAAGCACGAAGGGCTTAACAATCTCATGAGTCCCATCTTGACCTTTTAAATTTCTTTCTTTTTTTTTTGAGACGGAGTCTCGCTCTGTCGCCCAGGCTGGAGTGCAGTGGCGCGATCTCGGCTCACTGCAAGCTCTGCCTCCCGGGTTCACGCCATTCTCCTGCCTCAGCCTCCCCAGCAGCTGGGACTACAGGCGCCCGCCGCCATGCCCAGCTAATTTTTTTTTTTTGTATTTTTAGTAGAGACGGGGTTTCACCGTGTTAGCCAGGATGGTCTCGATCTCCCGATCTCGTGATCCGCCCGCCTCGGCCTCCCAAAGCGCTGGGATTACAGGCATGAGCCACCGTGCCCGGCCTCAACCTTTTAAATTTCACCTCTCACCACTGCCCTCTTAACACACTGAGCTTTCATTTCCTCAAATGTAGCCACACTTGTTCCTATCTTCCACCTTTGCATAGTCATCTGTTCCACATATTTTATTGAGTGCCTAATGTGTCCGCAGAATTGTTTTTAGCAAAAGGGATAAAGCTATAACCAAAATAGACAAAATCCCTGCCCTCCTGGAGTGATTTCTGTTTGCTGAAATGCTGTTCCTCAGGATGCCCCTCACCTGAGCAACTTGTTCTACAGGGTTGTTGCTGAGATGTCACATCTTCCTGGGAACCTCCCTTACTGTCTCCGTCTCTGGGTTAGACCCTTCTTCCACTCCAGGGTGTACTCTGCACTTCCCTCCACAGAGCATTTGTGACTGTCCCTGAATGCCCACTAGAGTATAATCTCTGAGAGCAGGGACATGCTGCCCTTGCTCTGTATTGCCCCCAAAGCCTAACACGTGGGAAGCTCTAAGTAAATATCTGTTGGAAAGAAGATACATAAAAATTGCCGTAAACCAGTAACTGCCTGCTAGAAAAGGAATCATGTAAAATGGGAACATGCTACTTCTAAACCTGTAATGTGGCAATAGAAGTTCATAATTTATATATTAACTTAGACATATCAAAGAAAAGAGAACACTATGGTTGGTATAAGACTTAGCAGCAATGAAGGAGAGGTTAGCTGGGCAGTCCTGACTCTTAAATTTGGGGAAATTCTTCTTGAGAGCAAAGGTATTGTAATAGAACTCTGCATGAACTCTCCAGGATAATTGTTGCTTTCAAGGAGACTTCTCTGGTCAGTCTTAATAAAACACACAGAAGTAAAAGGTGAACACATTTATCTATGAGGAAAATGAATTGTGCCACCAATTAATTGTGTTTATGACAGGTCAATGTACATGGAAGCACCTTGCAGCAAACAGAATAATGGTGTCCCCAAAAATTCTACATCCTAATCCCTGAAAACTGTGAATATGTAACCTTACATGGCAAAGGGGAATTAAGGTTGCAGATGGATTTAGGATTGCTAATCAACCCACCTTAAAATAGGGAGATTATCCTAGATAATTTGGGTGGGCCCAATGTAATTACAAGGATCGTTAAAAATGAAAGAGGGAAACAGAAGTTCAGAGAGAGAGGTATGACAATGCAAACAGGGTCAAAGAGATGCTACATTGTTGGCTTTGAAGATGGAGAAGGGGAGCCACAAGTTAAGGACTGTGGGTGGCCTCTAGGAATTGGAAAAAGCGGGGAAATGGATTCTCCTCTAGAGCCTCCAAAAGACATTCATCCCTGGCAACACCTTAATTTTAGCCCGGTGAGTCCCACATCAGACCTCTGACTTACAGAACCGTAAGATAATAAAGTTGTGTTGTTTTGAGCCACTAAATTTGTGGTAATTTGTTAAAGTAATAATACAACTAATGCATATACAGTCATGTGCCACATAACCACATTTCAGTCAACGACGACCCTCATATACGGTGGTGGTCAGAGCAATAGTGATACAAGATAGCCTAGGCGTGCAACAGGCTGTGTCATCTAAGTTTGTGTAAGTACACTCTATGATGTTCACACAATGACAAAATCACCTAAAAGGCATTTCTCAGAATGTATTCCCATCATTAAGGGACATATGACTGTACTTGTTCCATGAAGCACCCCTCCTTTCCAGTACAGTACCCAACAAGAGTTGAGACCGTAGCTCTAATTGAAATCTATAGAGATGAACAAATTATGGGATTTGCTTTTGAGTTTTGAATGGCTTGGAGTTCTCCAGCTTTCCTTGTCTCCCATTTCTTGCACCACCCACACACACATACCACCTCATGCACAGAAACCCGACTCAGAAAGATGCAGTCTGTCACCAATATGTCTAAGATTTCTGTTTAGCAATACCATCTGAGATGGCTTTCTCTGGGGTCCTTTAACCTAGACCTTGCAGGCTCCTCTGTGGCGCTATCTTCTGTTTTCTTTCTAGCCTGCCTGATATACATTTAAAGTAGTTTATTTTTTTTTTGAGACGGAGTTTCACTCTTGTCACCCAGACTGGAGGGCAATGGCATGATCTCTGTTTACTGCAACCTCTTGGGTTCAAGTGATTCTCCTGCCTCAGCCTCCTGAGTAGCTGGGATTACAGGCACCCACCACCACGCCTGGCTAATTTTTGTATTTTTAGTAGAGATGGGGTTTCACCGTGTTAGCCAGGATGGCCTCAAACTCCTGACCTCAGGTGATCCTCCCACCTTGGCCTCCCAAAGTGCTGGGATTACAGGCGTGAGCCACCGTGTCTGGACTTAAACTAGTTCATTCTTACATAAAAGTGTTGAAGGAGATGGGGAACTGGATTGCAGATGGTGTGGTGTCTCTGGCTCAATATTTTTCCTCCTGGAATTGTCTCTATTCAGGTTCATTATTAGAAGGGCAGTTACATGATAAGACCAAAAGAAAGAGGTTTAAGTTATAGTTAGCTAGAGTGGTCAGATACTGGGGAGAATTGCAGTAAGAGCATTTTCATCGTTTGTAGAGGGATATACTGCTGCATCTCATGACTGACTCCCCAGTTTTGTTTTCTAGCATCCATGGCCCCTGCTCTTCTCCCAGGCCCTACTTCTGACTGCTCAACCTCTCTCTTACCTCCCTTGAACTCTTATTTCTGTAGGGATTGTAAGGGTGGGTCTGAAACTCCCAGTTTCTACTTCTCTCCTCACCTATGCAGTCTCCTGTTGCAGCTGCCAGTTCTCGCATGGCTGTGTGGAATCACCTCGAATGCAGCAGAGGCAATGCTACATTGTACTGTCCTTTCCCAACATGACTCTTGTGGTTCCATTTCCCTTCATTCTGTCAATGGCACAGTGGCTTTTGTAGGCCCTAGAAATCCATCTTTATGTCCCGTATCCCCTGATGCTCCAGCTGTGACAGTCTACTTACTCTTCCCCAAATATACTTACTATCCTCTCTCATTTCTGTGTCTCTTCTTCAGCTTTCCCTTTATGTAGAATACTTTTCTCCCCACATGAACCTGTAATGTGACAATGGGGGCTTATAATTTACATATTACCATAGACATACCAAAGAAAGGGAACACCAATCACTTAGCGGCAACCAAGGAGAGATCATCTGGGCATCTCTGAATCTTAAATTTGGGAAAAAATCCTCCTGGGAATAACAGGACTGTTTTGGAATAGAGCTCTCTCCACTAATTTTCCAGGGTGAAGTTGCTAGCATAGAAACTTCTTCACTGGTCAACCTTAGTAAAGCACACAGAAGTAAAAGGTGAACACATTTACCTATTAGATGTGCATATTTGCCTGTGAAAGGCTTTCCCAGTGATAAACATGACAACCATGAGGGTAATTTCCTTGGGTGGGAGTGGTGACAATGAGACCAGGGAGACAAACCCAGCAAGTATCAATGGCATTGGTAATATTCATTTTTTAGTAAAGATGGTGGAAACATAAATTTTGTTATATTATTCTCTATTCATTTTTGTGTCCCTGAAATATGTCATGTTAAAACACACAAACACATACAATTTCTCCCCACACTGCTAATACAAGTTGAAATAAATAACTGCTAGTACTTATTTTCCCCTGCATTCATTTTCCAAGAAGCAAAGTAATACGGGTTTTCAATATAATTTTTTTGCATTTCTTAAACCCGGTTTATGTGGGTGATGTTAAACCTAATCTTGACACAGCAGATGGCAGTGTGGGTCCAGCTTTATATACAACAATACCATATGGACGTTTTAACAGATGAGATTTATTTTAGTTGAATAATCATGGTTTTAAATGGTTAACACAGAAAATATAAAATTCTAGAAAATCATGACTCTCTTCCTGAAGACTTAGAGACACATTTTCTGATTATATTAAGCTTATTAAAAAATACTTCCTTAATAAATCTAAAGCTAATTCTTAAGCAGAAATAGGAATCATCATCTCCAAAGAGATTTTCACAATATTTGAGTAATTGTATAAACTAGTACTTGAAGTTTGACTTTTGCAAATAAGCCCCCTTACATAAAATTACTTAAGAATCTTCACATTTTATTTATTTATTTCTTTTCTTTTCTTTTCTTTGTTTTTTTTTGAGATGGAGTCTCACTCTGTTGCCCAGGCTGGAGTGCAGTGATGTGGTCTTGGCTCACTGCAACCTTCGCCTCCTGGGTTCAAGCTATTCTCATGCCTCAGCCCCTGAGCAGCTGGGATTATGGGCATGCGTTACCATGTCTGGCTAATTTTTGTATTTTTAGTAGAGACGGGGTTTCACCATGTTGGCCAGGCTGGTCTCAAACTCCTGGCCTCAGGTGATCTGCCCACCTTGGCCTCCCAGAGTGCTGGGATTATAGGTGTGAGCCACCACACCTGGCCAAGAATCTCATGCTTTATTACTGTGGTATAAGATAACATTTTTGCCAAGGCTTAAAAAAAAAACACACACAAAGAAAAATTTAAATAAATTTTTACTTAAGAACTAGAGGTATGAAGTTTTGCCAGTACCTTTTCTTCACATTCCCCCACTGCTTTCCTAAATTCCTTTGAATCTCCTGCTTTCCTCGCATTACCAAGAGCTAGTAGTACAGCAAGGTGGAGAAGAATGCAGGCTCTGATTAAATAGACCCAGATTCAAATTCCTGACTTGCTGCTAACTTTGCTGTGTGGTCCGGGGGAAGTTCATTGGCCTCTCTAAGTCTCAGTTTCTTTCCCCATAAAATGGGGATAATATTAGAATTTGGCATTTAGGGTTTTTGGAGAGTTAAATGTGAAAATGTGTTCACACTATTACTACAGATGCCTGTTCTTGAGGATTTCCAGGTGCCAATCTCATTATTCTCCTCTTGTATGTATTCTCTCTCTTTCTCTGCCCTTCTACAGAATGTGGAAAAACACCTGTCACCAGACATCCTTCTTTCCCAGCCTTTGGAAAAATGTGTCTCCGATATGCTGCCCCTTGTTAGGCCCTGATTGTTTCTTCTTTCTTTCTTTCCTCTTTCCCATTCTGAAACTCCACTTCTGTCTCATTTTGCTCACCAGTGTTCAGCTTTATTGACTCTGAATTTCCACAGAAATTAGTGACAGGCCTTGTTTACTCCTTCCCCACTGGGGACACAGCCATCTTCTCTTCGGGTCCACCCACCTTTCCTATCGTTCCCTGGGAAAGGCTCAACAGAACTGAAAACTCCTTGCTTCAACTAGAAGATTCAGCAGATGGGCTTTTCTCCCAATGTTAGAAATATTTGAAAATGCGCCGCTTTAGAAAGATACTTAAAAGTATTAAATCATATAATTTTCAATCTTTTGGGAAGACTTTTGTGACAGTTTAATTTTGTATTTTATGTTGTACTGTTGGAAGGGAATGCATCTATTTTTGAAAGTGTCATTAATTTTCCTAGACTACAAAATAACAAAATAGATCACAGCAAGAATTATCTAACTTTCTTTCTTTCTTTCTTTTTGAGATAGGGTCTAGCCCTGTCACCCAGGCTGAAATGAAGTGGCATGATCATGGCTTACTGCAGCTTTGACCTCCCAGGATCAAGTGATCCTTCCTACTCAGCCTCCTGTGTAGCTGGGACTACAGGCATATGTCACCATGCCAGGCTAATTTTCTAATTTTTTGTAGAGACAGCGTCTCACTATGTTTCCTGGGTTGGTATCAAACTCTTGGGCTCAAGTGATCTTCTTGCTTTGGCCTCCCAAAGTGTTGGGATTACAGAGGCGAGCCACCACTCCCAGCCCCCAACTTTATTTCTACAGAGGTTCACTGGATAGAAACAAAAATTGTAATCATGATATTCTTGAACAGACAACAAAATAACCAATTGATTGATTGTTTTAGTAATAATAAACTGAAATAAGTTCCTGTTTATTGAGTACTTGTTATATTTGACATAGAACTAAGAATTTTAAAAGTGTCTCAAACTATTCTTAAACAAATGAAAACTCTGTTGTAGATATTAGTATTTTCTCCATCTTACAGAAGACAAAACTGAGGCTTAGAGAAGTAAAATACCTTGATTAAGTCAGACGGTGAGTAATGGTAGAGTCAAATTAGTCTACCGGGCTGGGCGCGGTGGCTCACGCCTGTAATCCCAGCACTTTGGGAGGCTGAGACGGGTGGATCACGAGGTCAGGAGTTCAAGACCAGCCTGGCCAAGATACTGAAACCCTGTCTCTAGTAAAAATACAAAAATTAGCCAGGCATGATGGCACACACCTGTAATCCCAGCTACTTGGGAGGCTGAGGCAGGAGAATTGCTTGAAACCGGGTGGCAGAGGTTGCAGTGAGCCAAGATCGTGCCACTGCATTCCAGCCTGGGTGACAGAGCAAGACTCTGTCTCAAAAAAAAAAAAAAAAAGAAAAAAAGTCTATCTCTGAAGTCTAACTTCAATATCACTATTAGATGGTATCTGGTCAGTACAAGGTAAATATTCCTGATGAAATTGGCATCCGTAGATGAAGTTAAATCCAGTTTTTTCTTTTTAAAATTACAGTTCAAATTTTATTATAAAAATATGGGGGTGCCATAAAAAAGTTTGAAGCAAGGGAATAACAAGAGATTAGTATTTCTTTTTTTCTTTTTATTTTATTTTATTATTATTATACTTTAAGTTTTAGGGTACATGTGCACAATGTGCAGGTTAGTTACATATGTATACATGTGCCATGCTGGTGTGCTGCACCCATTAACTCTTCAATTAGCATTAGGTATATCTCCTAAAGCTATCCCTCCCCCCTCCCCCCACCCCACAACAGGCCCCAGAGTGTGATGTTCCCCTTCCTGTGTCCATGTGTTCTCATTGTTCAATTCCCACCTATGAATGAGAATATGCAGTGTTTGGTTTTTTGTTCTTGTGATAGTTTACTGAGAATGATGATTTCCAATTTCATCCATGTCCCTACAAAAGACATGAACTCATCATTTTTTATGGCTGCATAGTATTCCATGGTGTATATGTGCCACATTTTCTTAATCCAGTCTATCATTGTTGGACATTTGGCTTGGTTCCAAGTCTTTCCTACTGTGAATAGTGCCGCAATAAACATACGTGTGCATGTGTCTTTATAGCAGCATGATTTATAGTCCTTTGGGTATATACCCAGTAATGGGATGGCTGGGTCGAATGGTATTTCTAGTTCTAGATCCCTGAGGAATCGCCACACTGACTTCCACAATGGTTGAACTAGTTTACAGTCCCACCAACAGTGTAAAAGTGTTCCTATTTCTCCACATCCTCTCTAGCACCTGTTGTTTCTTGACTTTTTAATGATCGCCATTCTAACTGGTGTGAGATGGTATCTCATTGTGGTTTTGATTTGCATTTCTCTGATGGCCAGTGACGGTGAGCATTTTTTCATGTGCTTTTTGGCTGCATAAATGTCTTCTTTTGAGAAGTGTCTGTTCATATCTTTTCCCACTTTTTGATGGGGTTGTTTGTTTTTTTCTTGTAAATTTGTTTGTGTTCATTGTAGATTCTGGATATTAGCCCTTTTTCCGGTACCAGCCGCTGCAAAATCATGCCAAAATGTAAAGACCATCGAGACTAGGAAGAAACTGCATCAACTAACAAGCAAAATAACCAGCTAACATCATAATGACAGGATCAAATTCACACATAACAATATTAACTTTAAATGTAAATGGACTAAATGCTCCAATTAAAAGACACAGACTGGCAAATTGGATAAAGAGTCAAGACCCATCAGTGTGCTGTATTCAGGAAACCCATCTCACGTGCAGAGACACACATAGGCTCAAAATAAAAGGATGGAGGAAGATCTACCAAGCAAATGGAAAACAAAAAAAGGCAGGGGTTGCAATCCTAGTCTCTGATAAAACAGACTTTAAACCAACAAAGATCAAAAGAGACAAAGAAGGCCATTACATAATGGTAAAGAGATCAATTCAACAAGAAGAGCTAACTATCCTAAATATATATGCACCCAATACAGGAGCACCCAGATTCATAAAGCAAGTCCTGAGTGACCTACAAAGAGACTTAGACTCCCACACAATAATAATGGGAGACTTTAACACCCCACTGTCAACATTAGACAGATCAACGAGACAGAAAGTTAACAAGGATACCCAGGAATTGAACTCAGCTCTGCACCAAGCGGGCCTAATAGACATCTACAGAGCTCTCCACCCCAAATCAACAGAATATACATTTTTTCAGCACCACACCACACCTATTCCAAAATTGACCACATAGTTGGAAGTAAAGCTCTCCTCAGCAAATGTAAAAGAACAGAAATTATAACAAACTGTCTCTCCGACCACAGTGCAATCAAACTAGAACTCAGGATTAAGAAACTCACTCAAAACTGCTCAACTACATGGAAACTGAACAACCTGCTCCTGAATGACTACTGGGTACATAACGAAATGAAGGCAGAAATAAAGATATTCTTTGAAACCAACGAGAACAAAGACACAACATACCAGATCTCTGGGACACATTCAAAGCAGTGTGTAGAGGGAAATTTATAGCACTAAATGCCCACAAGAGAAAGCAGGAAAGATCCAAAATTGACACCCTAACATCACAATTAAAAGAACTAGAAAAGCAAGAGCAAACACATTCAAAAGCTAGCAGAAGGCAAGAAATAACTAAGATCAGAGCAGAACTGAAGGGAATAGAGACACAAAAAAACCCTTCAAAAAATTAATGAATCCAGGAGCTGGTTTTTTGAAAGAGATTAGTATTTTAAGAAAAAATAAAATTTTGATAAAGTGAGAAAACTGGATTGCAAAAGTTTGAGATAAGGTGATTGATTGGTTAGGATTCCGTTGGAAGACTTCCTCTTCTGGTCAAGATGGAGGTACAGGACTGGATTTAACTTCCCAACAAAAACAACAAAAACAAACAATATACCTAAAGCAATGGTTTTCAAAACACTGGACATCAGGCAATAAAAGACAGAGATCCTTGTGAAACAGGAAACATGAAGGATAGACAAATCCTACAGCCCTACGCACTGCTTTGAGAGAGTTTCCAGACTCTGATGCAGGGAGAGGAAACCCAGGTGGAGCCCAGCGGTCTCCCTGAGTGAGGAGACCAAGCTGAGAGTTTGGGGAGACCAAGACAAGTTCCTAGAACAGAGCACCACAGAGGAGAGAGCTGCACAAAGGCAGAGAAGCCTGGAGATGTGCAGACGCTCCTTCAGTATTCAGCAAAGTGCTAAGCAGCACGCGTGTAAGGCCAGGGATGTAACCACTCAGAAGAGTTAGAGAGAAGAGTAGCTGGTACTCAGGCATGTCCAGGAACAATACCTCCTCCCATCAGCCAGACTGGAGAAACCCAAAATCCAGGGTAGATTAATCAGGAAGCTTTTGCCTCAGTATTGGAATAGACTGAACACTGCTGCAGATCTGCCTAACAAGTCATAAAAGCTAGACCTGAAAGGATCAAACTATTTCCAAGTAATTTAACTTCATCCCAGACTCAGGAAAATTTACAGGGATACAAAAAGTGTACCTTGTACCCAAACAAGGTAAAATTTGTGATTTCTGTCATCCAATCAAATATTACCCTACAAAGAAGCAGGAAATTATGGCCCAGTATAAGAAGAATAATCAATCAATTTAAACTGACTGAGAACGTACACAGATGGAATTAGCAGAGAAAGATATTAAATTAGTTATTATAACTGGATTGCAAATGTTTTAAAAGTGAAGTAGAGGCGGGCACAGTGGTTCACACCTGTAATCCCAGCACTTCGGGAAGCTGAAGTGGGCGGATGACTTGAGGTCAGGAGTTTGCGACCAGCCTGGCCAACGTGGCGAAATCCTGTCTCTACTAAAAATACAAAATTAGCTGGGTGTGGTGGCATGCACCTGTAGTCCCGGCTACTCAGGAGTCTGAGACAGGAGAATCGCTTGAACTCGGAGTTGGAGGTTGCAGTGAGCTGAGATTGTGCCATGGCATTCCAGCCTGGGCAACAGGGCAAAACTCCATCTCAAAAAAAAAGTGAAATAGAGACATAGAAAATATTTTAAAGACCCAAATTGAACTTCTAAAGATGAAAAATACAGTGTCTGAGATGAAAAATATACTTAACGGTATTAACAGTATTTTATAACAATTATATCTCAATGAAGCTGTTAAGAAAAAAAAAGATTCCATTGCATTTGTCCAAGGAGAGGTAAGGAGAGCGTTAACAGGTAAGGGGTATATTGAGGTAGAACTCTGAGGATTTTCTGACAATTGGGTAAGGGCGTGGGGCAGAAAAAGAGTGGGAGATTGGGTGTCAAATGCTGCCATTCACAAGAACAAGGAATAAAGATGGAAAGATGTGGATGGGAGGTAGAAAAAACATTGTTTCAGGCATATTGACTTTAATGTGCTCCATGATAGAACTCTCAGAAACTCCAACATTTAAGGGGTTGATGGAAAAAGAGAAACTTATCAAAGGAAGTGAGAAGGCATGGTCCCAGAAATAGAGAATCAGGGGTAAGAGGCTTCACGGAAGCCAAAGCAGCTCCAAATTTCAAGGAAGAAATGATTGGCATGACCAATGCTGCAGAGATTAAGCAGGAGAAAATATGAGAAGTGGCCAAAGTGGCTCCTGTACCTGGAAGGTAAGAAGTCACTGATGATCTCAGATATGTGATGGCAGGGACTCCATCTGTTTTGTTCGCTACTATATACCCAGTTCATATTTCACAGTTTCTGGAACAGAGTAGGTGCTCAAAACCATTTGGTGAATGAGTAGATGAATTCAACACAGTTGAATGTGTAAGGTACCTGGTGCTTGGCGGAGCCTCTTTGTGATCTCAGCAAGGGCAGATTTAGTGAGAACAGAAGGCTGGAAGGCTGGAAGCTAGACTACAGTGGAGGCAGTGAAGACTGGAAAGTGAAGGGAAGAAGGCCACAGGAAGATGCAAGATGAAGACAGACTTTTATTTTAACGGGGAGGGAAGTGGAGAGGAGTGAGATCTGAAAAATATTGAGAAATTTGAAAAACACTGAGGCGGACAAACGTGGTGTTTAAGGGTACCTGCTCAGGAGTCAAGTTGTCCAGGTCAAATATTTTTTCCTGTCCTTACTCAAGTTAGTTACCTTCTCTGAGCCTCACTGCCCTGATCTGCAATAGAAGTCTCTATCACTTAGGGCTGTTGTCAGGGTTTAATGAAGTAACACATGTAAAGTGTTTGGAGCCATCCCTGGCTCAGTGAATGCTAGCTGTAACCACCCGGAAGGTAAGACCGTAAGAGACACACAAGTGCCAGGTTGCCTGGTCTGAAGGAGGGAGGATGGATGGAGGTAGGTAAGCTCAAGATAAATAAGAAGTTCATGGGACTGGAGTTTTCCATATGGGACTTAACAAAGCTGATTGAATTTTGAGAAAGATTCTTTGGCGTAGAAAGAACTACACATCACAGCTTGGAGACAGAGAATGAAGGAGGATTTGGAAAAGATGTGCTAGAAATGAACTAGAAGGGCAGTCGGAGAAGGGCTTGGCCTGAGCCAATGCAAAACAGCATTTTGAAGCAACCATTTACTGTAAGCATTTGTGTTGGTTAAATGTAGCACAGTCCTTTAGTTACAATTCTGAAATTCATAGCATTCATCTCTAGTCTTGAGAAATACTGCATATAGAAATCTTTACATCTGATTAAGGTAAAAGAGATAGGAAAATATAACAGTTGGAGTTCTTTGGCTGTGGGCCAAAGAAACTAACTCTGGCTAATTTAAGCAAAAATAAAAAATTTTGGAGTAGCTTACAGAATTTAAGGAAAGTTGAAGAACCAAGTCTCAGTGGCTGTCCAGGACCCAATAGCACAAAAGCTGACAGTCATCTTCTCAGGGGCCCATGCCATTGAGATGATGGTCTCATCTGCCCCTTTCAGCCTAAGTAACCCCTTAAGATTCAAATTCTTGGGAGAAGACAGGTCTAATTGGCCAGATTCAAGGCATGTGGTCATAATTAGTTTGCTTTCTGAGTTTGTGACATTTGTACCCAGCATTCAGTCTTCAGTAAAGTTGGCAGGACTGGGAAAGGGATGATTCCAGGAAAACCATCTAGTGTGTTGTTTTTCTTTTCCTTCTTTCCTTTTTCAGTGAATATTTTATGTATCTGCTATGTTCCAGGCGCTCTGTTAGAAGAAAGAGATATAAGTAATAATGTGCCAAACCAGACGCAGAGTCTGCTCCTCTGGAGGGTTGGATTGTGGGAGATTGACTTTTTTTTTTTTTTTTTTTTTTTTAAAAGAGTCTCACTCTGTCGCCCAGGCTGGAGTGCAGTGGCACAATCATAGCTCTTGCAACCTCAAACTCCTGGGCTCAAGTGGTCCTCTCCCACCTCAGCCTCCTGAGGAGCTAGGACTATTGGCATGCACCACCGCACTTGGCTAATTAAAAAAAAAAAATTATAGAAGCTGGGCACGGTGGCTCATGCCTGTAATCCCAGCACTTCGGGAAGCTGAGGTGTGCAGATGGCCTGAGATCAGGAGTTCAAAACTAGCCTGGGCAACATGGCAAAACCCCAGGTCTACAAAGAATACAAAAATTAGCCGGGCATGGTGGCATGTGCCTATAGTCCCAACTACTTGGGACTCAGAGGCAGGAGGATATCTTGAGCCGAGGGGGTTGAGGCTACAGTGAGCTTTGATCCTGCCACTGCACTCCAGCCTAGGCAACAAAGTGAGATCTTATCTCAAAAAAAATTTTTTTTTGTAAAGACAGAATCTCACTATGCTGTCTAGACTGGTCTTGAACTCCTGGCATCAAGTGATCCTCCTGCCTTGTGCTGAAATTACAGCATGAGCCACTGCACCTGGTCTGAGATTGCCCTTAGTTCAACATCTAACTTAATGATTATATAATTGCAAACCAAAGAACTGCTCTAAAGGAACTAAATGCCTCCAAGAGAGTGTATAATAAAGGAATCTGATCTAAACTAGGGGCCTGGGGAAATACTTCCTATAGGTAGAGATGTCTGAATTGAGATCTGAAGGATGAATGAAGAGCATGGCAAACAAGACAAACAGCATGCGCCAAGGCCCTGTGGCTGGAGGGAACCTGTTATACCCTTGGTTGAATATAAATCTTGCAGTAAAAATTAAATCAAATTTTATCAAGCTGTAGCTTTCTAAAATATAATAATGATCACATTATATGACAAATAATAAGAAAAAACATAATTTAAAGCAAATTTAAGAATTTTATTTTAGGTGAACTGTTTTCTGTAGGGAATCATTATATGGAATTTGTGTAAACTTTAAGAGCCAAGGTAGATGTTTTCATATCTCTGTAATCATCAATTAGATATGACTCCTTAAAATTTGCCTACTAAATATAATTAAATGTTTATCATAGATGTAACAATTTCACTTGAGCTTTAAAAATTCTAGCAATATATTACTAACTGTTACATAAAATAGTCAAGAAAGTACAGGTCAGGCTGGTTGCAGTGGCTCACACCTGTAATCCTAGCACTTTGGGAATCCGAGGCTGGCAGATCACTTGAAGTCAGGAGTTTGAGACCAGCCTGGCCGACATGGCAAAACCCTGTCTCTGCTAAAAATACAAAAATTAGCCCGGTGTGATGGTATGCACCTGTGATCCCAGGTACTCGGGAGGTGAGGCAGGAGAATCATTTGAACCAGGGAGGTGGAGGTTGCAGTGAGCCAAGATCACGCCACTGCACTCCAGCCTGGAAGACAGAGCGAGACTCTGTCTCAAAAAAAAAAAAAAAAAAAAAAAAAAAAGGTCAAATTTTGTAATTGTTTTTTAGAAAAACTTCTCATGCACAAATACCTATTTTATGTAAAGTTGATATACACAAGAATTATTAGTATTAGTACAAAGTTTAAATATCATATTGGGCCATATTTTTTAATTCATAGGATTTGGAGAAAATCCTTTTGAAAAGTCATTTGTCATTACCATTCACCACCATCTAGTTTTAGAACATTATTATTATCACAGAAATTTTCCTCTACATTTAAGTGTTTTTCTTTTTGGAACAACTATCACCTGAAAAAAAGAGTAATTATGTGTAAATGACTAGAGTATAAAATGCTTGTTGAACAGGCAAGCTAATCAATCTCAAAAATTCAATCTCAAAAGTAAATGACATCCAATCCACACTTTTACCCTAAGCCCCAGGCAACCAGTGATCTGCTTTCAGTCTCTATATAGAAGTTTTTGACCTAATTAAATTCAATTGAACAGGAGAAAAATGTAGAAGTTTTATATGCTGTGGCTTCACATGTAGTCCCTGGCACATTGTAGGTGCTCAGTTAATTGAGTCCCTTGGTAAGTGCTATGTATAAATGTCTGCTGAATGTATTGTAATTACTTTCTAAGATTTATTTCCTTCTTGTGCCAGAGTGCAAAATACTGTATCCACAAGAGTTCCAAAGGGGAGAAAAACAATCCAATTTATCCTTCTAGATGCTTTATTCAAATCTTCTTGGATAATGTTTCCATTGACAATGAGAGCACTTTGTAACTGTCACCTCCTCTATTGTTCCTTTCTATAAGTATAAACACCATTAGCTTGTAAAGTAGGAAAGTGGAGAGGATATCGTTTTTCAAGTTTGCATGAGCCCATCTGGGTTTACTATTGTAGAAATAAGCTAAAGTCGTCTCATTTTATCATATGAATGTCCTTATTTCTCTTTTCTTGATACATTAATTTTTTTCTAAGTAGAAGAATTTGATACTATTCATTTTTGAGATTGAATCGCGAATTCAAGAGTAAACATTTTATCATCTAGTCATCTATAATTACTTTTTTTCAGGTTATAGATGTTTTACAAAAGAAACAAACACATTTTAAAATGTGTTGTCAAATTATGGTAAAGCACTCATTTCCTAATTAGATGAGCTAATATGGAACTTTCACAATTAACACATGTTCAGGATTTTACTCTGTGTATCTTTTCTGGATTAGCTACATAGGGAAATTTCTTTTTCTTTTCTTTTTATTTTTTTTGGCTTTCATTATAGTTTTACTGATATGCATGCGTCCGTTATGGGCTGAATTGTGTTCCTGTGCCAAATTCATATGTTGGAGTCCTAACCTCCAGTATCTCAGAATGTGACTGTATTTGGAAATATGGTTGTTGAAGAGATAATTCTGTTAAAATGAGGTCACATGGGTGGTCCTTGATCTAATATGACTGGTGTCCTTTTAAGAAGAGGAAATTTGGACACAGAATGTGTACAGAGGGAAGACCATGTGAAGACATTTAGAGAAGAGAACCACCTATAAGCCAAGAAAAGAAGCCTCAGAAGAAATCAAGCCTGCTGATTCAAATTTTGAGCCTCCAGATTTATGAGAAAATAAAATTGTGTTGCTTAATCCGTTTTGTTATGGCAGCCCTAGAAAACTAATTCAGTATCTTTAGCAGTATTTGATTTGCTCTTGAATTTTGTATAAATGGATTCGTATTCTAAGAAATCGTCTGTACCTTGCTTTTTTCACTCAATGACATGGTTTCTGAGATTCAACCAAGTTGATGTTTGAGCAGTAGTTCGTTCTTTTACTGCTGTATAGTGCTTATAACAACATGCTGTACTTACATCCATTTACCTATTAATTTTTGTTCGTTTGTTTGCCTTTTTTATTTTTTGAGATGGAATCTAGCTCTGTCTCCCAGGCTGGAGTGCAGTGGCACGACGTCGGCTCACTGCAACCGCCGCCTCCCGGGTTCAAGCGATTCTCCTGCCTCAGCCTCCTGAGTAGCTGGGATTACAGGCACGCCACCACGCCCGGCTAATTTTTGTGTTTTTAGTAGAGACGGGGTTTCACCATGTTGGTAAGGCTGGTCTGGAGCTCCTGACCTCGTGATCCGCCCGCCTCGGCCTCCCAAAGAGCTGGGATTAGAGGCGTGAGCCACCACACCCGGCCAATTTATGTGGTTTTTTTAGTCTGTTAGTTTTCATTTTCTTTGGTTGTTTGTTTGTTCGTTTGTTTGTTTTTTGAGACGGCGTCTCGCTTTGTCGCCCAGGCTGGAGTGCAGTGGCTCGATCTCGGCTCACTGCAAGCTCCGCCTCCCGGGTTCACACCGTTCTCCTGCCTCAGCCTCCCAAGTAGCTGGGACTACAGGCGCCTGCCACCAGGCCCGGCTAATTTTTTTGTATTTTTAATAGAGATGGGGTTTCACCGTGTTAGCCAGGACGGTCTCGATCTCCTGACCTCGTGATCTGCCCGCCTCGGCCTCTCGAAGTGCTGGGATTACAGGTGTGAGCCACTGCGCACGGCAGTTTTCATTTTATTTCTTATAAATGATGCTGCTGTAAATAATTTCATATCTATTTCCTGCTCATAGGGTATATGTATCCTTACCTTTACCGGATAGGGCCAAATCACTTTTTAAATAGTTTGTAATTACACTCCCATGAGCACTGTAAAAGCATTTCTGTTGTTTCAAATCCTCACCAAAATGTTCTGCTTCAGATCTGTAATTCTTGCCCATCTGGAAGATATGTAATGGTATCTCATTGGCTTTAACTGGCATTTTCCTGATTATTATGTGTGTGTGTGTGTGTTTTGTTTGTTGGTTTGTTTTGAGACTGAGTCTCGCTCTGTCGTCCAGGCTGGAGTGAAATGGTGCAATCTCGGCTCACTGCAACCTCTGTCTCTCGGGTACAAGTGATTCTCCTGCCTCAGCCTCCTGAGTAGCTGGGATTACAGGTGCCTGCCACCACGCCCAGTTCATTTTTATATTTTTAGTAGAGACAGGGTTTCACCATGTTGGTAAGGCTGGTCTTGAACTCCTGACCTCAGGTGATTCACCCTCCTCGGCCTACCAAAGTGCTGGGATTACAGGCGTGAGCCACTGCACCTGGCCTTTCCTGATTATTAATAAGGTTTTTCATTTTTTTAATTGGTCAGGCATGGTGGCTGACACCTGTAATCCCAGAATTTTGGGAGGCTGAGGCAGGAGAATCACTGGAGGCCAGGAGTTCAAGATCAGGTCAGGCAACATAGAGAGACCTTGTCTCTACAAAAAAATTCAAAAAAAAGTTAACCAGGCATGGTGGCACGTGCCTGTGGTCCCCAGCTACTCAAGAGGCTGAGGCAGGAGGATAGCTTGAGCCAAGGAGGTCAGGAGGTCGAGGCTGCAGTGAGCTGATTGTGCCAGTGCACTCCAGCCTGAGTGAGAGAGTGAGGCTCTGTATCTAAAAAATAAAATTTTTATAATTTTTGTCATAAAGTCTTCTTTTTTTTTATCATAAAGTCTTGAAAATCTCTTGCTAGATTTATTTTAATGTACCTCACAGTTTTTAGCCTTGCAAATGGTGTCCGTATAGTTGCTTTTGCTTCTGTAAACAGTATGGCTTTTAAAAACAATATTGGCTATTTATTACTATTGTATCTGCTTTTAAACTTATAAGTTATATTTTATAACTATTAATTTCAGTAATTTGTTAATAGATTCTTTTTGGTTTTCTGTGTAAGCAGGTATATCATTTTCAAATTAAAAATGTGGTTTTTTCCTGTCCAATCTTAGTATCTTTAATTTCTTTTTCATATATTACTCTGCTGACCAGGATCTCTAACATAATGTAAACTAGAAGTGGTGATCGTAGGCCGACTTGTATCTTCTTGTTTTTTTTTTTTTTTTTTTTTTTTTTTTTGAGACGGAGTCTCACTCTGTCACCCAGGCTGGAGTGCAGTGGCACGATCTTGGCTCACTGCAACCTCAGCGCCCTGGGTCCAAGTGATTCTCCTGCCTCAGCCTCCCTAGCAGCTGGGATTACAGGTGCCTGCCACTGCGCCCAACTAATTTTTGTATTTTTAGTAGAGACGGGGTTTCACCGTCTTGGCCAGGCTGGTCACACCTCCCAAAGCGCTGAGATTACAGGTGTGAGCCACTGCACCTGGCCCCAATATCTGCTTGTTTTTAACAGGAATGCTCAATATTTCACCATTATGAAGGGTATTTGCTGTAGATATTTTATAGTTACCCTTTTGAAGGTTAAGGAAACTCACTTTCATTGTGAAGTGGATGAAAACTTTTATTGTACATGTTAATTTTATCAAGCACTTTTTCCAGACCTATTGGGTTGGTCATTTGGTTTTTTCCTTCTTTAATCTAGAAATGTCAGTAAATACACTAACATGTTTTTCGAATGTTAAACCAGTTTTACATTTCTTAGATAACTGTATCTTGGTCATGATATGTAGTGTAAAATTTAGCTTATCAATATTGTATTTATGGTTCTTGTTTTGGTGTGCATGAGGGTGATTGGCCTGGAATTTTCTTTTCTTACATATTCCTAATGTTGTTTTGATGTAGAGGTTATATTAAGTTTATAAAATAACTTGGGACTTATTTCTCCTTTTTTATTCTCTGGAAGAGTTTGTGTAAGATTGGAATTATTTGCTCATTGAAAATTGTAATATGTGTATCTTTATCTTATGTATAACCTTCAAAGTTAGGTGTAGAAGCAGAGACATATGGGGACTGACATTTGCAAAGCTGAATAATAAATCAGGATTAAAGTAATTGGTGTTAACAACTCAGCTTTCTTCCAGGATTTCACAACATGTACCTAACAAGAGAAAAAGAGAAAGCGATTACGAATTGTGAGGATCTTCTCTAAGTCTAATGTTTCTTTGGTGGGCATTTATGCAGATAGGAAAGATAAAAATGAAAAGCTTTGAACTTCTGTTGAAAGAAAGTGAATCCTTATTTACGGCAGACAAATTGAAGCTGATTGCCACCTTTCTCCAGTCATGCATCCAGCTTCTCTCATTTGCCATCAGATAGCACAGATTGATGTGCACTGTCAGTCCTTAGAATGTTGTGTTGCCATAGGCACTTGCCCAATTCTCAAATCCCCTTTATTCCGCTCATTTCTTTCACAAAAGGAGTGCTGATTGAGTTCAAGCAAATTCATGCAAAAAAAAAAAAATCTGTACATAGAAGGAAAAACGAGATTAGAATCTGGTTGAGCTTCTTTCCTTCCTAACCCCCCACCTCCAGATTCTTTTCTTAGCTAACGAAAGGAGCAACTTGCTTAATGGCGTATACCTACAACTCACTACTCTTTCTAAACTCATTCAATAATTCTTGAAATAAAACTAAGCCAAAAAAGCAAAGCTTACATAAAAATTAACTGAGAAATTTTCTGTCACAAATTTATTTCTTATATAATTGCATCATTCTTCATTTGTTTGTACTGAATGGCATTATTAATAATTTCACCTTGTATTAATGTTGCATTTCATAGATTACAATCAATGTTGATGTATATTATTTTTATGTGTTTCCAGTGACATAGATGAGTATCATTGCCATTTTACAAATGTGAATCACCTCAGAGTAGTCATTCATTTCCCAATGGGAATCAGATTTAGTTAAATTTATATTTAATACCTCATGTACTTAATTAAAAGGATATTAAAATTATCGATAACTTGATTAGGATTATTTTATTTATAACTAGGACTTGCCTAGGAAAAGAAAAAAATAGACCCTTGGAAAACAAAAGCAGATTTATGCTATTTAAAATATTTCTTTTTTTCTCCTCTTGGCTGGAGAAGCAAAACGGGAAAAGCATCATGAAGCTGCTTGTCTTTGCCAATGTTGAGGTTGAATCTACTTTAATATTGCATTATTATTAGAAACTTTTGTAATATGTGGTGGGTCCATTTAGATACTGCTTGTTATGTGCTGAACTGTGTTTCTTCAAAATTTATATGTTGAAGCTGTAACCCCTAACCTTGGCCATTAGGTGGGCCCTAATCTAACCTGACTGGCGTCCTTATAAGAAGAGGAAATTTGGACACAAGAAGAATTAGGATGAGCACAGAGGAGAAAGGCCATGTGAAGACACAGCAAAAAGGTGCTCATCTGCAAGCCAAGAAGAGAGGCCTCAGGGGAAACCAAATCTGCCGACACCTTGATATTGGACTTCTAGTCTCCAGACTATGAGAAAATTAATTTCTGTTGTTTAAACCACCCAGTCTTTAGCATTTTGTTATGGCAGCCTTAGAAAACTACTACACCACTCAAACACATTGAATATGGGGAGAAGGAATGATCAGTTATCAATGAGAAGCAACCTGAGGCCCCTTAAATTTCTTAAGTCCCAAATTAAGCCTTTCAAAAAGAAGTCTCCCCATAAACTAAAAAATAAAGATTGGCATATAACTATAAATACTTGAGGAATCATTTCATGAATAGCATCCTTTATTCTGGAAAAATGGCTCCAAATGAACTGCTCATTACCAAACCCTTGACTGAACCACATTATGCAGAAGCATGGCAAGGGTTCAGCATCATTTGCAAATTAACAATGAGTTATAAGCAGCTCTATATTCTTTTTCTGGGCCTTTCTCCAGAAGGAATTATTTAATTTGGAATTCATTTTTGTATTCAAGTAAATGTTTAATAAAGTGGGTTTTTTGAAACAGCAAATTCACATAAAAATATATTTTAGGTGCTATATTTCTTATTTTTAATAATTTATTGAGGTGAAAATCACATAACATAAAATTAAACAGTTTTAAGGGAACAATTCAGTGGCATTAATTACAGCCCCAATATTGTGCAACCATCACCTCTATCTGGTTATAAAACATTCCTGTCACTCCAAAGTAAGATTCCTTACCCATTAAATCTTGTGCGTCGTTTTCTGGTGTCCCAAGGCAAGTTAACCTCATTGGGGCAGGTGAGTAACGTACCAGAATTAACAGTGTTGGATTTTTTGTCTTTTAAAATAGTTGACTTGGGATGCAGCTTCCAATTTTGCTTTAGTTGGAAGTCATAAGATAGGATGGTAGTGATATCCATATCAGAGGTGTGGGAAGTATTTTAGAATGTTGCCACTTACTGTAGCCCATAGCTGAGCTTTTATAAAAACTTAAAGAAGCAAAGTGTGATGGGAGGCTCTGATCCTAGCTCATGGTATTGAAATTTATACCAAATAACTTTTTCCCTAGAGCTGCCTTTTGTAGGTAGGAGTATCGATTCCTTCAACAGATATTTGTCAAGGACTGCAGGCTGCAGGGGATTCAGTGGTGGACAAGTGAATTGTAGTGACTGTGGTGGAACAGGTCACTACACTTGTTAATTGGAGGACATTCAATTAAACAAGCCATACTATGAAGTGTAATAAGAACTTCAACAGTGGAAACACACATCAGGAACCCCCGACTCTACTTCAGAAACAAAAAGCATCTTGGCTCAAACCCCTATTTTTCAGGTGTGGAAACTGAATGCAGAGAAGGGAGGTGACTCACCCTTTGTTAGTAACTAAGCCAGGAATAAAATTCTTGTTTCTCAATTTTGCTTTTTTTTTATTTTTTTATTTTTATTTTTTTGAGTCAGGGCCTCACTCTATTGCCCAGGCTGGAGTATAGTGCGGTGCCATCTCGGATCATCACAGCCTTGATCTCCTGGGCTCAGTCGATCCTCCTGCCTCAGCCTCCTAAGTAGCTGGGACTACAAGCACATGCCACCACACCCAGCTAATTTTTTTGTAGAGATGAGGTCTCGCCATGTTTCCCAGGTTGGTCTCAAACTCCAGGCCTCAAGTGATCCTCCCAGAAGTGGTGGGATTATAGATGTCAGCCACCATGCCCAGCCTTCAATTCAGCATTTTAAAAACAGAATCTCTGCTATCCTTTCTTTCTGAATTAGTTTGAAAATCTGATCTTTGCTTTTAATTTCTTTTTTACTCATATAGAAGTTAGTTTGATTGTTCAAAAGCCTGAGAAGAGTGCTGCAATTGTGAAGGTCAATTACTATGCAGGCATTCCATGGCACAGTTAGTGCACTCCAGCCACTGTGGGTTTGATCTGCAGACAGGACTCTCCTCATCTGATCCAGCCCACAGGATCAAGTCTAGAGGTGTTGGATGTTATGATTTGGCTCTGTGTCCCCACCCAAGTCTCATCTCCAGTTGTAACCCCTAGATGTTGAGGGAGGGACATGGTGGGGGGTGACTGGATCACAGAGGTGGTTTCCCTCATGCTGTTCTCATGATAGTAGTTAGTTCTCATGGGATCAGGTGGTTTTATAAGGGTCTCTTCCCCCTTCACTCTCTCTTCTCTCTTTCTTGCTGCCTTGTGAAGAAGGTGCTTGCTGTTTCTTTGCCTTCCACGACTGTAAATTTCCTGAGGCCTCGCCAGCCACGCAGAACTGTGAGTCAATGAAACCTCTCTCCTTTATAAATTACCCAGTCTTGGGTAGTATCTTTATAGTAGTGTGAAAATGGACTAATACACTTGACAATGCTCACATACTTCCAGCAGACCCTGGGCAACTTCAGCCCCATGGCCCTTTCTCCTCAGACCAACCTTAAACCTGGACTTTACTTATGAACTCAGCCTCTCTGTAAATCGCAACTGCCTTTAAAGTCTAACACATTCTATTGCTTAACAGTTGGTTATGTGATGACATAAAGAAAACCATATTTTAGTTTTTATCATGGATTGGGTCCGGATCGCATAGCAATTCCCCTTGGATTTTTATTTCCTGTGACCTGAGTAAGGCAAGCAGAGACATGCTAGTTTGACATGTCAACTTGTGAGCAGCCACCAGCAGCCCAGGGCTTGAGGGATCCTGAAAGATCTTCCTTGGAGACCATTTGGAATGACACAATTTCAGGGTTGGAAGGAACCTTAAAATGATCACCTAGTTCAACCAAATACCCTTTTAACTGGTGAATGTCATTTACTGTTTATTTGTTGGATGGACATTCAGCCAGTCTGGTGTCCTTCCTTAATTGTTCCACTGAAACTGCTTTTGATTGGTTCACCAATGACTTTCTGGACAAACACTGGTTCCTTTGGTTCTCGTTTTACTCAATATCTCTTAGGATTTTAACATTGTTAACTATTTTTCAAGCCCTTGGCTTCTGTGACACACTTTGTTTCCTGTTTTCCTCTTAGATCTTTGATCAATGGTTTTCGATCAGGGACAATTTTACCCACAAAGGCATTTGGGAGTATCTGGAGGCATTTTTGATTGTCAAAACAGGGAGGAGAGTGCTTCTAGTGAGCAGAGGCCAGTGCTGTTGCTAAACAAATGCCAAGGACAGCCCTCTGAGACAAAGGATTATGCGGGCCCAAATATCAATTGTGCTGAGATTTAGAAACCTGATCTTTGATCACCCCTTCTCTTTTCTTCTTCATGTTATAATTTTTTAAATTTTGGAATTACCCAAGTTTCCTTAACCTTTCACTTTCCTCTCCTGATGCATTTTCTGTGGTGCACACCATCCAGTTCCATGTCTTTGACTCCTACCTATACCCATGTCTTCAGCTTTGACATTTCTCTTGGACTCCAACCAAGTAGAAACAACTACCAAGTAGATATTTCTGCCTTTATATCCTGCAGACACAGTGTAATAGGCCATTCTTGCACTACTATAAAGAAATACCAGAGACTGGGCAATTTATTAAAAAAAGAGATTTAATTGGCTCATGGTTCTGCAGGTTGTACAAACATGGTACCAGCATCTAGTCAGCTTCTGGGGAGGCCTCAGGGCTTTTACTCATAGCAGAAGGTGAAGCAGGAGCAGGCACTTCGCATGGTGAAAGCAAAGAGAGAGTGAAGGTGTGGGAGGTGCAACAATACCAGATCTTGTGAGAACTAACTCACTATTGCAAGGACAGCACCAAGCCACAAGGGATCTGCTCCTATGACCCAAACACCTCCCACCAGGCCCTACTTTCAACATTGGGGATTGGCAATCCAACATGAGATTTGGCAGGGACATATATTCAAACTATATAATTCTGTCCCTGGCCCCTCAAATCTCATGTCCTTATTACATTACAAAATACAATCATGGCTTCTCAACAGCCCCCCAAAATCTTAACTTGTTCCAGCATCAACTCAATCAAAAGTCCCAAGTCCAAAATCTCATGTGGAAATGCATTCCTTCTACCTATGACCCTGCAAGTTCAAAATCCAACAGGGCAGTCATTAAATCTTAAAGCTCCAAAATAATCTTCTTTGACTACATATCCCACATTCAGAGTACACTGGTGCAAAGGTTGGGCTCCCCAGCCTTGGGCAGCTTCATCCCTGTGGCTTTGCAGGGTTCAATCTGCACAGCTGCCATCACAGATTGTTGAGTGCCAGTGGCTTTTCCAGGTGCAGGGTGCAAGCTGCCAGTGGATCTACCATTCTGGGATCTGCAGGATGGTGGCCCCTTTCCCACAGCTCCACTAGAAAGTGTCCCAGTGGGGACTCTGTGTGGCGCACCCAACCCTACATTTCCCCTCTGTTCTGCTCTAGTGGAGGTTCTCTGTGAGGACTCCACCCCTGGCTTTCTCATACATCCTCTGAAATCTAGATAGAGGCTGCCAAGCCCCCTTCTCTATTGCACTCTGTGCACCTGCAGGCTTAATGCCATGTGGAAGCCACCAAGGTTTATGGCTTGCACCCTTTGAAGCAGGAGTCCAAGTTGTATCTGGGGACCTTTGAGCTGAGTTGGAGCCAGAGTGCCCGGATGTAGGGAGCATTGTCCCAGGGACACAGGGAGCACTGTCCCAAAGACTGCACAGGGCAGTGGGGCTGGGGACCTAGCCCATAAAACCATTCAGTCTTCCTAGGCCTAAGGGCCTCTAATGGCAGAGACAGCCTCAGAGATCTCTGAAATGCCTTCAAGGCCTTTTTTCCATTGTCTTGGCTATTAGCACTTGGCTCATTTTTAGTTATGCAAATTTCTCTAGCAAATGATTGCTCTACAGCCTGCTTGACTTTCTCTCCTGAAAAAGCTTTTTCTTTCTCTGCCACATGGCCAGGCTGCAAATTTTCCAAATTTTATGCTCTGCTTTCCCTTTAAATATAAATTCCCACTTTAAGTCATTTATTTGCTATCAAATCTGAGCATAGGTTATTAAAAGAAGCCATGCCACTTCTCAAATGCTTTGCTACTTAGAAATTTCTTCTGCCAGATATCCAAAACCATCACTCTGAAGCTCAAACTTTCATAGAACCCTAGGGCATAAACAGAACGCAGCCAGGTTCTTGGCTGAAGCATAAAATGGGTGACCTTTGCTTTAGCTCCCAATAAAATTCCTCATTTCCATTTGAGACCTCGTAAGCCTGGACTTTATTGTCCATATCACTATCAGGATTTTAACCAGGCTATTAAAAATTCCAAACTTTCCCTTGTCTTCCTGTCTTCTTCTGAGCCATCCAAACTCTTCCCATTACCCAGTTCCAAAGTTGCTTCCACATTTTCAGGTATCTTTATAGCAATGCCTACTCCCTGGTACCAATTTTCTGCATTAGGCCATTCTTGCATTGCTATAAAGGAATACCTGAGACTGGATAATTTATAAAGAAAAGAGATTTAATTGGCTTATGTTTCTGCAGGCTGTACAAGCATGGCACTAGCATCTGCTCGGCTTCTGGGGAGGCCTCAGAGAGCTTTTACTCATGGTGAAGGCAAAGCAGGAGCCAGAGCAGGCACATCACATGGCGAAAGCAAGAGCAGAGAGTGGGGAGGAGGTGCCACACACTTAAACAACCAGATCTTGTGTGGACTCACTCACTATTGTGAGGACAGCACCAAGCCATGAGGGTTCCACCCCTATAACCCAAACATCTCCCACCAGGCCCACCTTCAACATTGGGAATTACAATTCAGCATGAGATTTGGCAGGGATATATATTCTACGTCACACAGCAAACTCAGCAGTGCACCAAACAAACTGGTTATCTTCCCCTCAAGTCTGCTGTTACTCCTTTTCCTCTGTCTAGGATTTCTTTTCTTAATAGCTGCCAGATCTTCAGGGTTGGTTCTGAGAGCTCTCATCTCAGGTGTACAATTTATGTGTGTCTCTTGGAGGCTTGAGGACTCTCAACCATTGTCCAGGATGCTGCCTGCTCCAGAATTTGCTGCTCCTGTCAGATCTAGAGACCTGGCACCATCTCCTAATAAAACCTGTGCATTTGAAAAGACACCCAAGTGGCCACATATGCCTGCTTTTCATGATCTCTCATTCATGCTGCTGCTGCTGGCAAAACCAGCACTTGGAAAGTTAATCTGTAGTTGAAAGAGATGTGGCTTGGGCCGATCTGCCTGCCCTGGTGGCTTTTGTTGCTGCTGTTGCTGCAGCCAACCCCAAAATAGGCCTCAATGGCCCCTCCAGGGGGTGCACATCTTCACTCCGAGTTACACTTAAGGAACAGGGCTCTTTGCTGGACTGGTGGGCCTGAGGGTTATAACTCATTAGTTTTTTGCATACTGTCAGTTCCTGTGGGTTGATGTTTACCACTAAGAAGCAGAGATGCATGAGGCAGGTTCTGATTTAGCTGCCTACTGGGTCTATTTTAAAAGTTTCCATCCAACTGACTCCTGGTACACAGGTCAGTACTCATGGTCCTTCCCAGCCACACAATATTCCCTCTTGGGAGCCTCCTTGTCCCTTCTTCCCATCTCTATGACCTTGATTACAGCCATCCCTGGGCTGGGCCAGGCCACAAAAAGTGGACTGAACTTGGATCCTGGAGTAAAAGATGACTTGGACTTGGTTTAAAATGGTCTTTTCCTCATTATAACACTGAATCAGCAAGTACTCAATGCAAAGGACACACATGCAGAGCCCACTGAGAGGACATAGCTTCCAAATGGCCTCTGCATTCCATAGAAGTACCTGCTAAAGTGGAGATCCTAGCATTTTGTGTGGAGTAAGCAATCTGGGGTAGAAAGAACCCTAATCCCTGAGCTCATCAATGGGCTCAGAGTGGGGCCATGGCAGGTCTGAAACGCCTGCTCTCATCACATAAGAAAATGTCTTCTTTTTTTGTTACTTCCATGTTCTATTTTTTTAAATTGTGCCATTGGGTTTAAAGTAGGTCTTACCATGCTCTATCTTAACCTCAAGTCACCAGATAATTTTCGATAACTTTCAACTTCAAAGTAGTCGGAACCTTAGTTTCAGCATGAACAGGATTTTTTGGTTGTGAGCAGCAGAAACAACCGATTCTGGTCAATCTAAATAAAACACAAAAACAAAATCAAAACAAGGATTTAAAGGAAAGATATGAGGTAGCTCAAAGGATAAGAATCTACACAGGTCCTGAAATATAGGAATCAGAAACTAAGAACACTGTTGGAATGATTATGTTGTAATCTTTTTCTGTCCTTGTGTTTTACAGTTCATGATTCAGATTCTTAGAAGAAAACATTTATTGGTCTTGCTTATTGCATGTGTTTATCTCTGGACTAGGTAGGGCTATGATTGACAGTCCACCAAAACTGCTTTCAGTGGTTTCTGTATATCCAAAGGAAAGTCAGGATGCTTTTAACTAACAGAGCAAGAATTCTCAGCAGGCAAAACCAGCAGATGTCCATTTGTTCCCCGTCTTAATCAGTTTGGGCTGCTATAACAAAGTACGATAGACTGGTGGCTTATAAACAACAGAAATAGTCCACAGTTCTGGAGGCTGGAAGTTTGAGATCAGGATGCCAGCATAGTTGGGTTCTGCTGAGGGCCCTCTTCTGGATTGTAAACTTCCCATTTCTCATGAAATGGCAGATAAAGAGCTAGTTAGCTTTCTGGTTTCTTCTTATAAGGGCACTCACTAATCCCATTTATGAGGATTTCACCCTCATGACCCAATTACCTCCCAAAGGCTCTACCTCCAAATACCATCACATTGTGTGTTAGGATTTCAACATATGAATTTCGGAGCAAGACAAAACATTCTGTCCATAACAGTCCCCTTCTTCCCAGGAGGCTGTGCAGGCTGAGGATTTTGATACAATTCCTGCCTCCATAGTTTTTTCTCTGAAGGCCAGCGTGTTAGGAGAAGGGTGGCTGGAATCCATCTGCCTTTAGGATTGGAGCCCTGGGTTTAGTCAAGTTTTCTTGTTCCATCATATTCTTCAAGATTAGACTACATTTTGTAAATCAGTCTTTTATTTATTGCAGACCTGAAATGTAAAACCAATATTTTAAAATGTATTTTCAGGTTTATAGTATCCTTCAAAGCTGCAGACAAGTTTTTTTTCCAGATCAAAGCATGAAAATGCCAGGAAGGAAATCACCTAAGCCAAGTAATGTCCAGAGAAAATTTTATGTACATTGAAATTGATAGAGAAAGCACTGGAGCAGTGCAATCTTAAATCAAATGCACAGGTAAAAGGAAAATGCTAAATATAGAAAGTAGCATCATCTAGTAATTATAATTCTATAGTCTCCCGATCAGTTGTTTGCTTATTTATTGACTCCTTAAATATTTATCAAGTGCCTCCTCTGCACCAGGCATTATGTTGGGTGCTGAGGATGGATACAATCCCTGCCTATAGAGAGTATATAGTGTAGTAGGGATCATATTCTAGTGTTATGTTCATTTACAATAAACCCTATAGCTTAAATATTCAAATATTTTAAATACCTAAGTCACAAAACTATGCCAAAGTCCACTGAGGAGCTCAAAGGAAAAATTCACATTTCACTTGTGGGAATAAATACTCAGTATTTACTTCTCTAACTTCTTCCCACCCTTTAACACATACTCCCATTTCCCTTAATCTTGTTTCTTTCTCTTTAAAAAAATTAGAGAAATTAAGTAAGGTAAAACTTTCCAAACATTTAAGTATGTGTCTGCTACACTCAATTTAGAGTAACTAAAGCTTTCAAGGAATTACAGTGGAGTTCTCCATGAAATAATGTGGCTTTTCCCAACACTTGAAAAATCATATTTGTGCTTGGGACTTTTTTCCTTTAGATTTATCAGGTTGGCTGTTAAATGCACCACGTGGTTAAAAAAAGAGGTATGAGGAACCGTTCGGAGCTGTCTGGAGCAGCAGCTACAGCAAGAGACTGGAGGTTTAGGGGCCTCTCCCCTTAGGCCACGGCTGAGCTTCCAGCAGGAGGCTACTGCCCGGGGATGCATGCATGAATGAAGACAGCTAAGCTGAGCACTCAGTGAGGGCAGAGATACCCTCTGCCACGGTCATTGCCGGCAACCTCAGCATCAAGCACTGTGGCTGGCAGAGGGCTGGCACTCAGTAAGCTTTTGTTACATGAATGAATAAAAATAAAAAGGGCTTTGAACAAGAGAAGAGAAAATTTGATCTCCCTGGATTTATAATCAGACAATTAAAAAAAATTTTTACTTTAATTCTGGGATATATGTGCTGAATATGCAGGTTTGTCACATAGGTATACATGTGCCTATGGTGGTTTGCTGCATCTATCAACATGTCATGTAGGTTTTAAGCCCCACATGCATTAGGTATTTGCCCTAATGCTCTCCCTCCCCTTACCCCCGACAGGCCCCTGGTGTGTGATGTTCCCCTCCCTGTATCCATGTGTTCTCATTGTTCAGTTCCCACTTATGAGTGAGAACATGCGGTGTTTGGTTTTCTGTTCCTGTGTTAGTTTGCTGAGGATGATGGTTTCCAGCTTCATCCATGTCCCCGCAAAGGACATGAACTCATTCTTTTTTATGGCTGCATATTATTCCATGCTGTTTATGTGCCACACTTTCTTTATCCAGTCTCTCATTGATGGGCATTTGGGTTGGTTCCAAGTCTTTGCTATTGCCATATGTGTGCATGTGTCTTTATAGTAGAATGATTTATAAATCCTTTGGGTATATATCCAGTAATGGGATTCATGGGTCAAATGGTATTTCTGGTTCTAGATCCTTGAGGAATCGCCACACTGTCTTCCACAATGGTTGAACTAATTGACACTCCCACCAACAGTGTAAAAGCGTTCTTATTTCTCCACATCCTCGCCAGCCATCTGTTGTTTCCAGACTTTTTAATGATCCCCATTCTAACTGGCATGAGATGGTATCTCATTGTGGTTTTGATTTGCATTTCTCTAATAACCAGTGATGATGAGCTTTTTTTCATATGTTTGTTGGCCGCATAAATGTCTTCTTTTGAGAAGTGTCTGTTCATAGACTATGAACAGAAGTGTCTGTTTATAGTCTGTTCAAAAAGTACCCACTTTTTGATGTTTGTTTTTTTTTTCTTGTAAATTTGTTTAAGTTCCCTGTAGATAAGCAGATGATTTTTTTTTTTTTTTTGAGATGGAGTCTCACTCTGTCTCCCAGGCTGGAGTGCAATGGCGTGATCTTGGCTCACTGCAACCTCCACCTCCTGGGTTTAAGCGATTATCCTGCCTCAGCCTCCTGAGGAGCTGGGATTACAGGTGTCCGCCACCGTGCCCAGCTAATTTTTGTATTTTTAGTAGAGACGGGGTTTCACCACGTTGGTCAGGCTGGTCTTGAACTCCTGACCTTGTGATCCGCCCACCTTGGCCTCCCAAAGTGCTGGGATTACAGGCATGAGCCACCGTGCCCGGCCGATAATCAGATGATTTTTAACAGCTCCTTTGATTAATTGGGTGATTCTGAGTTGCATTTGATATACTAAAGACCCAAGGCCCAATAAAAGCAGACAAAGAATTTGGGTTTCCAGATACCTCTGCCTTTTTTTTTTTTTTTTTTTTTTTTGAGATATAGCCCTAGGTGCCTCTTTGGTTATATTTAAAGTAAACTTTAATGCCTATTTAGTCAGCTCTCTGATTTAATTACAAATTCTTCTTGATTATGGGTTAAATTTTGACTTCATAAGATAATTTGAATTCTAGCTCTGTATACTTGGAAGTTATTATTTTGGGACACTTTACTAATTAAGAAAGGTTTCTGTATCTGGTAGGCATAAAGAAGGTTTTCCTGTATAGGTGATAGCAATTGAATTTCATCTCACTTGTCAATTTTAATGGATTGGTTTGTGTGGGGTGTTAGATTGAGAAGGATTCTGAGGCCAAGCCTGAGGTCTGTAGAGAACGTTACCATGCATGACAGATGATCAAGGTCTTCTTGGCTGACAGAGGCAGGAGGATAGAACATGTCCTTCATAATTTCTATCCCTGCTCCACAAACTATCATATGAGATCGAAAGTGCCTCTTCTGTGACCAGAGACTGAATGCAACCAAGATCTGCAAACCAGGGGAGTGATTAGTAGACACATCAACATAACTCCATCCTGAGGGAGTCATTTGTTGTTAGCTTGATGACAAATAGCCTGAAATGAAATTATTGAGGGAATCTGATTCCTTGTTAGAAAGATGAAGATGTAAATCAACACAAAATTGTGAAGTCCAAGAAGTCACTGAGAAGTGTTCCGGAGAAGGAGTCTTCTGGAAAGAAAGTTAATAAGCCTAGTAGAGTAAAAAATAGCCCAGGGATTGGTACCAGATAAACACGATTGTCATCAGCTGTGTGCCTTTGGATAACTCAGCCTTTCTTCCTGGGACTGCTTTCTCCTCTCTAAATATGGATACTAATACTTGCTCTGCAGACGATAACAAGTATATATAAAAAGGGCCTGGCGCAGAGAACAACTCCAGCGATAGCCATTTTCCCATAGAAGTGTAAATTGCTGGATATCTTTGGACATTTTCCTTTAGATTTGTTTCTTAACAAGTTTATATTTTAAACATTCTTTTGGGAACCTTTCTACTTTAGAAGATCCATGAGTGTCAGCTATTGCTGGCTTTATGAATATTTAAAGAAAGCAATATAACTCCCATGCAATAGTTGGCACTGGCAATTCAATGTAAGAGATAATCTAGAGTTAAGCTAAATTACCACTGTCTTTTGAATCTACTCGTATGTGTCCTCTGACTTGATCCAAGCTGTCTGTTGATGCTTCCACTGCCTAGTTCAAATAAACTTTGTCACCTCTTCAGCTGCCTTAGTAGCACAACATATAGATCAGAAGAAATTGCATCAAAATAACAGATACATAACTCAGAAAAGAGACAAACTCTGGGCTTAGGGAAAGATGGCGTTCTCAGCACTCTTTCACATGACTCTTGTAATTTCAGTTGCTCTTAGAAACAGATTTCTTTACATGGCAGTTGCTTTTTAAATCCAATTTATACTTACACTTATCTCCAGAGTTATCTCCAAAGGAGTTCTAGCAAAGAGAACTATGCAAACATTGTTTATTGGGTGGAACTGTTTTTCTAGATCCCTTTAGAATTTCAAATATGGAAATTTGGGTAGGAAAAGATCATTATCAAAATGGTACGTTTCCAAAGAGATTTTATCTTTATTTACTTGGATGTAGGAAAGCAGTCTACATATCCGCTTCTGTTTCCACATGGGAGAGAAAGTTGGGAAGCAAGTGAAATGTTTATCATTTGCCTACGGTTTTAAAATGTAAAAAATTTCCAGTTGGGCCTATGGAGGTAAAAGCTGCTTTATAAAAAATACATTTGGATACAGGAATATCTAAAATGTAGAATAGGACATTTGTGTATTGAATTATTGAGACAACCTGGAAAAATTTATCATGGAGAAAGTAAAAAGAAAACATACAGGTGCACACACACACACAAGCACTCACACACACACTGCTGATTGGTAAGAGAAATGGTGTGCATGCACATCTGGGAAAAGAAAGCTACATAGAAATATGAGATTTTAAAATTTCAAGAGTCATTTTATAGCACTTTCAGGCTTGGGAGGCAGTAGAGTTCCATGGTTATGACATTGGACTCTGTAGGCTGACAGATCTGGGTGCAAGTCTTAGCAACCTAGGAATATGGGTTTTGTTTTATTATTCTTCTCCCAACTCCAAGCTCTCTGATAGTTCTTTCTTTTCTTTTCTTCTTTCTTTCTTTTTCTTTCTTTCTTTCTCTTCCTTCCTTCCTTCCCTCCCTCCCACCTTTCTTTCTTTTCTTTCTTTCTTTCTTTCTTCTCTCTCTCTTTTCCTTCCTTCCTTCCTTCCCTCCCTACCACCTTTCTTTCTTTTCTCTTTCTTTCTTTCTTTCTTTCTTCTCTCTCTTTTCCTTCCTTCCTTCCCTCCCTCCCACATTTCTTTTTCTTTCTTTCTTTCTTTCTTTCTTTCTTTCTTTCTTTCTTTCTTTCTTTCTTTCTTTCTTTCTTTCTTCTTTCTCTCTTTTCCTTCCTTCCTTCCTTCCTTCCTTCCTTCCTTCCTTCCTTCCTTCACTCCTTCCTTCTTTCCTTCCTTCTTTTCTTTCCAGGGTCTCCCTCTTTCACCCAGGCTAGAGTGCAATGGCACCATCTCAGCTCACCACAGCCTCAACCTCCCGGGCTCAGGTGGTGATCCTGCCACCTCAGCTTCCCTAGTAGCTGGGACTACAGGTGGGTGCCACCACACCTGGCTAATTTTTTTGTATTTTTTGTAGAGATGGGGGTTTTACCATGTTGGCCAGGCTGGTCTTGAATTCTACATATTCTCAGACACCCACAGTTCATATTTAGTTTTTATGAATGAAATTAGCCACACTGTCAAATAATATTTCATATGGTCTGTTTGCATAGTGAAACCTTCTTTTTTCTTCTTGAGACTCAGTAGGAGACTTGCATTTGCCCCTTGTATTTGGTCACTTTTGTCTATGTTCAAGCCTCTCTAGGTGGATTAATTTTCATCTGTCCATATCGGAGTCTAAACTAAAAGACAGATGTTACAGTGGGGGAAAACTATTTCCTCTAGCTAAGCTGCAAAGGATTATGTAATCAAGAGGCATCAAGGAGCTCTGGAACCAATGGCTTAATATTCTTGATATATGGTGATGATTGTACAACTCTATACATTTGCTACAAATCACTGGATGGCACACTTATGTGGTTGACTTTTATGGTATGTAAAATCTACCTCAATAAAACTGTAAAAAAAAGCATTGATATATTAAAAAAAAAACAAACCCTAAAAAGCAATCTGGAAAGAAAGCAACAAGTCAGTTGCAAAATGCGAAAGACATCTGAGTAGGGAGTGGATGGCCAATAAACATAAAAACAAGTTCAATGTCACCAGCAATTAGGAAACTGCACTCTGAAACAGCAGTGAGAGCACTCATCATCTACCATTTGGCAGATTTTTAATGTCTGAATTCAAACTGTAAAAATTATTTGAATAGGTAGTACATTTAAAGGGTTCAACGATAAAGATGAAAATAGGTATAAAAAATGTATGTGGAAAGTTCCCTTTCCACCTCTTTCTCCCAGATCTCTTGTGCCTTTTCCCTCAATGCAATCCGTTATCAATATCTTGTGTAATTTCCCAGACACTGTCTTTAATGTACATACAGTAAAACATGTATATTTACTACCACCACTTTAAACACTAGTGGTTATGCACTGTATAAATTGCTCTGCATCCTGCTTTGTTCCTCTACCTTCAAGAGCTTCCCCTATGGATATATACAGTGAGTCCTTGCTATTTTGTTAATAGATGCACAGAACTTCATTGTGCAGATATACAACAATCTGTCCAAATGTTTCCCTATTGGTGAAATATTTTTTCAGTATTTTTCCATTAACAGTGCAGTGTACATTCATGACTTCCCATAAGTGTGAATATGTCTGTGGAGTAGTTTTTGGATGCAGTTTTGGTAATTGTGGAAAAATGTTTAAAGGTTGATTGCATACAGCATCAGTGAGGGTTTAGAGAAATGAGGAGCCCACGGTTTTTTTGCAGGGGGGCACAATCTTACTGTATATCAACACCAGAAATGTATATACCCTTTGATCCAAAAATTGTATTTCTAGGAATCTCCCCTACAAAAATTCTTATATACGAACACAAAGTTGTATGTTCCAGGATTGTTTGAAATAGCAAAACATTGGAATCAACCTAAATATATAGCAATCTTAGTAGTAAACAAATTATGGTACATTTACACTATGAAATATTCTGAAGAAGTAAAAAGAAAGAGGTAGATCTTTATAAATTGACACGGAAGAGCAACCCTCTAAAATGTGTTAATGTGAAAATCATGTTGCCTGTGTGTTGTGGTCCCTCATAAGATAGATGGATAGGTAGATAGCTATCTAGATATCTATCTAGATATCTCATAAATCTCTTTTTCTCTCTTCTTCCCTCCCTTCTTCCCTTTCTCCCCTTTCCTCCCTTCTTTCCTTTCTACGAATGCGTAGGAAAATAATTAGGGGCATATATATGTATTTACACACACACATATATAAGATATTATTCCATGTGACTATATTTATGTGTTCCATTTTCATATTGCTATAAAGTATACCTGACTGAGTAATTTACAAAGGAAAGAGGTTTAATTGACTCACAGTTCCACATGGTTGGGGAGGCCTCAAGAAACTTATAATCATGGCAGAAGGAGAAGGGGAAACAAGGCATGTCTTACATGGTGGCAGGAGAGAGAGTGTGCAGGGGAAACTGCCACTTTCAAATCATCAGATCTGATGAGAACTCCCTCACTATCATGAGAACAGCATGGGGAAAACCACCCCCATGATCCAGTCACCTCCCACCAGGTCCCTCCCTCGACATGTTGGGATTACAATTCTAGATGAAATTTAGGGTGGGGACACAGAGACGAATCATATCAATATATATACACAATCACTAATGTTAGTGTGTGTGTGTATATACACACCACATATGTATACACACTGTTAGTGAATGTGTGTGTATACATATAAACACACACACTAATGTTATACTAATATTAGTATATATCTAATGGTAATATACTAGTAATATACTAATGTTAGTATATATATGTTAGTGTGTATATATAACATATATAGTATATATGTATTATGTATTATATATACATATATGTTCATAGTATATATGTATATATGTACACTATAATACATGTATTATACTATGTATACTATATATACTTCATATAGTATAATATATGTATTATACTGTATATGTGTACTGTATATACATATATAGTATAATATATGTAATATATACTATATATAGTATAATACATGTATTATACTATACATGTATATATATAGTACATGTATTATACTATGTATTATACTATGTATAATATACTATAATACATGTATTATATTATGTATAATATACTATAATACATGTATTATACTATGTATAATATACTATAATACATGTATTATACTATGTATAATATACTATAATACATGTATTATACTACGTGTATACGTGTATTATGTACATAATACATGTATTATGCTACGTGCATACGTGTATTATGTACATAATACATGTATTATGCTACGTGCATACGTGTATTATGTACATAATACATTTATTATGCTACGTGCATACGTGTATTATGTACATAATACATGTATTATGCTACGTGCATACGTGTATTATGTACATAATACATGTATTATGCTACGTGCATACGTGTATTATGTACATAATACATGTATTATGCTACGTGCATACGTGTATTATGTACATAATACATGTATTATGCTACGTGCATACGTGTATTATGTACATAATACATGTATTATGCTACGTGCATACGTGTATTATGTACATAATACATGTATTATGCTACGTGCATACGTGTATTATGTACATAATACATGTAATATGCTATGTGTATACTTGTATTATATACTATAATACATGTAATATGCTACGTGTATACGTGTATTATATACTACAATACACGTATATACTACGTGTATACGTGTATTATATACTACAATACACGTATATACTACGTGTATACGTGTATTATATACTACAATACACGTATATACTACGTGTATACGTGTATTATATACTATAATACACGTATATGCTATGTGTATGCGTGTATTATATACTACAATACACGTATATGCTATGTGTATACATGTATGATATACTATAAAATACATGTATTATACTATGTGTATACAGGTATTATATACTATAATACATGTATTATACTATGTGTATACATGTATTATATACTATAAAATACATGTGTCATACTATGTGTATACATGTATTATATACTATAAAATACATGTGTTATACTATGTGTATACATGTATTATATACTATAATACATGTGTTATACTATGTGTATACATGTATTATATACTATAATACATGTGTTATACTATGTGTATACATGTATTATATACTATAATACATGTGTTATACTATGTGTATACATGTATTATATACTATAATACATGTGTTATACTATGTGTATACATGTATTATATACTATAATACATGTGTTATACTATGTGTATACATGTATTATATACTATAATACATGTGTTATACTATGTGTATACATGTATTATATACTATAATACATGTGTTATACTATGTATAACACATGTATTATATACTATAATACATGTGTTATACTATGTATAATACATGTATTATATGCTATAATACATGTGTTATACTATGTATAATACATGTATTATATACTATAATACACGTTTATACTATGTGTATACATGTATTATATACTACAATACACGTATATACTATGTGTATACATGTATTATATACTACAATACACGTATATACTATGTGTATACATGTATTATATACTACAATACACGTATATACTATGTGTATACATGTATTATATACTACAATACACGTATGTACTATGTGTATACATGTATTATATACTACAATACACGTATATACTATGTGTATACATGTATTATATACTACAATACACGTATTATACTATGTGTATACATGTATTATATACTGTAATACACGTATTATACTATGTATAATACATGTATTATATACTATAATACATGTGTTATACTATGTGTATACATGTATTATATACTATAATACATGTTTATACTATGTATATACATGTATTATATACTATAATACATGTTTATACTATGTATATACATGTATTATATACTATAATACATGTATTATACTATGTTTATAGTATAATACATATAATATATAATATACATTAATGTTTATAGTATAATACATATAATATATAATATACATTAATGTATATAGTATATATATCACATACACACAATATATAGTATATATACTATATATGTATACAATAGTATGTATAGTATATATACATATACTATATACATATACATTATACTATATATGCATATAGTATAATATATGTATTATGCTATATATGCATATATAGTATAATATATGTATTATACTATATATACATATATATGTAGTATAATGTGTATATATACACAATACACACACACACACACACACACACACACACACACACACACACACTAACATGTAGCAGTAGTAACCTAAGGAGAGAGAAAAAGAAATAGAATGAAAGGGGAATTTCTATTTTTTATTTTTATTTTTGTATTGTTGAATGGTTTTTACAATGAACACATATTCACATATAACTTCTGTAATTTAACAAATGATATTTTAAAATACCAAGAAAAATTCTAGTATAAGTTATTAACTGCCCCTCTAAGACTTTCTTTTTCTTTCTTCCCCCACCCTGTTTTTTGTTAATCATGAGAATTTTCAAGTATCTATAAAGTATAGAAAATAATATTACAGACAACCACGTACCCATCATCCAAATTTAACAGATGTTAACATTTTGCCAAATTTGCTTCAGATTCTGTTCTAACAAAAAGACAGAAAATGTTACTGATAATAGTTAAAGGTTTGTGCCCTACACTCTCGAGGTGGTGATTTTCTTGGAGTTGTGTATTATTTACAATTTTTTAGATCAGAAAATAAGGTGCCCTCAGATGATTTAAAAGAAAAAAGTCTTGACCAGGCATGGTGACTCACGCATGTAATCTCAGCACTTTGGGAGGCCGAGGTGGGCCTGTGGTCAGGAGTTTGAGACCAGCCTGACCAACGCAGAGAAACCCCATCTCTACTAAAAATACAAAATTAGCCGGACAAGCTGGCGCATGGCTGTAATCCCGGCTACTTGGGAGGCTGAGGCAGGAGAATCGCTTGAACCTGGGAGGAAGAGGTTGCGGTGAGCTGAGATCACACCATTGCACCCCAGCCTGGGCTCGAAACTCCATCACAAAAAAAAAAAAAAAAAAAGAAAAAGTCTTAAGTGCAGTTTTCCACATTTTGTAGAAAACTTCCTGTAAGAGGGATTAGAAATTGCATCTTTCTTTTTCCTTTGAAATACTTGGAGGGTTTGCCATTCTCCCCTTCTGGTCCCTCATCTCACTCCCATCTCCCTGAATGAGCATCTCCCCGAATGAACATCTCCCCTGGGCTCTTGACTTCTTCTCTCTGTTCCATCTTGGCAGCCACTGCCAGACTATCTTCCTAAAGCCAGGTTTCTCAACTTTGTTACTACTGTCATTTTGTGTGGATAATTCTTTGTTGTGGGGGCTGTTCTGTGCATTGTACAGTGTTTAGCAGCATCCCTGGCCTCTGACCACTAGATGCTTTCCCCTGTTGTGACAACCATAAGTGTCTCCAGCTATTGCCACATGTGCCCCTGGGGAGCAAAATTGCCTGTGGTTAAGAATTACTGCACTAAATTGTGATTTTTGATATCACTTCCATGCTCCTAAAAGTCCCATGGTTCTCTACTGCCCATCACACCATGTTCAAACTCTCCTCACACCTGCCACTGGCCCCATGTGATTTCAAGTCACCTCTGCTCCCACCTCCTCCTGTTTTTGTGCTTC
Organism: Homo sapiens; assembly: GCF_000001405.40. Classification (NCBI taxonomy): domain Eukaryota; kingdom Metazoa; phylum Chordata; class Mammalia; order Primates; family Hominidae; genus Homo; species Homo sapiens. The sequence continues at coordinate 56,512,005 of NC_000003.12, read as the reverse complement.
ATCCCATCAATCAGTCACTACCTCCCTGCTCTCCTAGTCCTCTTGTATTAAGCTAAATCTCACAGTTGGGCTTTTGTGCATGCTTTCCTGCATCTTATGGTGTCATATCTTTTAGTTTCTGCCTGTCCAACTGTTGCTTGCCTTTCAAGGTCAGGCGTAAGTCCCATTGCTTCATATAATGTTTCCTGGTTTATTTGGCCCTTGTTTGTGTCCTCTTGATTTGGAAGCAGTAAGCTCTGGTGGGTCTGTGAATGGACTTCAGGATCAGATGAATGTGGGTATAGCCCTGACACTCCTACACATGAACTGTGTTACATGGGCAACTAGTTTAGTCTCTCTATGCTTTGTCTCCTCAATAGCATAATGGGGACAGCCATCCCTACCTTACAGGCTGGTTGACAGGATTAAATTACATTTTTTAGGCCCCACTTAGCTCCCGAGTATATATACTACTTCACATGTGTTTGTCTTAACTGTGCAAATGGAATGAAGTTTATTTGTTTGAGACAGGGACTCTGCCACCTAGGCTGGAGTGCAGTCATGCAATCATAGCTCACTGCAGCCTCAACTCCTGGGTTCAAGCAATCCTCCCACTTCGGCCTGCCAAAGAGCTGTGATTACAGGCACGAGCCGCTGCGCCTAGCCAGAATGAAGTTCTTTAAAGAAGTATGTTAAACTTCTCCTCTGTCGTCTCTTGTGACAGATGCTTTGTAGATATCCAATAGGTATCACTGACTGCATAGGGAAAATGCAGCAGTACATACCTACCAATTACTATACTGCTTCTGTACGTACTCACAACCTTGGGGTCCTTGATCTTTCATTCCTTCCAAATGAGTTTCAGAAGGATTAGGTTTATCACCTTGATTTTTTTTTATTTTTTAATGATCATTGGTGTATAATAGGTGTATACATTTATGGGGCACATGTAATGTTTTGATACAGGCATACAATGTGTAACAATAAAATCAGGGTAATTGGGGTATCCATCTACTTAAGTATTTATCATTTCTTTGTGTTAGGAACATTCCAATTTCAGTCTTTTAGTTGTTTTGAAATATACAATAAGTTATTATTGACCATAGTCACCTGTTATACTACCAGATTCTAGAATTATTTATTCTATCTAACTATATTTTTGTACCCATTAACCTTCCCCAGTTTATCCTCACTACCCTTCCCAGCATCTGGTAACCATCATTCTACTATTTCCGTGAGATCCATTGTTTTAATTTTAACAATATATATTACCAGGGGCTAAGTGGGCTCCCACATATGAGAATATGCACAATTTGTCTTTCTGTGCATGGCTTGTTTCACTTAACGTAACGTCCTCCAGTTCCATCCATGCTGTTGTAAATGACAGGATCTTCTTTTTTAATGGTTGAATAATATTCCATTGTGTATATGTGCCACATTTACTTTATCCATTCATCCGCTGATGGACATTTAGATTCCAAATCTTGGCTATTGTGAATAGTGCTGCCATAAATATGGAAGTGCAGATATTTCTTCGATATACTGATTTTCTTTCTTTTGGATATATCCCTAGCAGTGGGATTGCTGGATCGTATGGTAGCTCTATTTTTAGTTTTTTGAGGAACTTCCATACTGTTCTCCACAGTAGCTGTACTAATTTACATTCCCACCGACAGTGTACGAGGGTTCCCTTTCCTCCACATCCCTGCCAGCATTTGTTATTGCCTGTCTTTTGAATAAAAGCCATTTTAACTGGGATGAGATGATATCTCATTGCAGATTTGATTTGCATTTCTCTGATGGTTAATGATGTTAAACATTTTTTCATACACTTCTTGTCCATTTCTATGTCTTCTTTTGAGAAATGTCTATTCAGATCTTTTGCCTTTTTTTTTTTTTTTTTTTTTTTTGAGACCGAGTCTCCCTCTCTTGCCCAGGCTGGAGTGCAGTGGTGCGATCTCAGCTCATTGCAGGCTCCGCCTCCCGGGTTCACGCCATTCTCCTGCCTCAGCCTCCGGAGTAGCTGGGACTACAGGCGCCCGCCACCACGCCCAGCTAATTTTTTGTATTTTTAGTAGAGACGGGGTTTCACCGTGTTATCCAGGATGGTCTCGATCTCCTCACCTTGTGATCTGCCCGCCTCGGCCTCCCAAAGTGTTGGGATTACAGGCATGAGCCACCATGTCCGGCCTGCCCTTTTAATATTTATTTATTTATTTGTTTATTTATTTTTGAGACAGAGTCTCGCTCTGTCCCCCAGGCTGCAGTGCAGTGGCGCCATCTCGGCTCACTGCAACCTCCACTCGCGGGTTCACGCCATTCTTCTGCCTCAGCCTCCCGAGTAGTTGGGACTACAGGCGCCCGCCACCACGCCCGGCTAATTTTATTTTGTATTTTTATTAGAGACGGGGTTTCTCTATGTTAGCCAGGATGGTCTCGATCTCCTGACCTCGCAATCTGCGCGCCTCAGCCTCCCAAAGTGCTGGGATTACAGGCGTGAGCCACCACGCCCCGCCCTACTTATTATTTATTTATTTATTTAATTTGAGACAGAGTCTGACACTGTTGCCTGGGTTGGAGTGCAATGGCGCGATCTTGGCTCACTACAACCTCCGCCTTCTGGGTTCAAGCAATTCTCCTGCCTCAGCCTCCCAAGTAGCTGAGATACAGGTGCACACCACTATACCTTGCTAATTTTTTGTATTTTTAGTAGAAACAGGGTTTCACTATGTTGGCCAGACTGGTCTCGAACTCCTGACCTTGTGATCCGCCTGCCATGGCCTCCCAAAATACTGGGATTACAGGCGTGAGCCACCACGCCTGGCCTATTTATTTTTGAGAAGGAGTCTTGCTTTGTTGCCCAGGCTGGAGTGCAGTGATATGACCATGGATCACTGCAACCTCAACCTCCCGGACTCAAGAGATCCTCCCACCTCAGCCTCCCTAGTACCTGGGACTATAGGCGCACGCCATTACACATGGCTAATGTTTGTATTTTTGTAGAGACAGGCTTTTGCCATGTTGCCCAGGCTAGTCTTGAACGTCTGGGCTCAAGGAATCCACCCACCTTGGCCTCCCTAAGTGCTGAGATTATAGGCTTGAGCCATTGCACCCAGGCCCTTTTGCCCTTTTTAAAATATAATTATTTGATTTTTTTCTATAGAGTTGTTTGAGCTCTTTGTATATTCTGGTTATCAATCCCTTGTGAGATGAGTAGTTTGCAAATATTTTCTCCCATTCTGTGGCTTGGCTCTTCACATTGTTGATTGTTTCCTCTGCTGTGAGGAAGCTTTTTAGCTTGATGTGATCCCACTTGTCTAGTTTTGCTTTGGTTGCCTGTGCTTTTGAGGTATTACTCAAGAAATCTTTGCCCAGAACAATGTCCTGGAGAGTTTACTCAATGTTTTCTTTTAGGAGTTTCATAGCATCAGTCTTATATTTAAGCCTTTAATCCATTTTAATTGAATTATGTATATGGCAAGAGCTAGAGGTCTAGTTTCATTGTCTCTTGTAGAATGTTTAGCAGCATCCCTGGCCTCTAACCACTAGATGCCAGTAGGTGCCTTCCCCGGTTGTGACAACCATACGTGTTGCCAACTATTGCCACATGTGCCCCTGGGGAGAAAAATTGCCTGTGGTTAAAAATTGCTGTCCTAAATATCCATTTTTTTCCATCATCATTTGTTTAAGAGGCTATCCTTTTCCCAGTGTATGTTCTTGGCACCTTTGTAAAAAATGAGTTCACTATAGATGTGTGGATTTATTACTGGGTTCTCTATTCTGTTCCATTGTTCTATGTGTTTGTTTTTATGTCAGTACCATGCTGCTTTGATTACTGTAGCTCTGTAGTACAATTTGAAGTCAGGTAATTCAATTCCTCCAGGTTTGTTCTTTTTGCTCAGGGTGGCTTTGGCTATTCTGGGTCTTTTGTGATTCCATATAAATTTTAATAATCTTTTTCTATTTCTGTGAAGACTGTCATCAGTATTTTGATAGGGATTGCATTAAATCTGTACACTGCTTTAGATAGTATGAACATTTTAACAATATTGATTCTCCCAGCCCATGAACATGGAATACCTTTCCATTTTTGTGTGTCTTATTTAATTTTTTATCAATGTTTTTTGTAAGTTTCATAATAGAGATTTTTTTCTTTGGTTAAGTTTATTCCTAGGCATTTTATTTTATCTGTAGCTATTATAAATGGAATTACTTCCCTGGTTTCTTTTTCAGATTGTTCACTGTTAGCATCTAGAAATGCTATTCATTATTGTATGTTGATTTTGTATCCTGCAATTTTACTGAATTTATTTACCAGACCTAACAGTTTTTTGCTGGAGTCTTTAGGTTTTTCTAAATATAAGATCATATTGTCTGCAAAGAAGGATAATTTAACTTCTTCTTTTCCAATTTGGATGCCCTTTATTTCATTTTCTGTCTAATTGTTCTAGCTAGGAGTTCCAGTACTATGTTGAATAATGGTGGTAAAAGTTGATATCCTTGTCTTCTTCCCCACCTTAGAGGAAAACCTATCAGTTTTTCCCCATTCAGTATGATATTAGCCATGGGTCTGTCAGATATGGCTTTTATAATGTTGAGGTATGTTGTTCTGTACCCCATTTTGTGAGAGGTTTTATCATAAAGTTTTATCATAAATGTTGAATTTTATTGAATGCTTTTTCAGTGTCAATTTAAATAATCATATAGTTTTTGTCCTTCATTCTGTTGATATGATGTGTTACATTCATTGATTTGTGTATATTGAATCATCCTTGCATCCCTAGGATGAATCCCGTTTAGTCGTGATTAATGATTTTTTTTAGTGTATTGTTAAATTTGGTTTATTAGTCTTGTGCTGAGGATTTTTGCATCTATGTTCCTCAGAGATACTGGCCTGCAGTTTTTATTTTTTTTCATTGTGTCTTTGTCTGGTTTTGGTATCAGGATAATACTGAACTTGTAGAATGAGTTTGGAAGTATTCCCACTTTCTTGATTTTTTTGAAATAGTTTGACTAGGGTTAGTTTTAGTCCCTCTTTAAATGTTTGGTAGGGGCAGGGCATGGTGGCTCATGCCTGTAATCCCAGCACTTTGGGAGGCTGATGGGGGTGGATCATCTGAGGTCAGGAATTTGAGATCAGCCTGGCCAACATGGTGAAATCCCGTCTCTTCTAAAAATACAAAAAATTAGCTGGGAGTGGTGGTGGGTGCCTGAAATCCCAGATACTCAGGAGGCTGAGACAGGATAATCGCTTGAATCTGGGAGGTAGAGGTTGCAGTGAGCTGAGATTGCACCACCGCACTCCAGCCTGGGTGACAGAGCAAGACTGTCTCAAAAAAAAAAAAAAAATTAGGTAGAATACAAGAGTGAAGCCACTGGGTCCTGGGCTTTTCTTTGTTGGTAAACTTTTAATTACGACTTTACTGTCATTACTTGTTATTGGTCTATTCAGGTTTTGGATTTCTTCATGGTTCAATCTTGGTAAGTTGTATGTGTCTAGGAATTTGTCCACTTCTAGGTTTACCAATTTATCGGCATATCATTGCTCATAGTAGTCTCTAATGATCCCGTGAATTTCTGCAGTGTCACTTGTAATGTCTCTTTTTTCATCTCTGATTTTATTTAATTGGATCCTGTCTTTTTCTTAGCCTGGCTAAGGTTTTGTCAATTTTGTTTGTCTTTTATCTTTTCACAAAATCAACTTTTTGTTTCGTTGATTTTTTGTATTTTTTTGTTTTAATTTCATTAACTTCTGCTCTGATTTTTATTATTTCTTTTCTTCTTGGAATTTTGATTTTGGCTTGCTCTTGCTTTTCTAATACTTTAAGAGGTATCATTAGGTTGTTTATTTGATGATTTTCTGCTTCTTTGATGTTGGTGCTTATTGCTATAAACTTTCCTCTTAGTACTGTTCTTGCTATATCCCATAGATTTTGGTATGTTATGTTTCCATTTTCATTTGTTTCAAGAAATTTTAAAATTTCCTTATTGACCCACTGGTCATTCAGGAACATATTGTTTAGCTTCCGTATGGTTGTACAGTTTCCAAAACTCCTCTTGTTATTGATTTACAGTTTTATTCCGTTGTGGTCAAAGAAGATGCTTGATACAATTTCAATTTTTTAAGACTTGTTTTGTGGCCTAATTTGTGGTCTATCCTTGAGAATAATCCATGGGCTGAGGAGAAGAATGTGTATTCTGGGCAGGCGCTGTGGCTCATGCCTGTAATCCCAACACTTTGGGAGACTGAGGCAGGTGGATTGCTTGAGCCCAGGAGTTTGAGACCAACCTGGGCAACAAGGTGAGACCCCATCTCTTTTACAAAAAATACAAAAATTAGCCACGCATGGTGAGGCATGCCTATATTCCCCGCTACTCAGTCCTCGCTTAAGGGGTCCAGGCATGGTGGCTCATGCCTGTAATCCCAACACTTTGGGAGGCTGAGGCTGGTGGATCATTTGAGGCCAGGAGTTCAAGACCAGCCTGGCCAACATGGTGAAACCCCGTCTCTACTAAAAATATAAAAATTAGCCAGGCATGTGGTGCATGCCTGTAGCCTCAGCTACTTGGTAGTCTGAGGCATGAGAATCACTTGAACCCAGGAGATAGAGGTTGCAGTGAACCAGCTAGCACCACTGCACTCCAGCCTGGGCAACAGAGCCAGACCCTGTCCAGGGGAAAAAAAAAAAAAAAAAAAAAAAAAAAAAAGAAGGCTTGCATGAGCCCAGGAGATTTAGGCTGCAGTGAGCTGTGATTGTGTTACTGCACTCCAGCCTGGGCAATAGAGTGAGATCCTGTCTCAAAAAACAAACAAACAGAAAAAAGAATGTGTATTCTGCAGCTGTTGGATGAAATGTTCATAAATATCTATCAGGTCCATTTGGTTTATAGTGCAGATAAAGTCCAATGTTTCTTTGTTGATATTCTGTCTGGATGATCTGTCCAATGCTGAAAGTGGGGTGTTGAGCTATTATTACCCCACTGAAAGTGGGGTCTCCAGCTATTATTACGTTAGGGTCATTTCTCTCTTTAGCTCTAATAGTGTTTGCTTTATATATCTAGGTGCTCATATATATTTAGAATTTTTACATAATCCTTGATTATTTTAAAAATAAATGTACTATGCCAATTGGTTGTTGCCTTGTTGAAATGACTGAAATAATGAATTGTCCAATGATTGGTGAGGATGATTCATTTCATAATGCTCTTGGAAATACAGATAGACATATAGCACTCAAAATCTTCAATTCTATGGCTTCTTTTTGGGATTATCCTCTGTTAAGGTGCTGAGTGTTACTAGTATTTTGAATTTCTTCTTCATAGACTCATAGTTAAGAGTACATATTTAGAATTCAGACCATGATTGTAATTTCAACTCTGCTGCATACTAAAAATCTGACTTCGAGAAATTTTCTTTTCTTTTCTTTTTTTTTTTTTGAGACAGAGTCTCGCTCTATCACCCAGGCTGGAGTGCAGTGGCGCGATCTTGGCTCACTGCAAGCTCCGCCTCCTGGGTTCACGCCATTCTCCTGCCTCAGCCTCCCGAGTAGCTGGGACTACAGGCGTCCACCACCACCCCTGGCTAATTTTTTGTATTCTTAGTAGAGATGGGGTTTCACCGTGTTACCCAGGATGGTTTCCATCTCCTGACCTCGTGATCTGCCCGCCTCGGCCTCCCAAAGTTCTAGGATTACAGGCATGAGCCACCACGCCCAGCCAAGAGAAAATTTTTAAAAACCCCTTTCAGCCTCTATTTCATTATGTTTAATTGGAGGAAATGATAGCCCTTCCCTTATGGGACTGCTATGAGATAATGTATGTGCAGTCTTAGCACGGTTCTTGGCACATGCCAAGTGCTCTGTAAATGCTACCTATGCATCATTATTTTTTCTCTTTACAAATATTCATCAGACATCAACTATGCTCCAGGCAATGAACAAAACAGAAATGGCCCTGCCCTCAGACAGCTTACGTCCAGTTTTTATTATTTTGAGGATGGTAGGCGGTTTTAAGTAGAGGGCGCATTTGACTCTGCAGACGTAAAAGTCCTTTCAGAAAAAATGACTGTAAGAACTGATCTAAAAATTCAAATAAGAATTATTAGAAAGAGACTTTATAAATAACAACATTATTCTATGGTCATTTTCAATATTTGGAAATAAACCTAATATGGATGTAAAGACTTAACCTTCCAGAAAGCCTCTTATGTCAAATATCATTTTTATTGTTGTGCAAATGAATGTCGTTGACAGTGACATATGAGAGAACCAGTGTATAGAATCACAGAGCCAGAGCCAACCATTTAAATTAACCCACACCCTGCCCTGTGTGCTTTCTGTGTAATGGACTGAATGTTTATGTCTTCCCTACCCTCAAAATTAATATGTTGAAATCTTAACCCCCAATGTCATGGTATTAGGGAACTTTTCGAGGTGATTATGGTGGGGCCTTTGGGAGGTAATTATGTCACGAGGTAGAACCCCCATGAATGGCACTAGTGTCCTTGTAAGAGGCCCTGGAGAGGCCTTTCCTTCCACCATGTGAAGACACAGAGAGAAGGTCGCATCTGTGAAAAAGCAGGCCCTCACCAGACACTAAATCTGCTGGTGCCTTGATCTTGGACTTCTCAGCCTGTAGAATTGTGAGAAATAAATCTCTGTTGTTCATAAGCCACCCTGTTTGTGGTATTTTTTTATAGCAGCCTGAATGGACTAAGACATCACCCCATTCTGGTGCTCACATTATATCCCAGGCATGGAAGATTTTTCTATGGGGATGTGTGTATATTTTGTTTTCTTTTTAGACTTAGAAACTTATTTATAAAAGCATGATGATAAAGTAGCATGAATGTGAAGCTCTTTGCTTCCTGGCCCCTAAAACATGCATTTTTTGTACATGTTTCTTTAATTATAAAGCAAAACGTGGGGTGAAAAAATGAATGACAGATCCTTCACTCTCTGGGGGCTAAAAGAATCCTGTGGAGCAGAGGAGCAACTCCCTGGGGTCTTCTCTGCCTTTTCTGGGTCTCTATTTCGTGGTGAAGGTAACTTGTGGTGACACGACAACTGTAAAGCCTGGGGCTTCCTGACTCAGCATTTCAGGGAAGATTAACTGACAAATTCCACTTCTAGGAATTGATCTTATAAAAAGTAATGATAGAGATGCAACATGATCTAGTTATAAAGATGTTCATTGCAGTGTTGTTTATAATAAAAAGTGGAGACCCCCTAAGTACCTAAGAACACATATTAGTTAAGAAAACAGTGGTAAATCCATATGTTAAAAAATATAATTGACATGGAAAGATGTTCAAGATATGATGAAATAAAAAAGTAGGCTGCTGCCAGGCGCAGTGGCTCATGCCTGTAATCCCAGCACTTTGGGAGTCTAAGGTGGGCAGATCACGAGGTCAGGAGTTCGAGACCAGCCTGACCAATGTGGTCTCTACTAAAAATACCAAAGTTAGCTGGGCATGGTGGCATGCACCAGTAGTCCCAGCTACTTGGGAGGCTGAGGCAGGAGAATCGCTGGAACCGGGGAGGCGGAGGTTGCAATGAGCTGAGATTGTGTGCACCACTGCACTCCAGGCTGGGCGACAGAGTGAGACTCCGTCTCAAAAAAAAAAAAAAAAAAAAAGTAGACTGCAAAACAGTAGGCACAGTAGGATCCTATTTTGTTAAAAAGGACGTATGTCTGTGTTAGCTGTGTACACATAAGAAATGACTAGAAGGTATATAGAGTGGGTCCCTATGGGTGATGAGATTACAAGTAATTTGGATTTTCTTCTTTTTGGTTCTTTATATGCTCTGCAAATAACTAGTGGCAGTCATCACTGGTACCTGTTAAGTGCTGATTATGTCTCCCCAAATTCACATGCTGGAGTTCAGGATATGATTATTTGGAGATAGCAATTTTAAAGAGGTAATTGAGTTAAAATAAGGTTATATGGGTGGGCCTAATTTGATAGGACTGGTGTCCTTATGAAAGGAGGAAAGTTGGACGCAGACATATATAAAGGGAAGACCACGTGAAGACATAGAGAGAAGATGGCCATCTACAAGCCAATAAGAGAGACCTTAGAAGAAATCAACTCTGCCGACACCTTGATCTTAAACTTCTAGCCTCTGAAGCTGTGAGAAAATAAATTTTTGTTGTTTAAGCCACCTAGTCTCTAGTATTTTGTTACAGTTACCCTAGCAAGCTAATGTAGTACCCAAACCCCAACAACCTTTATGCCTTCCTCCTCTCTAACGAAACTCCAGCTTGGTTTAGGTATCCACCTTCCTCCGTGAGAAATGGGCTGAATCCCTGTCACCCATGCCAATGGTGGTAGGCCCCTTCCCTTGACAGATATTGACTTAAACATGCACATGTGACTCAGTTATGGGTAATCAGAAGTGAAAAATCTTGAGAGCTTCTAAGTTTTCCTAGAGGATGAGATACACCCTAAGGCATAGTCCCTCGTTTGGTTTATATTTTTGCTGGATATTGTCATATCTGCCTAAGTGTGGTAGCACCTTGAGATCATGAGAGAAGCTGACCTGATCTCATGATCAGAGGGCCACCTTGCCTTATGGAGGACAGAAAAGCAGAAAAATAAAAAGAATCTGGATCGATGGTGTCTTTGAATACCCAAATAAATTACCCCCATGGAGTCAAACACCTGAAGAATTGTTTCATGAGATAATACAGTTTCTTTATTTTTAAGCCAGTTTAAGTTTGTTTTTTCCTTGCTTGGAGCCCAAAGCATCCGAATTGGTACAATTGAAACCCAAAACAAAACACACAAGTGCAAAATACGTTCTATAAACCCTCAGATAACTCTAGGCCTCTACCTAAAAGCATGGACTCCACATCTAACAGACTGCTCCAGCATGAAATAGCCTTCTTTGGCTAAAGCATAGGTGCTAGTTAAAAAATTCATTCTGTTCACAATACTGATAACTGCAGAATACACATCTGAATGCCCCCCAGTCAGGTTCCCCTGTCACTGAGTTCTACTCAGTGAATACAAGAGCCCAAGGGCCATGTTGCATAAGAACTTCAGGGATTATTTAATTAGAGCAGCTGCCTCATCTGAGCCATTTAACATTTGAATGCCTATGGAATATACAACCCAGGACCCTGTCCTGGTGGGAAACTGTGGGACTACTAAGCATATGGAATTAAGCCCTGCCTGCAAACAGATTATGTTCAAGGTAGGATAAGACAGACATGTGGGGGAACCCCAAGACAAGGCAAGACCACGTATAGGTGAAGTAGGATAGGCAGAGGGGTAGACACAGGATTTGCTTCCCCTGGGGATGGGACGAAAGGACCAGAAAGTCAGGATTGTTTCCTAGTTCCACTTTTTTTTTTTTTTTTTGAGATGGAGTTTCCCTCTGTCACTCAGGCTGGAGTGCAATGGCACGATCTGGGGTCACTGCCACTTCCACCTCCCGGGTTCCAGCAATTCTCCTGCCTCAGTCCCCTGAGTAGCTGGGACTACAGGCATGCACCACCATGCCTGGCTAATTTTTTATTTTTATTTTTATTTTTATTTTTGGAGCCAGAGTTTTGCTCTTGTTGCCCAGGCTGGAGTGCAATGGCGAGATCTTACCTCACCGCAACCTCCACCTCCTGAGTTCAAGTGATTCTCCTGTCTCAGCCTCCCGAGTAGCTGGGATTACAGGCATGTGCCACCATGCCTGGCTAATTTTTGTATTTTCAGTAGAGATGGTGTTTCACCATGTTGGCTAGGCTGGTCTCAAACTCCTGACCTCAAATGATCTGACCACCTTGGCCTCCTAAAGTGCTGGGATTACAGTCGTGAGCCACGGTGCCTGGCTGCTGGTCCCACATATTTTGTAAATCATTTGCTGTGTTTAGTCTTTTACTTCATTCAGGTCCCTTTGCTAATTTCATCCCCATGGAGAAGTCTTTGTTATCTAGAGTGTCCCACACATCATTCCCCAATTCCCTCCTATCCACTCACACAGCTTTTAATTTTTTTCATAGTACTTATGCCAACACTATGTGTATCTCTCTAGGAGAGATTGTCTCTCAGTTTTTATCTCTCTTAATTTAGCACCCATGTACAAATCAATCAAAGCTGTGAACTCCAGGAGACTTTGGAAGTTAACTGATTTTCACTCTCCTGCTGGGAATAGATCTTAAAAAACTTGCTTAAATATGGACATAAAGACATATATGCTAGAGTGTTCATTACAATATTGTTTGCAATAGAGAAAACTAGAAAACAACTCAAGTGTCCATTAATAAGGTAGTTACTACATAATTTATGATACATCCATACTATGTTTCTTAGTTACAGAAACATAGTTGCATAAGTTATGATACAAAATCCCTGTTATAGTTCAGGCTACTATAACAAAAGTACCATAGGCTGGGTGGCTTAAACCACAGACATTTACTTCATACAGTTCTGGAGGCTGGGAAGTCCTAGTTCAAGGTGCCAGCAGATTTGGTAGCTGGGGAGCACCATTTTATGGTTCATATATTGCTGTCTTCTTAAAGAAAGGGCCAAGAGCTCTGAGGTCTCTGTTTTTTTGCGGGGGAGTCTCTTTTACAAGAGTATTAAACCCATTATGAGGATTTACATGAACTAATCACTTCCCAAAGGCCCCATCTCCTGAAACCATCTCATTGAGGTTTAGGATTTCAACAGGAATTCTCAGGGTACACAAATATGTAGCCCAGAACACTATGGAATATTATGTACCAGCTAATATATAATTAATAGTAATAAAATAATAATATGACCAGCCTCAGCAACATTGTAAGACTTCGTCTCTAAAAAAAAATTACCTTGGCAGGGTGCTCACCTGCAGTCCTAGCTACTTGGGAGGCTGAGGTGGGATGATCATTTGAGCCAAGGAGTTTGAGTTTCAGTGAGCCATGATCATGCCACTGCACTCCCGCCTGGTTGACAGAGCGAGAACCTGTCTCTTAAAAGAAGAAAAGTTGCTAAATTTACTAAATGCTTACTTATATTTTATCATTTCTCTTCCCTTCCACCACTCTAAGACGCATACTTTTTTTATCCCTAGTTCACAGATGAATAACTGAGGCACACAGAGTTTAAGGGATTTGGTCAAGATCAGACAATTAGGAAGTGGCAAAATCAGGATCATGACTAGTCGGAGGCTAGCACACACAGCCAGCCGCTTCTCCATAATGTCTTACAAGAATATGTAAGAGATATGTATACTGAGATTTTAAAAAATCGCCTAGGAATTTTGTTAACTAAAAATAAAAGCAAATGGGCCTAGAATGAGTCCATTCACAAAACAAAAGGTGTTGGTAAGTAAATATATGTATGTCTTGTGTTTTATCAGTGCTAACTTCCAAGGAAAGTAGGAGAGGAAGGATAATAGGAACTTGCACATTTACTCTGTATTTTTAAGATGCTTGGCTTTATTTATTTATTTTTTTTTTTGAGACGGAGTCTCACTCTCTTGCCCAGGCTGGAGTGCAGTGGTGCGATCTCGGCTCACTGCAAGCTCCGCCTCCCGGGTTCACGCCATTCTCCTGCCTCAGCCTCCCGAGTAGCTGGGACTACAGGCGCCCGTCACCACACCCAGCTAATTTTTTTGTATTTTTATTAGAGACGGGGTTTCACCATGTTAGCCAGGATGGTCTCGATCTCCTGACCTCGTGATCCACCCACCTCAGCCTCTCAAAGAGCTGGGATTACAGGCGTGAGCCACCGCACCCAGCCCTAATGGTTGGATGTTTTATAACATTTTCATGTGTTATCTGAATAAAGGCACCCCTCATGTTAGTGCACTTCACTTTATTGAGCTTCGTTGATACTGTGTCCTTTACAAATGGAAAGTTTGTGGCAACCCTGCCTTGAGCAAGTCTGTTGTTGTCATTTTTCCAACAGCATGTGCTCAATTCATGTCTCTGTGTCACATTTTGGTCGTTCTTACAATATTTCAAGCTTTTTCATTATGATTTATCTGTTATGGTGATCTGCAATTAGTGATTTTTGTTGTCACTATTGTAATTGTTTTGGGGCATCATGAACTACTCCCATGTAAGATGGCAAACTTAATTGGTAAATTAAGTTTGACCGGGTCTTCTTGCATCTCTCCATCTTCTTTGGCCTCCCTATTCCCTGAAACACAGCAATATTGAAATCAGATCAACTAATAACCCTACAGTGGCCTCTTGGTGTTCAAGTGAAAGGAAGAGTCGCAGATCTCTTGCTTCAAATCAGAAACTATTTCTAGCTTTAATATCTAGATTAAATTTAGTGAGGCAGGCGTGTTGAAAGCCAACACAGGCCAAAAGCTAGGCCTCTTGCACCAAACAGTTAGCCAAGTTGCGAATGCAAAGGAAAAGTTCTTGAAGGAAATTAATAGTGTTACTCCAGTGAACATATAAATAAGAGGGTGAACAGCCTTATCACTGATATGGAGAGAGTTTGAGTGGTCTGGATAGAAGATCAAACCAGCCACAACATTTCCTTAAACCAAAACCTAATCCAGGGCAAGGCCCTAACTCTCTTCAATTCTATGAAGGCTGAGAGAAGTAAGGAAGCTGTAGAAGAAAAGTCTGACACCAACGGAGTTTGACTAATGAGGTTTAAGAAAAGAAGCTGTTTCTATAACACGAAAGTGAAAGGTGAAACTGTAAGTGATGGAGAAGCTGCAGCAAGTTTTCTAGAAGATCTAGCTAAGATCATTTGTGAAAGTGGCTACACTAAAAAACAGATTTTCAGTGTAGACAAAACAGACTTCCATTGGAGGAAGATGCCCCCTAGAAATTTCACAGCTAGAGAAGAGAAGTCAATGCCTGGCTTCAGAGCTTCAAAGGACAGGCTGACTCTCTTGTTAGGGGCTAAGTCAGCTGGTGACTTTGAGTTGAAGCCAATGCTTATTTACCATTCTGAAAACCCTAAAGTCCTAAGAATTAAGCTAAATCTACTCTGCCTGTGCTCTACAAATGGAAAACCAAAGCCCGGATGAAGGCATATCTGTTTATAACATGGTTTACTGAATATTTTAAGCCCACTCTTGAGACCTGTTGCTCAGAAAAAAATATTCCTTTCAAAATATTACCACTCATTCACAAAGCATCTGGTTACCCATGAGCTGTGATGGAGATGTGAGGCAGCGCTCCTTTCTTGGGAGCACTAGCTGCAGAGGGTCTGTTCCTGCAGACCCCTGATTTGGTGACGGATGAATAAACATACACTGACACACAGATATTCTGCTTTGCCAGTCCAGCTGAGGGTCCGAGGCCACTCACAGACTCCAAGAAGAGTCCTGTAAAGAATGGCAGGTGTTGCCCTGAACGGTTCGCACTCCAGGCATTTATTTAGTGTAGAATTAACAATGGAAGCTTTGAGTCAACACACTTGTGGATAATTAACATGGTTAAGAGAGTAGTTCTACGAATGATTAAAGCTCAGGTACTGTGGTCTAAAGTAAATACCATTGGGGGCAATTTTCCTGGTAGACCTCTCCCGCCACCCCCCCAGGGCCATCTGGCTCAAAGGTTAGTTAATGGAGGTAGGGTAAACAGACTTAACTGGGGAAGCCTCTATTGTCCCTAGTATTTAACCTATGACTTAATGCTCTAAGGTAAGAACCGGCAGCCTTCAGCCTGTTCAATTATTACAAGCTATGTAACCTTTCAGCCTTCCAGAGAGGTTTGTGACTATTCCCTATAACTTTCCCTAATATTTCCCTTTAATATTTCTGCCACCATCCTGAGTGAATCCCAACAGAGACGTACAAAGGGATTAATGTTTTCCTGCCTGCTAATAATACAATATCCATTCTGTAGCCCATGGATCCAGGAGTAATTTTGACTTTCAAACCTTATTATTTGTAGAAATCCATTCCATAAAGCTATAGTTGCCATAGATAATGATTTCTCCAATGGATCTGGGCAAAATAAATGGAAAATCCTCTGGAAAGGATTCTAGATGTCATTAAGAACATTTATGATTCATGGAAGGAGGCCAAAATAGCAACATGAACAGGAATTCGAAAGAAGTTCACTCCAGCCCTCGTGAATGACATTGAGGGGTTTAAGACTTCCATGGAGGAAGTTATTGCAGATGTGGTGGAATTAGCAAGAGAACTAGAATTAGAAGTGGAGCCTGAAGGTCTGACTGAATTGCTGCAATCTCATGATAAAACTTGAATGGTTTAGGAGTTGATTCTTATGGATGAGCAAAAAAACTTGTTTCTTGAGATGGAATCTACTCCTGGCAAAGATGCTGTGAACATTGTTGCAGTGACAACAAAAGGATTTAGAATGTTACATAAACTTATTTGATAAAGCAGCAGCAGGGTTGGAGGGGATTAACTTTAATTTTGAAAGAAGTTTACTGTAGGTAAAATGCTATCAAACAGCATCACATGCTACAGATAAATCTTTCATGAAAGGAAAAATCAATCAATGCAACAAAGTTCATTGTTGTCTTTTTTAAAGAAATTTCCACAGCCACTCCAACTTTCAGCAACCCCCACCCTGATCTGTCAGCAGCCATCCACACTGAGGCAAGAACCTTCACCAGCAAAGATATTATGACTTGCTAAAGGCTCAGATGATCATTAGCAATTTTTTAGCAATAAAATATTTTAAATTAAGGTATGTACATTTTTCCGGAGACAAGGTCTCACTCTGTTGCCCAGGAAGGAATGCAGTGGCATGATCATAGCTCACTGCAGCCTCAATCTCCCAGGCTCAAGTGATCCCCCTACCTCAGCCTCCTGAGCAGCTGGGACTACAAATGCACAGCACCATGTCCAGCTAATTTTTAATCTTTTTTTTTTTTTTAAAGAAATGAGTTCTCACTGTGTTGCCCAGAGTAGTGTCAAAGTCCTGGGCTCAAGTGATCCTCCCACCCTTGTCTCCCAAAGTGCTGGAATTACAGGTGTGAGCCACTTTGCCAAGTCAGTACATTGTTTTTTGACCTAATGTTATTGCACGCTTAATAGACTACAGTACAGTGCAAATATAACTTTTATATGCACTGCAGAACCAGAGCTATTCTGATACTAGCTTTACTGTGGTTGTCTGGAACCCAACCTGCAATATCTCCGAGGTACACCTGAAATTTTAAAAACAGTTGTGCAATAACTAAAGCAACCACTAGAGGGCTCAACAAAGCGGCTTACCATGCCCTCTAGAGGTGGTGCCAAGAGAGCTGTCCAGGTGCTGAAGTGTGTAGAAAGGTTGCTCACTGGAGTGACACTAGGGAATCTAGAATGTGCCTTGGAGATTCCACTGCACAGCTCTGTGGGCTGGAAACCGATTGGTGTTAGGTGTCAGGCGAGAGTACAGAACTGCTCTGAATTCTTTAGTCCTTTCTATTATTCCAACATGAATCAAACCTAGCATGTCGGGGCAGGGTAAGCAAGTGATAGTATTTTGATATGCTTCTCACCCAAGAAAAGAAATGACACTTTGCAATCAAACCTGGTGATGGTGGAAGCCCAGTCAAGGTGAAAGCTTCAGCTAGCAATAGAGACTGATAATTTTTACCTAGTTCTCAAATGGTTGCGAAAGGATGTGGTCTAGGAAGAGAAGATAATATGTTTTTTATTGTTTGTTTTTAACTTCTTTTTTTTAAGATACAAGGTCCCACTCTGTCACCCAGGCTGGAGTCCAGTAGCACAATCACAGTTTACTGCAGCCTCCAACTCCTAGGCTCAAGCTATCCTCCTGCCTCAGCCTCCTGGGTGGCTAAGACTACAGGCATGCATCACCATACTTGGCTAATCTTTAAAATCTTTTTTATAGAAATGGGGTCTCACTGTGTTTCCCAGGCTGGCCTCAAACTACTGGCCTCAAGTGATCCTCCTTCCTCAGCCTCCCAAAGTGCTGGGATTACAGGCATGATCCACTGCACCTGGCCTGAGATTTTTTTTTTTGTTTTAAAGATTTATTGCCTGAATTAACTTAAAAAACCTAAACTTTAAAGTCTGTTGTCACATAGTTTGTAAACAATAGCAAGGCCCTTCATCTCTTCATCTTACTATTTTATAAAAGATTATACATTCAAATGTAAAAATAAGAAATCTATAAAAATGAAAATTATCTACGTTGCCCAAATTTTCTGAAGGATTGGGCAAATAAGTATGGATGTATATTACTCCTGAGGGTTTTAATTGTTGCAACCTTTTAGAGGGCAATTTGGCAGAATCTATCAAAATATCAATAGGTATTCTTGTTTTTTTTTTTTTAATACAGAGCCTCACTTTGTCACCCAGGCTGGAGTGCAGTGGTGCAATCACAGCTCACTGCAGCCTTGACCTCCTGGGTTCAAGGAATCCTCCCATCTCAGTTTCCCAAGCAGCTGGGACTACAGGCATGTGCCACCACACCCAGCCATTTTTTTTTTTTTTAAGATATGGGGTCTTGCCATGTTGCCCAGGCTGGTCTCAAACTCCTGGGCTCAAGTGATCCTCTCACCTCTGTCTCCCAAAGTGCTGAGATTACAGGTGTGAGCCACTGTGTCTGACCTGGGTATTCTTTTTGACCCGGCAAAACTATGTTAGAAATTTAACTTAAAGAAGTATAAATAAATATGAAGCATCTTTTTATTACAATCATGCAGAAATTATACCACTGATGTTATGGTAAAAAAATTAGAACCAATGTAAATGTTATCAGTAGGAGATAAGTTGTGGTTCAGCAATTACTATGCAGTCATTCAGAACATTGATTTATATGAATAGGCAAGGAAACATATCCACAATATTTTGTTGGATTAAAAAATATAGGGCAGAGAATGGTATGCATAGTATAATCTATTGAGGCAAATACATTTGTAGATGTATGCACAGAAGAATCTAGAAGGCCATACACTAAAGTATTAACATTAGGTTTTATTGAAAGACTGATCTACCAGGGGAAAGTGGAGGGCCTTTTCACTGTTTGGTACACATTTGTATCATACAATAGGCATGTACTATTTATACTTTTAAAAAGATAAAAAGGAACTGTGTAAACCAAAATATTGAGGCAGGGAATATTACTATTCCCTGTGTCTGTATCCTTTTAAATTTTTATTCCTTTCCGTTTTATATTTAACACCACTAGATAATTTGATTCTTTTTATTTTATCCTTCTGGTTGCCAGCCAAGGACTTTATTAGAATATTTTTTAAAAGTGAGATGGGGCCAGGCATGGTGGCTCATGCTTGTAATCCCAGCACTTTAGGTGGCTGAGGTGGGCAGATCACCTGAGGTCGGGAGTTCGAGACCAGCCTGAACAACATGGTGAAACCCTGTCTCTACTAAAAATAGAAAAATTAGCCGAGTGTGGTGGCTCATGCCTGTAATCCCAGCTATGTGGGAGGCTGAGGCAGGATAATCGCTTCAACCCGGGAGGCGGAGGTTGCAGTGAGCTGAGATCATACCATTATTTGCACTCCGACCTTGGCAAAAAGAGTAAAACTCCCTCTCAGAAAAAAAAAGTGAGATGGATATTACCCCCAAAATTTTTCATTGAGAATCAAATCACAAAAGTCTCCTGGCAGCTTAATCGATCAGTTCGCATGTCAATTCTGCAAAAGTTATCATAACAGACAGCTATGGATATATAAACCACTAACAAAGGCTTTAGATACTGGTCTATTGAATCCAAAGATCTGAGAATACATAGCTTAGGTCTGTATTAACTTATAAGAGTCATCTTTAAATTGACTTATGCAAAATTCAATTTGTATTGATTAAGCTCTTGACCTTAGAAAGCGTATTAGTCCTTTTTTACCCTGGTGATAATGACATACCTGAGACTGAGTAATTTATAAAGAAGAAGAGGTTTAACGGACTCACAGTTCCATGTGGCTGGGGAGGCCTCACAATTACGGTGGAAGGTAAAAGTCACATCTTACATGGTGGCAGACAAGAGAGAATGAGAACCAGGTGATAGGGGTTTCCCCTTATAAACTGTCAGATCATGTGAGACTTATTCACTACCATGAGAACAGTATGGGGGGGAACAACCCCCGTGATTCAATTATCACCCACTGGGTCCCTCCCACAACATGGGAATTATGGGAGCTACAACTCAAGACGAGATTTAGGTGGGGACACAGCCAAACCATATCAGAAGGGATAGTGAGGTTTTGGGAAGTGGAAAGTCTGTTTAGCATTGGAAGGATTCCTGGACCAGACACAAAAGGAATCCTTTGCAAAGATTCCAAATGAAAGGGTGAGTATTGCAACAGATTATTCATAAACATGATCTAAGGCACCAGATTCATTAATGTTTGCAAACTGTACAATCACTGGATAATTCCTCCAACTTGTGTCATGGGGTGGGGAGAATGAATCACCACAAAGGCTGAAATCCTGTGACAGGATTGCCTGCATGTGGTAATTAGAAGTTTTCTAATAAAATGTTAGTTGTCTTTTGGTACAGTTTGCTCAGAATCATGTTTGGCAAGTCCATCTTTTAACGTTTCTTCATCCTTACGTTTAATGCATTTAGTAAATAGAACATAGTGTAGTTGATGCTTTGGATGCATCACATTGCTATTCAAACAGAAACGTAACAACTAATGGGGCTAGAAAACATTATTGAGGTAAAAAGCATTCCACCCTGGAGTGCCAGTGAAGAGAGAGGGGAACCTGGGTTCCATCATTTATCTCTTCTAACCAGTACAATGCTGTGTGGCTCATCTCAAAACAAGAAAAAGTGAAAGGCAAGAGACATATACTTCTTCATATACTGCAGAACTGAATCCGCAGCGATTTTATACCTTTTGGGTGAGATCACTTTCCTTTTCCCAGGTGTGGCTTTACAATAAAATAATAATAATAATTCTCTTTTAATGGAGCACTTACTATATGCCAGACAAATTTATCTAACTTAATCTTCACTGCAATCTCATCAGATACATTCTATTTAAGAGACAGAATTTATTACCTGTTTACAGATGTGAAAACTGAGGATTAATGTATCTGAGGAACGTAACTGCCGACTAGCAGGAGTAGTTTACCATTTATTTAAGCAATTCAGATTTATTAAATCCCCAGAGTCTATACTGCTTCCTTCTAGGCACTTCAGAAAAAAAGAGGCTTGTTTAACCTGATTGTTTTTTCCTATGAGTTAATAATGTGCTTTGGGAGATGAGACACATACTGATAAAGCAAAGTGTGAACAAGGGAGCATTATTAGAATAGGCTTAAATCTCATATAAAGACTAAAAACAGGACAGTGTAAACTACCAAAGAGGCAGGCTGGGTAGAAGGCCAAAAAACTCTAGAAGGAAGTGTCTTAGTCAGCTTGGGCTGCCAGAACAAAATACCAAAGATTGGGTGGCTTCAAAACAGAAATTCCACCAGGTGCAGTGGCTCACGCCTATAATCCCAGCACTTTGGGAGGCTGAGACAGGCGGATCACTTGAGGCTAGGAGTTTGAGCCCAGCCCAGCCAACATGGTGAAATCCGGTCTTTACTAAAAACACAAAAATTAGCCGGGCATGGTTGCACACACCTGTAGACCCAGGTACTTGGGGGGCTGAGGCAGGAGAATCGCTTGAACCCAAGAGGCAGAGGTTGCAGTGAGCCGGGATTGTTTCACTCCAGCCTGGGCAACAGAGCAAGACTCCGTCTGAAACCCACCAACCAACTAACAAACAAAAAACCCAAAAAACCTCAGAAGTCCATTTCCTCACAGATCTGTAGTCTGGAAGTCTAGGATCAAGGTGCTGGCAGGGTCGGATTCTCCCGGCTTGCAGATGGCTGCCTTCTTGCTGCGTCCTCTTCACATGGTCTTTACTGTGTGTGTGCACACCCCTGGTGTCTCTTCCTCTTCTTACAAAGACACCAGTCAGGCTGGATCAGGGCCCCACTCTTATGAACCCATTTAGCCTTAATTACCTCTTTAAAGGCTCTATCTCCAAATGCAGTCCCATTGGGGGTTAGGGCTTCCACATAATTTGAATTTGGGAGGGACATAATTCAGTTCACATTACAGAGACTCAGTGGGGTAGCAGTGGATTGTGCACAGGACCAGGGGAAGGTTGGAGGAAAGATGCTGCTGGAGTAGTGGCTGAATGTGCACACCATCTGTCAGAAGGTCAGGGAGGAAGCCCTGCACTGGGATAGTATTTGATGAGATGACCTCAAAAACCCTGTCCAGGTATAAGATTCTGTGAATTATACGCCAGAGACTTCTCCAGCTGGCAGAGACCTTTCAGGAAGAGTGCTTGGTAAACACTCTTGACAGTGTGGAATGAATCACTGATGCTAAGTTGAACCTCAATGTGCATAAACAATTCCTTTCCCCCTGTTATAAGCATAGTGTTGTACATAAGCTTCTATCACTGTGCAGGATTTCTACAACACAGAAGGTCAAAGGTTTTGTTTTCTTGGATAAGGACATTTATGCCTCTTTAGAGGGGCATCACTTTTAATTGGATCTGATTTTAAACTTCTTGAAACGCTGGAACACAAGACAAATGATGAGTGCTTGGCAGGCAACATAGTCTGTGCTTAGCAAATACTTAATGACCTGCACTAAGACAATGAGCTCTTCTCCCAAAAGGTTTCTTATTTTACTAAATATAAAGAACAAAAATGTATACTATGGCTTGTAGATGGCAGACACCAGATTTTTTAAAGCGAAAAGTCCAGATGTTTTGGCTCATGTTGAGTCTCCCCAAGAGAAGCCCTCCAGCTGTGCAAGGAAGTCTGGACTCGTGGGAACAAACATGGCCCTCACACAAACTTTTCTATTTCCTACTCTATTCCAATTCCTACAGAGGCAGGTCTTGTGGAATGTTTTTCTTTGGCTTTGAATTTCTCTAGATAATGTGCATTAAAGTGAAAAGTCGATATCCATAGTTCAAGGGCAAAGGAGACCATAAGGTACTGAAAAAATTGGAGTCCTGCAACCCAAGAAGGCTGCTGTGTTGTGCTGGCATATCAGGCCACAGCAGTGGAGTAAGCCAATTCTTGAGGCGAAAGCCACAGGGAGGGAATTAAAGCAGCTCCGAACCTCTTACTCAGCACATGCTGTTATTCATGCAGAAGCGGGGATACCAGTAAGACTCAACGTGCTGACTCAGTGTCAGTCTACAATTCATATTATTAATAGAGAAATCCTTCAAAGGACTAACCCTTAATGGGCGAAACACCCTTATTACATTTGGGTGAGACACCCAGATGTAATTTTTGCTGTGGGTCATGGAAAAGTAATTTGCCCAATCAAGGGCACAGCTGGAATTGAGAGAAATACTTCCACTTGCAAACTGTACACAGGCTGCAGAGACCTTGAGAACAATGCCTTCCAGCTGTGACCTTGTACAAAATGTTTACCTTCTCTAGGCCTCCCTCAGTTTCCCTATCTGTAAAATGGGGATTAATTGGGGGAAATGGGGAATGCTCACTTTGTAGGTGGCCTGTGGGATTAAATATCAAAATGAATGATGCCCTTGTCCCAGAGCCCTGACACTTCATGAGTATTCAATAAACGTGAATAGTAATTAAAAGAGTAACTCAGGGTGTCCTGTTCCCGTTCAGAGTAGTAAGCATTACCAGTTGCCTTTTAAGCAACTAGGCACTATCTTTCATACTTAAATTTATGCCCACAAAGACCATTAGAAGAGAGAACATTTAGAAAAACTTATTTAAGAAACAGAACAGGAAGTTCTGCCTAGTATTTTGAAAAAAATGATAATATTACTCCAGGATCTTAAAATGAGGATCTCACTCTTGTGATTTCATTGATGACAATTGTGGACACATTGAATTGAAACACTGTGTGATGGTCACTATGTTAAGGGCTTTCTCTGAAATATTTCATTTAATCATTAAAATAACCATAGGAAATATGCTTTTATCCCTGTTTCACAGATTAGGAAACCAAGGCTTTGAGAGATTAAGTAAATTTCCAAAGGACTCCTTGCTAGCACATTAGTTACCTATTGCTATGCAAGAAACAATTCCAGACCCAGGTGTAGTGGGAATTGAGGCAGGAGGGGATTGAGGCAGGAGGACTGCTTGAGGCTAGGAGTTTGAGACCAGCCTGGGCAACATAGTGAGACATGTGTCTCTTAAAAGAAACCTTAAATTTAAAAAAAAATGAAATAATTCCAAAACTTAGTGTCTTAAGATAAACATTTTCAGGGCCAGGACTAGGGTGAAGTAAGTGAGGTACAAGTCTGGAGTGCAAAATTTAAGGGGATGCCAAAACACTCAGCAGGAAAGAGAAGCAATATTTTTAAAAATCAAAATTAATGCCAAAAAACCCCCATGGTGAACAAAATGCAATAATTTTAAATAAACATAAGATCGCTATTACTGATATTTCCTTTTGCCTCAGACTCAGCATTGTTAGTTATCCTGTCTTGCTTTCAGCTTCCCTACCTTCAAATAACCTTATATTCTCCAACCTCTACCTCCTCATCTAAAATTTGTCTGCTTATCTCCATCCCCAAAACCACTATTCTAGTCCAACCCCTCTTTGTTTTTTGCTTGTGCTACTGGAATAGTTCCTGCAAATGTCCTTTCCACTTCTGCTCTGGGTTCCCCAGGAAGAACCTGAGATGAAGATTTGCATGCAGGAAGCTTAGCAGGGAGTGCACAGGATCCTCATGGAAGGGCAGTGAGAAAAGCAGGACTGGGCCAATGGAGAAGTTGCATTGTGAGGCACTCATGGCAAAGTCCTCAGCTGATCTCACAGGAAGCTCTGAAGTTGTCTTGAATTACAGCAAGGAAGGGGTCAGGCCTTTATACCAACACCTGCCCCCCGATTCCACATACATCATAGACTTGTCATTGCATGCAGGCTTCCCCCAGGGAGGACCAAGTCCTTAGGCTAGGCAGCTCTCTTCAGCCAAAGTGAATTCCCAGACAAGGATCAGCTGAGCAGTCAGTCGCCAGTGCTAGCAGAAGCCAGGGGATCGAGTGCCTCAGTCTTGAAGCAGGTGATAGGTGGGGGCATTGGGATGGCTTATCACAGCATCCACTCCCTCTTCCAATCTAACCCCTCCTGCAGGGGCCTCCCTTCAGCTGTTGGACAAACTGAGAGCTGCCCCATCCCTAAGCCAGAACTTCACCATTCTCAGTCTGAAACGCTCTCCTAATCTTTGCCTTTGCCTTCCCAGCCTCCCGAGTAGTTGGAACTATAGATGTGCACCAACATGCCTAGCTAATTATTAAATTTTTTGTAGAGAGGGGTCTTGCTTTGTTGCCCAGGTTGGTCTTGAGCTCCTGGGATCGAACCTTACTCCTGCCCTGGCCCCCCAAAATGTTGGGATTACAGGCATGAGCCTTGGCTGCCAGCCCAAAGTTGAGTTATTTCTAAACGGAATTTGAGTTTTCTGTTATTTTGTCCAACTTATGGATGAGGAAATCAAGACTCGGGGGAAAGAACTTGCCCAAAGTTATGAAGACAATGGGTATGAAAATGGGATCTCAAACCATAAAAGATAGATGACTATAGACAAGTTACTGTTGACAGAACATTGACATAGACAAGCAGGGCTTTTCTGTCTGGCTTCTTGATGAATATCGGTAAGTCCTGGTGATCCAGAACTTTCCAATGGCATCAAGTCATGACAGGGAGACAGCTAGCTGGAGCTGCTGCTGTTTCTTTCTACATAGTGGTGGTATTGAGAGGCTTGGGATATAGACTTTCAACATAGTTGGGTACTGAGAGACTTGGGATGCTCCTGGGACTGCCCATTACACTTATTTCTTACCTTAAACAAGCAAGGCCAACCCTATGAACATTTGGATGCCGTTTGGTAGATGCTCTGATATAATTTTCTGAAATGAAGAAAAGCTGGCATCTCCTGCATGGTCCTCATCTGATGCATTGGCATTCCCCAGGCTGATTTTGCATTAGTAAAATAGCTAATAAGTCATATTTTTCTACCCCACTGTTGGTGCTGTTCTGGGTTTCTGTTTATCAAGCAGAAGAAATCATCATTGTATATACAATCACTGCAGACTCCTCCTCACCAAACAAAATCACAAATCTAAGCTTCCAGTAAAAAGCACCAATTAAATACCCATCAATAGGAAATAAATAGTTGTTAGCATAGAATAGACTAAAAAGCTATCATCTGAATTCCATACCTTTTGCTTGTTATAGTATCTGTCCTATTTATTTTAAGCAACATCATTATATTACTATGATGTGATAGCAGCCACCTTTCATTGATTGCCTATATGTAAAAAAGTGGTGCTAAATGCTTTATATATTATATGATTTAATTCTGAAAACAACATTATGAGGTGGTATAATTTTATCCCCATTTTTCTAATGAGGAAACTGAGGCTTAGAAAGGCTCTCATGCTTCAAAGCTGGCCATCCTGGTTAAATACTCTGCCATGCTGTATATAACAATGACAAATGTAAGAATAACTTAAATGTCCCTTCAACACACTTGACTGATTTTTCTTTTTGGCATGCAAAATCTTAAGATAATGCGTTTTTAAGGTTCAGACCACTGAGTTACTTTTAAGAAATGCCTTTCATTCCCCCAATCTATTAATTACAGAAAACAGCATGGGGTTTTGGTGAGCAGTAATGGCTTTGATATAAGGAATGTCCAGATCTGGGGAGAGCTACTTTGTGGGATACAGTCCTTTATCCTGCAAATGGGGAATATAATGTCCCACCTCCCACAGTTGTAGCGAGTGCTAAATGAGAAGATGTATCCATGTAAAGTTCTTGACTCAGTGCCCAGCACCCAGCAATTGTTCAATGAGTGGTGGCTGGCTCTGTTATTATTACGGGAGTCCTTCAAGTTCAGCTGAAGAGTTCTCCAGTGTTTAATCCTCCCCACCCCTGGACCCATAGCTTTCATATACACCTTCATTTATTTAAGGCTTGTATCACATCTACTTCCAAAAAGAGTTCAAGATGGGGGTTCTAAGTCAATCTCTGCATAAGCACGGTTGGCTGTGAATAGGTTGGAGAGGTCACAGGTCCCAATTCTGGTCCCAGTCATGTAAACTAGGTAAGCCTTGTGCCTCATTTTCCTTATTTGTCAAATAGGGATAATATCAGCACTAAGCTCCTCAAAAGGTTGTTAGGAGGATGAAATAAATCAAACAAATGGAAAGCTAAAATGTGCTACCAGCGGTCATTAACGTCAGCTTCTTGTGGGCTTGTAAATGCTACAAAGGACATGTTCTGCAACAGGGAACAGTGTCAGACCATAATGAAACTCAGTGACAGATTAAAGCCTTATCTGTTTGCTGCTGGGTCTTCCCCTGTGGACAGCCAATGAGAGAGGGTCAGCAGTCCTGGTTTCTACTTCCTCTAATGAACTCCCAGTGGTACAATTATTCACCTAAGGTCAAAGGGCAAGTCTTAAAGGCAGAGACCAGCCATAAATCTCATTGGCTTACTTATGACATTAAAGTGCTTCAGCCCCTTGGGATGAAGATGCTATGAATAGGTTTACTTTTAATTATGTACTTTCTCAAATTAATGATCAAGGCAAGGAAGAAGCATACAGATACTCAAAAACATATTAAATATATTGCTGTTATTCTTGATAACCTGGAAAAAGTTTCCACTGCTCAGAAGCTGAGGTTCATTTATCATTTTATGTTTTAGATGCTGGTCTCACGGAAGAAATATGTTCTTTAATCTTTGTTACTAGCGGAGACTACATCTGCTCCCCAACCTCTGCCTTTATGTGTTCAGCATTTGCTTTGACAGACTGCCAGCTGCCTTTTCTCCCACAAAGTAGACTGAATGGCCAGAACTACTTGGGCACTGCTGTTGACGATTAAAACTGGAACATCCAACCACAGCCCACTCCGAGTAGGCTGGTACAAATTTATATCCTATGGCTGTGTGGGCAGCACCTTCTGAAGAGACAGCTGCTTGTTTGAAGGTTGGGGTGGGCATTCTGGAGCTGTTTTAAATATGTCAGATGGTAGGAGGCTCAGTTGTCTAGCAGTTGGTCAAGAGCTTGAATCTGTGAGGCATTTGACCCAGTTAGAGCCTGACCTTACTAGCTGTGTGAGCTTAGGCAAGTCACCTCATCTCTCTGAGCCTTTTTCTCTCTTTCTTTTCTTTTCTTTTTCTTTTCTCTTCTCTTCTCTTCTCTTCTCCTTTCCTTTCCTTTGCTTTCCTTCTCTTCTCTTCTCTTCTCTTCTCTTCTCTTCTCTTCTCTTCTCTTCTCTTCTCTTCTCTTCCCTTCCCTTCCCTTCCCTTCCCTTCCCTTCCCTTCCCTTCCCTTCCCTTCCCTTCCCTCCCTCCCTTTCTTTCTTTCTTTCTTTCTTTCTTTCTTTCTTTCTTTCTGTCTGTCTGTCTTTCCTCACCTGGCTGAGGGGTCTTTTGGTCTCCAAAGCCATGGTCTTCTAATTACTAAGCTACTTCCGCAAAAATCTGTTTCAAGAACTGACTCAATATCTGAGCTTCCTTGATAGTCTCACATACTTTGCTGTTGGAAAGAGCCCTGGGCCTACTGATATTGGTGGGTGCCTGATTTCAGCTGTAAGGCTAGAGGAGGCGGTGGTGTTGAGGTGATACCCACTATTTTCACAACCTTACCCACGCTTCATCTGCAAGGTGAGGCAAGTGTTAGTCATGTTCCCAGAGACCCAGAGTGCATGGGCATTTATTTTAATTAGAAGCAATTAAAGAATTACTCCTTATGGTGTGAGTATTTCCTTGCCCAAAGGAGAAAGATTTTGGGTTTTGGCAAAATAGACAAAACATTAGATTATTTTCCATCTCTTGTTTTATATTAAAAAATGAGGTGGATCTATGGGTTTAGTCTATAACTAAATTTACTTTATTTAAATGTTTTGCTTTTCGATGACTTTTAGAATTAACAAAGAGGGTATAAAATAACTACTGTGGAGTAACCCTCCAGAATTTTATAAAACCACTACTTTATTATGAAGTGACACAATATATTTACACACATATACTTGCACACACCCCCACACACAGTTACAAATACATTCACACATACTTGCTCACAATTCATACACAGAATGAAGACAGAGGTTTATTGTACTTTTTAATAGAGCAGTAAGCCTCATTTGGTTTCAGAATTAGTAAATATGAACTTTTTCACACATCCATTTATTTATTAATTCGTTTAACAGATCTTTATTGAGCATGTGCTTAGCTAAGGGTTGAGTACAAAATAAATGCAATGTATGATTGCTTATGATCTGAGTGGCAAAGTCTATGTATGATGGTATGGCCAAATGAAGCCAACTTGACCTTATTTCCTTTTTGGGTTGGATTATCAGACCAGAATTTCACAGGCATATTATAGGCAAAATATATCCTGATATGGACAAAGCATTTGACAAAGTATCTTGCGCATCCATAGGGACAAGGTGGCAAATGTGAGCTGGACAGTAGTTTTAGGCCATTTGAGGGCAGGAATGAGAGCTTACCCATCCTGTACATATGTTGCCTAGCTCAGTGCTTAGTGTATAGAAAGCATTCAGAAAACATTTGTCAATTGAGCGTAAAATGAAGTCACGGCTCCTTAAACAATTGTGCCGAGAAGGCTTTTTAATGGCTCAGTGTTAGACTGAAGGTAGGTCTGTCATGGAATGTCACAGAACCCTTTACCCAGGCTGTTTTTTTTTTTTTTTTTTTTTTTTTTTTTTTTTTTTTTTTTTTTTTGAGGCAAGGTCTTGCTCTGTCACTCAGGCTGGAGTACAGTGGCGTGGTCTCAGCTCACTGCAGTATCAACCTCTCAGACTCAAGTGATTCTCCCACTTTGGCCTCCTGAGTAGCTGGAATAACAGGTATGTGCCACCACACCTGGCTAATTTTTGTACTTTTTTTGTAGAGACGGGTTTTCGCCATGTTGCCCAGGTTGGTCTTAAACTCCTGGACTCAAGTGATCCTCCTGCCTCAACCTCTCAAAGTGTTGGGATTATAGGCATGAGCCACTACACTCAGCCAAGACTTTTTATTAGTAATTTAAATAGGATAAATCTGGGAAGGAGATCAGAATTCACACTAAAATGCCAAATAACTAAGCTTTTAAAATCTAACAGATAAAATTTAAGAACAACAAATGTCGCATGCTGTGTTTGCTTAAAAAATTATTGCATAACATGAAACAATAGCTTTGAAAGACACATATCCTTAAGCCCTACAGTTGCTTTTAGGAACATGCCCTAAGGAATAATCATAGATAGGTACAAAGATTTTCCTACAAGGCATTCATCAAAACATTGTTTATAATACAGACAAATTGAAAACAAGAGAAATGTTCAAAAAGACAAGTTCAGCGGACACTGCCAGTTGCCCTCCCAATATTCATTTCCCCATATTCCTTATTAATAAACCGGAATTTTATTCAAGGCATCAGAGTGACCCTTAAAAGAAACTATATTTCCCAGTTTCCTTTGCAGCTAGAGGTTACCTTATTAAACCAATAAGATGTAAATGGAAGTTGCTGAATATCAACTCACCTATAAATTAAAAATGAAAAAAGACACAATAAGTGCTAATGGCAATTTATCTCTGGATATAGTATCATGGAAGATTTTTCTTCTTCTTTCTTTTCAAGAGTTTGCAAAAATTTCCTGTATTGAACATATGCTGCTCTTAAAACTAGAACACAAGAACAATAAAATTTACCTTTAAAAGAGTTCGGTTGTACTAAGTCACTAGTCTGAGGGGACTGCTAACATGGTTGAAATCTTCCCTACATACATAGAATGTTAGGGTGCAGACGTGGGAAAGACATGCCTCTTGTGCACCTGCACAAACTGAGGTGTTTCCCCTGTTACCTTCTTTCCCCACTGCAGTAGCTCTTCTTTTTTCTTTTTTGGAGACGGGGCCTTGCTGTGTTGCCCAGGCTGATCTTGAACTCCTGAACTCAAGTGATCCTCCTGCCTCAGCCTTCAGAGTACCTGGGAGCAGTAGCTCTACGAGTTTGAATTAATCATCTCCTGCAGAACTTGATTCAATTCTGGGAGTTCATTGTAACCTAATTAGCTAGATGTCACAAGGCACCTTATAGAATAAATGGCCAAAGAAACCAGGAGTTAGCCTAGAAAAGGCTAAATGGTTTGCATTTCTCTGATGGCCAGTGATGATGAGCATTTTTTCATGTGTCTTTTGGCTGCATAAATGTCTTCTTTTGAGAAGTGTCTGTTCATATCCTTCGCCCACTTGTTGATGGGTTGTTTGTTTTTTTTCTTGTGAATTTGTTGGAGTTCATTGTAGGTTCTGGATACTAGCCCTTTGTCAGATGAGTAGATTGCAAACATTTTCTCCCATTCTGTAGGTTGTCTGTTCACTCTGATGGTAGTTTCTTTTGCTGTGCAGAAGCTCTTTAGTTCAATTAGATCCCATTTGTCAATTTTGGCTTTTGTTGCCATTGCTTTTGGTGTTTTAGACATGAAGTCCTTGCCCATGCCTATGTCCTGAATGGTATTGCCTAGGTTTTCTTCTAGGGTTTTTATGGTTTCAGGTCTAACATTTAAGTCTTTAATCCATCTTGAATTAATTTTTGTATAAGGTGTAAGGAAGGGATCCAGTTTCACCTTTCTACATATGGCTAGCCAGTTTTCCCAGCACCGTTTATTAAATAGGGAATCCTTTCCCCATTTCTTGTTTTTCTCAGGTTTGTCAAAGATCAGATGGTTGTAGATATGTGGCATTATTTCTGAGGGCTCTGTTCTGCTCCATTGGTCTATATCTCTGTTTTGGTACCAGTACCATGCAATGAGATACCATCTCACAGCAGTTAGAATGGCGATCATTAAAAAGTCAGGAAACAACAGGTGCTGGAGAGGATGTGGAGAAATAGGAACACTTTTACACTGTTGGTGGGACTGTAAACTAGTTCATCCATTGTGGAAGTCAGTGTGGCGATTCCTCAGGGATCTAGAACTAGAAATACCATTTGACCCAGCAATCCCATTACTGGGTATATACCCAAAGGATTATAAATCATGCTGCTATAAAGACACATGCACACATATGTTTATTGTGGCACTATTCACAATAGCAAAGACTTGGAACCAAGCCAAATGTCCAACAGTGATAGACTGGATTAAGAAAATGTGGCACATATACACCATGGAATAGTATGCAGCCATAAAAAATGATGAGTTCATGTCCATTGTAGGGACATGGATGAAACTGGAAACCATCATTCTCAGCAAACTATCACAAGGACAAAAAACCAAACACCACATGTTCTCACTCAGAGGTGGGAATTGAACAATGAGAACACATGGACACAGGAAAGGGAACATCACACACCAGGGCCTGTTGTGGGGTGGGGGAAGGGGGAGGGATAGCATTAGGATCATTAGGAGATATACCTAATGTTAAATGATGAGTTAATGGGTGCAGCACACCAACGTGGCACATGTATACATATGTAACTAACCTGCACGTTGTGCACATGTACCCTGAAACTTAAAGTATAATAAAAAAAATTAAAAAAAAAAGGCTAAATGGGGCTATTGTCTTCTGATATTTGAATGCTTGCCATGTAGAAGAAAGAATATGGAGAGTTCACAGCTCTCTCTTTATATGAATCAAGCACGGGGCTACGTGCTTGACATGAATTTATTTTTTAATTTTGACTACAGGTTAAGATTTAGTGTCTAGTTTAAGAAATTGAGGCTCAGAGGGGGTGAAGCAATTTGCCCAAGATCACACAGCTAGTAATACTCAAAAATGAGTTTGTCTTATGCTGGAACTAAAATTGTTAGCCTTGGTGCATCTGCCAGATGCAGAATGATTTTGATGGGTGGAATTAGAGCCAAACACATTTTTGTCTTAATGTAGGAAGAAACTACCCAATCCTTTAAACCATTCAATAATGGAATGGACTGCCTCGTGGTGTTAAGTGAGTCCCTTCTCACAGAGAGGATCCAAGCAGAGGCTAGCTGGCTCTGAGAAGGGGAAGCTGTCTCAGAAGTTTCTTCCAGTCGACGTACTGAAACCCAGTGCTGCAGGTGCTTCAGCGGGGTGAGCAGTGTCATCAATAACCCTCTGGCTTTTGTCTTTTGTTCACTCTGGCTTTTGTCTGCCACCCTTGTGTAGCATGACTATGCAGGTAGGTAAGGTATGGCTTTCAAGACCCCTTTTACGTGAGTCTCTTTCAATTCCTTTTTGAATGTAGCCATTTACACATCCAATTAGAGCTAATTATTATAATTATCACTTTCTTTCCTGAAACTGATAACCAAATAAGTTCAGAGAATGTCGATAATACAATATCAAATAGCTATAGTGGGTTTTTTTTTCATTACATGGAATAAAGACATTCTTCTGACCATCATAAGGAAAACTCCTTAGCAAATTAGCTACTCATTGGGTTTTCTAAAGTCAAAATTTATTGAATAAATCAAATTTTTTCTCAAGATTTTCAGATATTTATAATATCATTACAAAGGACCTGGCAATGGGGCCAACGTGATAGAAGTGGTCCCATTCCTGGTGAAACTGGAGCATACAGTTGTGTGGGTGAGAAAGCACTGAGTCCAAGAGTCAGTTATTCCATGATGGTCTTGGTAAGTGCTATGAAGAAGTGTGGTGGGCAATGAGATTTGATAGCACGGCACCTAACAGAGGACTCAGGGAGTGCTGCTGCAGGCAATGCCATCTGAGTTGTGGCAGAAGGAAGAACAGAAGTTAACAAGGTGGAGTGGTGGGAGAAGAAGGTGTTAAGCAATGGAAACTGCAAGAAGAGGACAATTTCTTGGAAGGTATTAAATTGAATCCCAATCCATGCTGCAGTTTTTTCCTCTTCTGTATTTTATATGAACAATTAATCTGAATTCCCAAGGCCATAATATCATCAGGGGAAAGTCCCTTGAATTCGATTTCACAAACTATTTGCCTTAAGGATCTAGGAAATTATCCTTTTTATACCTGTTTGTACTTTGAAGAACATAATCCAGGGTGAACCTGAGGGCTGTGGATGTTGTTGTCAAATGAACCCTTCTTCTCTCTTCAGCCCCAAAACACCTGCTAGAAAAACCCCTAGACACACAGCGTATGTTCAACATATCCTGAGAAGGGCACATGCCACTCTAAACAACATCTGACATGTATTATGCTCCAATAAACCTCACTTTGGAACAAGGTCACAGAAAGAATGAATTTTGATCTTTACTCACAGTTTAATTTTGCTCTTAAAGGAAAACTCAACATTTAAAAAGTCATGCGTCCTTTCCTTATTTTTAGGACTATTTTTGCTTCCAAATGTTTCCTGGCTAGCACCCAGCTCTTTAAAGAACAGTTTCTGAAAGTCACTTTGGCAGTTGAAAAACTTGGAAGGTGGAAGCGGTATACAGCCCTGGACAACAGAATGTATTGAATATCATGAAGAAGATGATGCTAGCCTCCGTTTATTAAGCATTTACTATGAATGCAGCACAGTCATAGAAACTTTCCACACAATTTCTTATTTAATCTTCTCAAATTATTTATGAGATAAGTACTATTAATCAACCCTCTTTTTTTTTCTAATGAGAAAACAGCTTAGAGGGGAGCCTTAGCTCAAGACCACACAACGTACAAACGGAGGAACTGGAACTTGACCCCATTACTGTATGACTGTGAAGCCCAAGTGTAACTCTTTATTAAAGTTGATCCATGTCTTGGAAACTGCATGGCAGAAACAGTGGACTTCAAAACTTCAGATGGATTCAAACTTGGTACTAATTGTACTTATGGTTCCAGGTCTCAACAACTCATGCAAACACAGCCTCCTCTCAACTTCACTCAAATATTTGTTCATCTATAACAAATAGGTTTGAAGACCCTGTGAATGAGTGGTTGAGTTATGGTTACAATGCTGGGTGAAGCAGGGAAACTGGGGTGCATATACAAGGCATAACTTTTAGAAATCTGCAGAGGTGATAACAAATGCCAAAAATTACTCTGCATAAGACAGGTTTGATGAGTACTACATGGGTGGTTGGGGAATAAGTGCTACTTAAACTTCATCAATGCTGGCCTCTCATTTCCATAACAATCACCACTCCTAATGTGGCTGCAGCTCTTCAAGCTGAGTATAATTTTCTGTGTTTACCATTTTTAAAACCTTCTTGTGTTTCTGGCTTTAGAAAAAGGTCATAAACATTCATCCATACAAAGGACTATTATTCGGCCATTGAAAAGGAAGAGGGAGATGTGCATTGATATGGAAATTGTCCATGCTATGTACAATTTTAACTGAATAAAATCAAATTGCAGAAGAGTATGTATAGTAGGATTCTCTTGGCTGCAAGTGGCAGACAATCATGGGGAATAGCTTCAGTAAGAAATGGAACTTACTATGGGTGTAAGACAGTTATAAGAACTGGAACAATGCTGGAGTCACTCAGAGAATTGAAGAAAGAACTGCACAAAAGAGCTTTGGGAATGACTGGGACATCAGGGTCCTTAGCAATGGAATCAGGAACCTGAATGCTCTCAGGGCCAAGACTTTCTCTCTGCCTTTTGTCTCTGCTGCTGACTGTTTGCAGCTTTTCCATGACAGTGGAGCCATGGTTGCCACCAACTCTGTTATCATGTTTTTGTTTTTTTTTTTTCAGACAGGATCTTGCTCTGTTATCCAGGCTGGCATGATCATGGTTCACTGCAGCCCCAACCTCCTGGGCTCCAGCAATTCTCTCACCTCAGCTTCCCGAGAACCTAGGACTACAGGTGCACATCACCACGCCTGGCTAATTTTTCATTTTTTTTGTAGAGATGGGGTCCTGCCATGTTGCCCAGGCTGGTCTTGAATTCCTGGGCTCAAGCGATCTTCACACCTCGGCCTCCCAAAGTGTTAGGATTACAGGTATGAGCAACTGCAGCCTGGCCTGTTACTACATTCTTGTAGCTCCTTGACTAGAGAAGAACAGAGTTCCAGTAGTTGAAAAATCTAAGGAAAGGATTCTCATTGGCCTGGCTATGTTCATGTGTCTAGTGCTTGGAGCAATCACTGTGGCCAAGGAGGAAAAGTGGTGCGACAACTTCTGAAGCCAGAGGGGCAAAGTGTAAAGCTAGAAGGAGATAAAGGATACTGAAAGACAAAAACCATAGTTGGATCCAATTAAAAATATATATACATTCAAAAATCCAAGGGAATAAACACCAGGCTGTTAAAAGTGGTGGTCAGTTATCTCAGAGGGTAGATTTTTGCTTTTTCTGGAACATTTCAATTTTCTTTTCTAAGCCATTCCTCCTATTTTTGTATGCTGAAAAAAGTTTTAAGATTTTCATTGAAAGGTTAAGTAAAAAATGTACTAAACTGATAAACTCTTTTTTTGTTCAGCTGATAATGTATCCCATTAATCAAACCCAGCAGCAATCATTCTAAAGGTGTTGCCAATTTGGTTCATATTTTTTATCATTTAAAATAACTTGTTTTCTTTCATTATTCTCCTCCAAGTGAATGAATTCCCTTTCATTTAATTGTGTAGTTAGGCTTTTGTTTGGAAAAGAACTCTTTCTCAGAGCTGATCCAAAACCTGTTTCAAGAAATGGATAAATTTTTGGCAACTTAAGTTATGAGGCTTTGTACTGTCTATAAGAATTGCTTAGTGCTAGAACATTCAGTAATCTGAGCCACTTTTGTAGGTGATAGGATATATACCTCATGCTTGGAAGAAAAACCAGCACCCAATCCCATTTTCTGGGTTGATGCCCCATTCTCCCTTTATCTAGCATTGGCCCCGTTCTGCAGCAGGCTGATTGATGGACCCATCACTTATATCTTTGCAGTACAACTGTGGATTCCACTCTTCAAATTACATTAACAATTCTCATATTACTAAAAAATGACTCATATTTATCGAGTATTCAGTGTGTTTATTCAGATATTTATCTCATTGATTTTTCCAATATATAGTCAAAAGCAGGTATTCTGTAGACCTTGGGTTCTTGTTAAAATGGGTAAACAAGTTCATTTTGGTTCCAAG
Organism: Homo sapiens; assembly: GCF_000001405.40. Lineage (NCBI taxonomy): Eukaryota > Metazoa > Chordata > Mammalia > Primates > Hominidae > Homo > Homo sapiens. The sequence goes on along the minus strand of NC_000003.12, from coordinate 56,475,160 downwards.
AATTGCTGAATAGCTTGTTACCCTTCCTCTCACAATGAGAACCCACCTTTTGAACAGGTGTTTTTCTCCTGCCCACAGAGAGTCTAGGCTGTAAAGATAATAGATGAATGCAAGTGTTCAGCAGCACTCCTAGCACTAGGAATTTGGCTGTTAATTAAAAGCCCTAGTATAAGAAATTCTTCTTTGGACCCTCAGGGTGTAAAATTCCTATAAAGGAAGCTCCGGTCCTTTTTTCTCTTTATTGTTTCTCAAAACTTCCAATAAAACTTTATTTACAGAAACAAGTAGCTGGTCCATGGGCTGTAGTTTACGAATTTGTTTTTCAAAAATATTATATTAAAATATAATGCATCTTGATTACTGAGAATTTGGTACCCTTTTGAATTGTGCACCCAAGGCTAGGGTTTCACTTGCTTCACCCTAGTCCTGGCCATTTATTATAAAGTTTCACAGATTAATTTAAACCTTCTAAGAATGTTGTATGTAAATTACACTCTTTTCATGATCATTATTATGAGCACAGAAGCCACCATTTCTTGAGTGATCTAAGGACTTTACCTGAATAGTTATATGATTATCCTCATCACAGTCATGTTGAAAAGAAACTGTGACTAGTCCTATTTTATAAATAAGGAAAAGAATCTCTAAGTAAGTAATTTGTCTGAAGACACACAACTATTAAATTCTGAACTTTTGCCACTGTGGAGGAAAACTGTAAAAAGGTGGGCTTTGCTGTGTAATTGATATTTTATACACCTTTCATATTTCAATACCTCCCCTGAATTTTGTTATTTTTTTCTGATTGTAGTGAATCCTATTACTAGCTTGCTTTAATTTTTTGCCTGGGTCTTTTCAGTATCTGCATGGATGGAAATGCAGACAAGATTCAAGGTAAGAACTCTTCATAGGTTTCTAGGCTAGCTCAACTCTCTCGTAAGCCTTTAGCTTTAGAAGGAAAACTGCGTGGTGTCTGAATATAAATCCTTTGGTAGCAAAAAGCACAAGACTAAAGGAAGCAGGGTTTGAGTGAGACAAATAAGATTACGTGAGTCTGCTGCATGGTGGAGGTTTTAAAGCCTGTGTCTGTGGTTATTTCTCTCCTCGAGAGCTTCAAACAGGTCTTTTCTACCTTGGAGTTATTTTAAAATGGGTATGTTAAAAATTCTCCTAATTTTACAGCTTTTATCATAATTTAAAAGGTGCTAATGAACTACCTTTAAATAGCCAAGCCAGGGAATGAGGAAGGAAGAGGAGGCCCAAGCAATGGGCAGCAGTTCATGGAAAATACCACAGAGAAACACACAGAGCCCAGAGTGGGGGGCTTGCCTAGGTGGAAGGAAGCTGACTTTCAATTCCGACAGTACTTGTGGTTGCAAGGAAGAGAAACTCACTAAAGATACTTAAGGAGGCAAAAACAAACAAACAAAAAAGAAGGTATCTACTGAAAAAACATAGAGGCCTGTCATGGAACCCAAGGATAGCAAGGGGGGGGTCAGACTTCATGAGTGATTAAAGTCAGGAAATGAGGTTATTGGAAGCCAAGGAACTAAAGAAATTGATGTTATTTTACATTATATGAACATTTAATCAACATTTTTGCAAAGCCCTGAAAGACTTGCCTGCCTTGAGATGACAGATTTACAGAAAATTATAAATTGAGAATTAAATGTTTAATAAATGTCTACAAAATATAACTTTATGGGTTTTCATATTTATAAACATTTCCTTTCATTTGCAAACAACTGTATGTTAGATTTTCTTCTCACCTTATAATAGTCTCTGAGTATGCTTAATGATTTTGGACAACCACAGCCACAAGTAAGTAAAATGAATGGTTCTTGCTCAAATAATTTAAAAAACTTTCAAGCATTTTCACAGAAAAACAAATGTGTGTGTGTGCATGTGTGTGTGTGTATAAATATATATATATTTTTGACAGAGTCTTATTCTGTCACCTGTGCTGGAGTGCAGTGGTGTGATCACAGCTTACTGCAGCCTTGACCTCCTGGGCTCAAGTGATCCTCCTGCCTTGGCCTCCCAAAGTGCTGGATTACAGATGTGAGCTACCATGCACAGCCAAAAAAATATATACTTTTGATGGTGCTGGATTTTGATATCTTTGCTATGATGCTTAAAACCTACAAAGGTCTTAAAACATTTCTGGCAAATATAATTTGAATGGTTTAACGGCACCAATTGTTGGCTTCCAAAGGATCAGGTGACTTTTTTCCAGTCCAACTGTTGTGGTGATGGGTCAGTTAATTAGGTGTTTTGTTTTGTTTTAAAGTGGCAGCTCAATCATGTTTCTTTTGAGCTAAAATCTACCCTGTTAAGACTTGCGCAAATGACCTCATGCCTAAGAAGAACAGACAATTATAAGTTGTTTAGGGATTTTGTTTCTTATTCAACTAGATTCTTCCTGTGGACATGCTAATGACTGTTCTGGGTTACTCGGCTATGCCCAGGACTCTAATCACCAAACTTGGTGACTCTCATATACTGTCTTCATCAAGTATCTGCTGTCTGACTTCAAAGCACATTGAAACTGCCATGTTCTGGACATCTCTACCATGAGGTCCTTGGCATCTCAAATACGAAAAGCCTTAAATTGAACCCATAAACTGTTCATAATTGGGTTTCCCATATGATCTATAAACTTTCCATAAACCTGTACTCCTCCCCAACCTTTATTTCCAGTTTTAGTGAATGGCACACTATCCACCTAGCTGCCCAAACCAGACTCCTGGGAACATTTTTGACTCCTCTCTCTTGCACATAGCCAATTGCTCACCAAGTCCAGTTTATTTTACCTCGTTTGTTCTGGAGTCAGACTTCTTGGGTTAGAATTTCAGCCCTGCGATGACTTAGCTGTGTGGCCCTGGTAAATTACCTTACCTAGAGGTGCCTCAGTGCCTTTGTTGGTAAAATAGGTGTAATAATGGTATATTTTAGGTCAATTGCGAGGAATAAGTCAGTTAATGCACACAAAGAGCTTAGAACAGGGCCTCGCACATAGTACTGATTTTGTCTAATTGGTATTTGTTCTTTGTTGCTGTTACTATATTCAAAATGAATGCAAAAAACCCAAAGAAACAAAAACAAAACCAACACAGGTTGTTGTTTTATGACCCTGCATCATTGTGCAAGAAGAACAGTTGTTTCCAACCTGTGCTCAGTTCCAAGGCCACTTGGCTCTCATATTCCCACACTGGCAGGCTTGTGAGGGTTGACAATCATAGGAAAACTGATTGGGCATTACGGTGCTTTTATATATAGTCATGCTTTTTCACTGTAGAGCTTAACTTTTTCTATTTGGTTCAAAAAATATGTACGGGTACAGAGTTTTTCTTTTGCTTCAGGGTTTGATATGGCTTGGCTCAGCCCCAAGTAAAGCTGATAGAACTGGCTGATGGTGTAAACGTGTGGTATAAGCAAAAGGAAGAATTAATGATACTCCTAGGTTTGGACCTGAGCAACAGGATGATTGGTGATGTCATTATCCTGATGGGTGACCTTGGGAGAGAGGAGACTTGGTGCATAAAAATCAAGTTTGAGATACTGGTGGGTTAAATACTCACACTGGGGAAGTCAAATAAGCAGGTAGATATCCAAGGCCTTTAGGTCTTTAGAAATCTCATTTCTGTCTACATGGCTGGCTGTTCTCCTCTTTACAGACCAACTTCCTTGGCAAGGATCTTAGAACTTACTTCCTGATGACTTTGGCATCATGGTTTTTGGTGCCATTGTTCTAATTTGGGCCACCACAGTCTACAATCTCACCATTCAATGCCAGCTGACTGACTCATTCTTCAAGCTCAGTTTGAAATACTGGAAGGAGAGCCTGTCATGGCTCATCCAGGGGCAGGTGTCCACCACAGCTCCCATCTATGATAGCTGCCACTCCAGGCTGAGCACACCATAGGGCAGCAAAGTTGGATGTGGCAGCAAATTTGACATTTCCTCAGGAAAACTTTTTCTGAACCCCAGGGGAACAGTTGGTTATCCTTCCTGCATGTTCCTGCAGTTCCCAGAACTTTGTCCCTTCATAGGCAGTATTGTTATTGCCTGCTTCTTGTCTGTCTCCATCACTAAACTGTACAGTCCTTGAGGCAGGGGCTCTGAACCCACAGGACCTAGGAGAAAGTAGATGCTCAATAAGTATTTGTTGAATGAATGAATGAATATGTGAGAAAAAAATATCTGCCATGAAAGTATGCTCTCTCTGACTTGCTTGAAAAGAGCTTGTGAAGATGAAGAAAGACATCAATAACTGTCAAAACAATACAAACCAAACCAAACCACCACGACAACAAAAAACCCTGGAGCAACAGACCATGTTTTAGAAAATATAATATGTTTTAGAATTTTCTGTCCTGAAGGGTTAGATCTCACAATGGCTACTTGTTAGCATATTGCGAGGGTGTGTTTGTTTGTGTGTGTGTGTGTTTGTGTATGTATTTGTGTACCTATACACACATATATGTGTATTTTAACCTAAAGTTAGAAAATGTTAGAGTTGAGAGCAATCTTAAGATTCTTTAGTTCCGCTTTTTATTTTCAGAAAACTAAGTCCCAGAGAGGATAAAGATGACTTGCTTAAGATTCCTATAACTTCCACTCTTCGTTTTACTATGTAGAGTCACTTTCTATTTAAAGTAATTATTCTTAACTTTTCTGGGTCAAGGACCCAATTTGAAAGAAATCTGTTGAGAACCATGAATCTTCTCTCTGTGGGAAAAATGTACATAAGCATGTACATAATAAATTGATCCCCTGAATGTCAAGGGTTCCTTTTAAAACCCACGGATCAAAGGAAAAGAGAATGGGTGGCCAACCAGAGTGAACCTCAGGCATTGATTTAAATAAATTCTTCATGGGATCACCCTGGTATGTTACCCAACTTTTCTGAAAGTTGGTAAACATCTTATAGAATATTTGTGAGAATAGTTGAGAAAATGTAAGTGCCTGCACAGAGGGGGGTACTAAAAAATGTTGGCCACGTTTCAAAAGATGTGGGATTTTAGGAATTCTCAAAGGACTCTCAACAAGGCTCTCATATACAACAAGCCTTTTGAGCAGAGGCTGTCAAGGATGTATGTGGGGAACAAAACACAATAGGTGGAGCTTGGTTTTGCCCCTGGAGCATCTAGGTCAGGAGAATGAGTGTTGATTTCTCAGAGAGAGAAAGAAGAGGATGAGGGCAAAGAGAGTCTATGAAAAACCTTAGCTACCAGAGGTGTACAGGCTTAAGGAACAGGCATTTGGGCTGGAACAGGAAGGCATCCTTGTCTCTCAGAGTCTGATTCCCTGAGCAGGAATCATTTAATATTTGAATTCCGGCGGGGCGCGGTGGCTCACGCCTGTAACGCCAGCACTTTGAGAAGCTTGAGGTCAGCGGATCATTTGAGGTCAGGAGTTCAAGACCAGCCTGGCCAAGATGGTGAAATCCCGTCTGTACTAAAAATACAAAAATTAGCTGGGCGTGGTGATGGACTCCTGTAATCCCAGCTGCTCAGGTGGCTGAAGCAGGGAATTGCTTGAACCCAGGAGGCAGAGGTTGCAGTGAGCTGAGATGGCACCACTGCACTCCAGCCTGGGAGAAAGAGCAAGACTCTGTCTCCAAAAAAAAAAAAAAAAAAATTGAATTCCTATCGGGGAGGAAAGAAGGATCCATCCTCTAATCGCTGTACTAATTCTATGCCTCTGCGCACCCAAACATCCCATGGCTGGATTTGCTTTATTTGTCTGAGCTTCCCAGCAGGAGAAATTTAGATCTGGCCACTGAAATTGCTGGAAGCAGACTCATCAGGACAGGAAGGAAATGACTGCTCTATCCCTGCAAATTGACTACTCAGTGAAAGAGACCAAGTTTAAAGATGCCCATGGCTATCCCAGTACCCTCCCTAATATAAAATGGCAGCAGCTGGGGCTCCAGACTTGTTGAGTGGAAGCTTTTTCCAATGAAAAACTTGTCCAAATCCTCTTGCTCATTACCTTGAGGTGTGTGTGTGTATCTGCCTGTGTGCGCGCGTATCAACTCAGACATCATCTTTCTACCTTAAATTGGGACAATGCAAGCACATTTCAGGGCACAGAAGAGGCACCCAGTGAATATGACGGATGCGATCTTTTCTCTTGTTCCTGTCTTTATCTTTCATTCTGTCCTTTCTTTGGGGGAACAATAAAGTGAAGATCTTATGAAATTCTTTCAACCTCCTAAGGAACATTAAAGCTGATGGACGGTGCCAGGGTATGGTAACCACGACCCCTTACTCCAATGCTTAACTTAAAAGATAAGTGCCATCCCTGCCCCTGTCACCAAAGCCACCTGACAAGTTCCCAGTGTGCCTGGCAGCTTTTGGAGGGGGGTACCCGGGAAGGGGCGTCGGGGATGGAAGATTGGGGACAGGTGCTTCGCGCCGCGGCCTGCCGGGAGGAGGCGCTGCGAAGACCCCCGCCCATGCCGGGCGCTTTCTGCTGCCCCCAGCGGAGGCGCCCGGGCCCCAGCCCCGTCCCCCCTAGCGGCTCCTCGGGAATGCTGGGAATGTGAGTCAGGGCCTCTGCGAGCGGGCGAGCGTGCCGGCCGGCCGGGTGGGGGCCCCGCCGAGCGCAGCGCCTGGCAGCGCCGCGCGAGCGCGCGTCTCGGGACTGCGGCGGGTGCCGCCCCCTCGGCCGCCGGCCCCGCCCGGCCCCGCGCCTGGCCCTGGCCCTCCGAGCAGTGTCCTCCTCCTTCCCTTCTTTCCTCCCTCCCTGTTCCCCGCCCCGCTTCTCCTCCTCTTCCTCCGCCTCCCGCTCCTGCTCGCTCGGTCTCCGGCTCCGGCGCCGGCTCCTGCTCCTCCTGGCCGCCCGGGGCCAAGGCGACGAGAGGTTGTAAAAATCCATGTGGGACGGCCCCGGGGCGAGCATCGGAAAGGTGAGACGCCGACGCCGGGGCCGGGGCCGCCTGGTGCCCGGCTCCCTCGGGGCGCCCGTGCCCGGGCATTCCTCGTGCCGGGTCCCCCTCGCTCGTGGGGAGCTGCAATGCGTTATCGTGGGGAGCCTAAGGGTGAACCATCCGCCTCCTACGGGGCTTTCTTGGGCGGGGGGAGGGATGGGGCGGCCTAAGGGAGGCTTTGCCCTGATGTATAAACCCCCGGATTGGAACAAGTGCACGGTTTCCTCCAGCGCGCGGGCGCCGCTCGCTAGCCCCGGCTGCCCGGGCCACCTCCCGCAGTCCCTCTCCGGCAGCCACCCTCACTGCCATCGCCTTTCTTCTCTCAGATCCCCCTCTTCTGCCTGGCGTCCCCTCTTGCCTCGAGGGGTGGGGTGTTCGCGGGGTCGGGGGTCTTGAGCAATCCTAAGCAGAACAAAGTGGAGAAAGGTGGAGCCCCCGCCCGGGGGTGGGGTGGCTGGCCGCCTGGGTGGGTTCAGAGGGGAGCATATTTTTTTTTAAAAAACCCGTGTCAGGGAAAATGAAGCCGATTTATCGGGGAGGGCTAGGGGATGGTGTATGAAAAGGAATACGATGTGAAATTGAACTGAACGGCATCCCTTCTCTCCTCCTCCCCATCTCCTAATTATACAAAAAAAGGGATACTTACGAAGGTGTACCTAATTAAAAAAAATACCGTACGAGCCTTTGAAAGATCGTCTTAGGACAGTGAAGATTAAGAGCTGCTTTGGTTCGGGGTAATAAAATAGCGCTCGTAAACTCTCCGTTCGGCCCTGCCTTATTTATTTTGTACTTAAGGGTCTCTGTTCTCCTTGCCAGAGAGGGAGGGTCCGCTCTTTTAGGAGTGGATCGATTTTAGGCGGCTACCTGCCTTTGCTGTATGAAAGGCAATTTACTCCCCGAGCGGTGAATTGTCGGTTCCCTCTGTGATTGACAGCCACACCTGCCACTTACGTGGGTAGAATGGGGACCGGTGGAACCCAAAGAACCAATCAATGCTCGGGAGAGGAGGGCAGCTCCCACTTGTCATGGTTAGTTTCCTGGTTGGCTCTTTAAATCAGTGATTTTACTTAACCATTGGTTTCCACCTGGTATGGGGATACAGCTGTGAGAGGCAGACAAGCGGGAAGAAAACTCTTTGAAAATGGACTTTTAGAAGCAAGTATATTTGACCTGTGTTTCCTTGTCCTCCCCATCCCTTACCCACCACCCCCCTGATTATTAGTTGTAGTAGTTGCGGATGCCGAGGCCACTGGCTTAAAAATGAAAATGAATCTGTGTAAAGAAGGAATTGGGGGAGGGGGTGTTAGAATTGCCCACCTATTTCTCCAGAATTGCAGTCTTTATAAGAGACAACATGTACCGTTGAGCTATCCGGGAAAAGGGTGTGGCACTTTGTCTCCTATGGTCACTCTTGTCCTTGTAAAGTCACATTGTTTCTCAGTATACAGTACTTGGGGCTTGGCTCTACTGGATGGATTTATAAGGTATTTTTGGAGCCGGCAAACGTTCTTTATGGGGAGTCACATGAATAGAAGGGATTCTTTTAGTTCTGACAGTTAACTCAACTTCTGGAAGTGAGGGCTGCCTTGTTCTCTTTTGCAGAATGTCAGTTCGGTGGTGGTGGGGTCAAGCCATTTTCTTTCCGGGGAGTAGTAGAGTTTGCCTTTTTCTCATGTAAGCCATCTTGTCTGTTTGCTTCTGTGCTTTAATAAAATACTTTTACAGTTTTGGCAGGGAGGGGTGTGGAAGGTGATGGTGTCATGGTTTTCACCAGCAAGACTTTCACGGGTGGATGAATCATGGGTGAAGGACCAGATCCATCTCAACTCACTACTAGTGAAAGCCTGATTTTTCAACACCCTTCTCCCTGAATTCATTAGAAAAATTACTGATTGATCCAAAGAGCTGTCACTTTATAGAAGTTGTACCTGGATGTGAACATAATTCTGTGAATTAAGCCTTTCATAAACAGACTGTGAGCCAGAATATACTGATTAGAATGGTTTTCATGTAGAAGCCGGGTTTGTCAAAGCAGTATTATTACTATTACTATCATCATCATTGTTATTGCATAGGCAAGCACTTTGTTGAGTACTTTATATGCATTATCTTTTTTAAACCTTGTGGAGCCCCTGTGAGGTAGGTACTATTCTTACGCCCAAATTATAGATGAGTAACTAGAAGGAATTCAGTATCTTGCCACAGTTTAGTATGAAAGCAAGAACCTGAGCCCGGGTTCGTCTTACCCAGAGCCCATGACCTTGGCCGTGGCCTTGACTTCAAATTTTGGTTGTGTAGTCTGCATGTGTCCAGTCTGAAGTGTGGGTTCTCCCAGCATACGTAGAGCTAACCATTTTAAGAGTCCACTGTGATTCTGACAGTCCTTTTATCAGCCTGTTTTGCCTTTGCATTTGAAGGCTGTGGCATGGGCCAATAGGCAAATTTAGTAACTCTGTTTATTATATATTTCCAGTAGAAACATAATAAAATATAAAAAATATAACACATAATAAAATAAAAATTTTGGCTCGATAAAAATTTGGTTCCAAACTTAATGATGATGACTTAAAAGAAGGTAAAACAAAACAAAATTCACACTCTTCCATTTTTCTTGACACCTTAAATTTCCAATTAGAGTTTTAAATAGATCTTGGTTGAATAAATGCTCTTAACATCCTTCAGTTGTCTCCCCACCAAGGGATTAGGGTTTTATTTTCTTTGTTATTTACAGAGACCCTTTTCCATTAGTGATTAGGTATAATGATATTTAAAATTATTCTTTTGTAATAGCATGACCGTCTTGTTTTATTTTATTTTTTATTGTTTTTTGAAATGGAGTCTTGCTCTGTCACCAGGCTGGAGTGCAGTGGCGTGATCTTGGCTCACTGCAATCTCTGCCTCCCGGGTTCAAGTGATTCTCCTGCCTCAGCCTCCCAAGTAGCTGGGATTACAGGTGCCCGCCACCATGCCTCTCTAATTTTTGTATTTTTAGTACAGACTGGGTTTCACCATGTTGGCCAGGCTGGTCTTGAACTCCTGACCTCAGGTGATCCTCCTGCCTTGGCCTCCCAAAGTGCTGGCATTACAGGTGTGAACCACCATGACCGGCCCCTCTTGTTTTGTTATGTTGGAAAAGCTACAAGATGTAAGCCTTATCAGTCTCTTCCCATTGGTGAAACTCAGTGGTGAAGGTTTGCCAAAACAGGTATCCTGAAAAATAAGGTGAATGGTATTGCAGTCCACAAATTTACCTAAAGAGTCTTTGACTTTGGTTAGGTTGACTTTTGTACAATCTGCATTTGCTTGTTTTACTAGGACACCCTCTAGCCTTTTTTTTTTTCTTTTTTCTTTTTTTAAAATCCTCTAACCAGTTAACATTTTGGCTGGTCCGTGGGGCATCTACTTGCCAGCCAACAGTTTCAGTTTCAGCAATGTTTACACTATTCCTTTATATTTTATTGTGATTTTCTTAGTTTAGAAAGATAGGATGAATGGAAAGCACAGAAAAGCACCAATATTCATGGTAATGTAGATCTCATAAATTTAAAATAGTTGATCCAAAGGTAGAACTCACTGGATGTACAAAACATGGAGACTCTACAACCTCTTCTTCTTATGTGAAGAAAAGGAACAAAATGAATGAAGATATAAGACATGCTAACATATATCAAATGATAAGATATATTAGTCAGCTTTGGCAGTGTAACAAAACTCCCTGACTTACAGCAACAGGTATTTATTTTCACACTCATGGGTCTTCAGGTTGACCGTGATTTGGCTGGTATAGGTTGGGCTCCTTGGGGTGGCTGTGTAGAGGCTGTGGGTTGGGTTCCAGTCTCCTCCACATGTGTCCTGGGGCCCAGGCTGAAGGGATGGCAGCTACCTGGGGCATGCTTTTCTCCTGGCAGATCACTGGAGCCAAGAGGCAAACTACACGAGCAAATGTCACTTTCACTAATAACCTGTTTTGGAAAAGTACTATTTTGGACAACACTTGTCTGTAAACGTAGACTCTGTTCACAGTAAGGGAGCGAATATTTGATGAACTATCATCCAGCTTCCAACAGCATGTAAAAATTATGGTTAGAGGATTTTCTAATTTTTTCTTTTTCTTGGGGAATGCAATTTTCATCCCCTCACTCCCATTGCTAGCTGCGTGACATATAAACCTGGTCCTTAACTTCTGCATTTCAGGAATATTCTCTGTTTGATTTTAGAGGGCTGGCTATAAAACAGGTTTGTGTATACACATGAATTACTTAAATTATTAAGGCACTATTTATTAGAACCTACTGTGTTCCAAGAGACAATGTTCAGTGCAGTGGTGAACACAGTTTTATTCTGATGTGGGTCCTGCCACCATGAAACTTATCATTAGGAATAGGTGTAAGGAAGGACTTCTTGGATGCAATGGCATTTTCCTGGACCTTAAAGCAGGGAGAGAGTTGGAGATGCAGATAGAGCAATGGATACCATAAAAATGTAGGGGCACACATGGATATAATGAGTTATTCCACTTGGCCAGAGAGTAAGAAAGGTGAATTACAACAACAATAATAATTATAACACTAGTATTTATAGCTTAACTTCTATTGGGCAGTTAACTATGTGTTAGGCACTGTGCTTAGCACTTTCCATAAGATATTTAATATTGGGTAGGCTTGCTGGTTGCCTACCCAACATTCATTTTCTCCTTTCCAACTAAAAGAACCCCAATTTTGTCTGAGATGGAAATAAGCCCACCTCACCTTCCCAAGACTCCCTTGGACTTAGAGTGGCCATGAGAGTTGGGTCTGATAATGGCATAGGTGGAAGTTTTTGGGTGGAGGCTTTCCTGAAAATGTAGTGAGTGAGACACACGTGGGTGGTATACTCCAAGAACTTTTCAGCTCTTTAACTTCTTGCTGCTGAGATCATTGGTGCAATGCCTGGAGGGGCAGCAGCCAACTACAACAATGAAGATAAAGCCATGGTTTTTGTTTTTTTTTGTTTGCTTTTGAGACAGGGCCTCACTCTGTCACCCAGGCTGGAGTGCAGTGGCACCGATCTCAGCTCACTGCAGCCTTGACTTCCCCGGCTCAAGTGATTCTCCCACCTCAGTCTTCCCAGTAGCTGGAACTACAGGTGCGCACTACCATGCCTGGCTGATTTTTGTATACTTTTGTAAAGATGAGATTTCCCCATGTTGCCCAGGCTGGTCTTGAACTCCCGAGCTCAAGTGATCTGCCTGCCTTGGCCTCCCAAAGTGCTGGGATTAGAGGTGTGAGCCACCATGCCCAGCCAAAATCGTGTCTTACAAATGGCAAAGCTGGAGCCTGGAAGGATCTTGGTCTTGGTGACATCGTTCATTCATAGTACCAGCTTAGACTGCCTTCCCCTGTAGTTCTTATTGCATAAAACTAAAAAGCTCTTTACTTGTAAGCCACTACTTATTACTTGCAGCCGCACATACTCCTCACTGATACATACCTTCTCAAGAAAACCCTCAAAGTAGGTGCTATCACCTATTTTGCAGGTGAGAACATTAAAACTTAGAGGGGTTAAGGACTTGCCCAACCAGTAAGTAGAAGCATTGGGGGTTCAAAACAACATCATTTTGACTTTCAGGATCATCATCTTGCCTCTGGCTGTGCAGGACAAGTACCATAGTGGAGATAATGTTGGAAAATTAGGCTGGATTAAGATTTAGGAGGCATCTGGATTCCTGGTTGAAATATTTGAGTTTGATTTCATGGGCTAGTGAGTATAAAGCCATTGAAAAAGACAGAGACCAGAGGTTGGGAGACCACTGAGGCTTGAGTGCATGACATACATGCTTTAGTACGAGTGAAGGTGGAGGGAAAACTGGGCATGAAACAGAGCTGGGGACATGAGAAGATAATGGAATTGAGTGAACCCAAATCATAGTTGCTGTTAACCTATGATCATCTGAGAGCAAAATGAAAGTCTCCTGAAGGCTAGTATTCACTTCTACTGATGGCTTCACATTTGCCCAGAAGTAGGGAATGAGTAATGTAGAGAATTGCTAATGAGATATGAATCACTATTTCATGCTGTGGGGTGGGGTCTTCTACTCATTGTCAATACCATTTATTGAGCCCTTGACGACCTTGTATTAAATGACTTTGGTCTGGGTCTGGCTCCACTGTGCCAGTTAAAGGTAGCAGAGATGAAGGGTAAGGTCAGAAGGTGCTGCAGTGGTACATTAGATTCTGTCCATGGACTTATTTCTGCTAAACATTCTAGACCTTCCTTGAGGGGTAGATTGGGGTTACTTTAACTGTCTGTGTCTCCTTTTTTTCTTCTCTTTACTTTTTAAATTTGTAAAATAAAGGATTTGGTTTACATTCATAGTTTTCAAATGTTTTTCAGCTGTTAAAACTTTGTTTCCTAAATAAAAATTTATCTGGACCCTCAGTATATTTATAGAAAGCAGAGCTGTTCTGGAAATTTAGGGTCCAGATTTATGTTGTATGAAGTGTCTTTATGTTGAGGCCACTGCTCTAAAATGACACCTACACACCCTTCCTGGTTCATGATTATGTGAATCTTATAGCTGTTCAGATGTTTTATTTGTGCATCATCTTTAACAAATCCCTTTGTTATTCCACAGGTTGTGTCTTAATATCATCTGTGGTAGAGACTGTTAATGTTCCCCATAGCCACTTTTTCTTTCCTTCCAGGCATATGTTGGAGGTGGCTTGCATCACTTCCATGCTAGAATATTTGATTTCCAGTGTGAGAGCACCCAGTGCCCTCTTCTACTGCAATGATTACGGAAATGTGTGTTGAGATGGAGCCCTTCATCTGCCTGGGCCTTTCAGTCACTAAATGAACACAGCTTCCCGTCAACTGGAGTTGGACATATAGACCAAGAAGTAAACTTTGGTTGTTTTAAGCCATGAAGAGTTTTGTGATTTTTGGTTTCTGCAGCACTTTTCTGCTTATCTTTACTGATACACCATCTTTGAGCACATCTGCTAAACTTTATGTAACTTACTTTTTGGGTGCCTTCTGGATTAACCTGAAGCCTGGCCAGCTTGTCCTTACTTTGTAGTTAGGAAAAGAGTGGGCTGGCATCTACATCCGCTGTCCGTGCTGGTCTCTGTGCTAATAGATTCTTTGAATTGAAAGCTTTATGCTCAATAACATTTGTTTTCATGCTTAAAAAGTTCCTGAAGACATATTGTATAGTGCACCTCACTGTTCTTTAAAAAAAAAAAAAAAGCCTTTATGCCATCTTGCTTTTTTTTTTTTTTTTTGTATTTTTAGTAGAGACGGGGTTTCACCGTGTTAGCCAGGATGGTCTTGATCTCGTGACCCCGTGATCCGCCCGCCTCGGCCTCCCAAAGTGCTAGGATTACAGGCGTGAGCCACCACGCTAGGCCGCCATGTTGCTTTTTCAAGTATAGAATCTCTGTGGCTTAGAGAGGAATAATGACTATAAGTTACCATAACAATGGCTGTTATTAAGTAGTGATTGATTTGTGAAGTATTTATTGAGTATCTACTTTGTGTTAGGCACTGGGGGTACAGAGATGAACAACAGATAGTTCCTTACTACTTGGAGCTAATACTCCAGTTGGAAGTGATGGATACGTTTGCTCTGTTATATGAAGAGCACCATTTATTGAGCATTTACTATGTGGTAGGCACTGTGCTAGGTGCTTTATATTGCTCATTTCATATTACCTATACAGGTAAATGTATTATCCCATTTTATAGGTGAGGAAACTGAGACTCAAATAATTTGATAAGTTCCATAAAGGCAGGAGCTTTGCCTTTGGCTGTATCCCTAGTGCCTAGATGTTCTGTAAGTATTTGTCAAATGACTGAAGGAACAGAAAAACTTGCTCAGAGTTAATGCTGTGGCAGAGCCAGAGTTTGAATCCACCTCTGCCTTACTCTCAAGGCTGCTAAATTATCACTAGAGAAAGTAGAAACAATGAGTGGCCCCACAATTACAACAGAAACAACCAACAAGCCTTAACCATTGTCAATGCCAAAAGCACCAGGAGCTCTAAGCTGTCTCACTTTCACAGCCAGGGCCGAGCCTTCTTTGTGATTTTCTGCTCATTCTTTCAGCTGGGGAAGTCCAAGGCCACTACATCACTGACTTAATTGTTAATATAATTGGTTACCCTTCTCTTGGGCCAGTTCATCTGCTACTCCAGCCTAATTTCTTCAGCACTTGGCTGGCCAATTCCCAGGGCGTGCCTCAAAGTTCTGCTCTTAACCTCTTGGGCATTACTTCTCCACTTACATCTTCCAGATTTGTTGCTTTGAAGTTGCATTTCCTCTGTTCTTGAACTCATGTTGACTCTGCCAAGCAGAGTTCGCTTGGTCAGAGCCCAGGAATCTCTAGTTGCTGGCACCTAATCAGCACTCAACAAAATTAAAAAGAGAGAGAGTGCGTGTGCATGGAAGAAGAGAAGAAAATAAATAAAGGCAGGAAGAACCTTCAGGAAGGAACTAAGTGGTTATTTTTTCCTGGAAGTCAATGGTGAGATTATAGCCCCACTGGATGAAGAGTTGGAAGGGCATCTGTGAGATATACCTGAAAACCAAAGGCCAGCCGCAATGTTCATAGACATCTTATACCAGCAACTTAGTTTTGCTATGGTTTATTTTTCAGAGTCTACATTTTGCTCACTTAATTATCCTGTGTGAGTGTGTGTGTGTGTGTGTGTGTGTGTGTGGTCTGATAGCATTAGCTCTCTTTTCCTGTCTTAATACTTTCCACCCCTAAAGGTAGTTGTCATTCTGTGATTTCAGGGCATGAATGAGTTGCAGGCAGCAAAGTGCATTTACCCTAAATGCATTAGGAGCAAACTATTAATTCAAGGCAACTTCTTAGTGGGTCAGAAGACAAGAGCTTGAATGGGAATTGAGCAATGTGACTGTTCTTTAAGAATATGCTCAGATCCTTATGCAAACCGTGAAAGATTTCTGCTAAATGGTATGACTAATTGCAGTAAGAAAGAGCAGGGTTTCCTATAAGAAATTGAACCTAGTTGTGCACTGTGGTTACCAGTTCTTATGTGGCATATTTCTCTATAATAAGATAGGTGTGGTCAGGAGTTCATCCTCTATGGGCCTGAGGTGATTGAAGGTGGGTTTGGGGTCTGGGAGCTGCTCTGGCAGTGAGAGTTGAGCAGCTCTGCCAGATGTGAGGTTAGGGCGGTCCCATGATCACTGGTTATTTTCTCAGTGATACTGGTGGGCATCAAATTTCTACCAAGATGTCTTTCTTGTGCCTGGCTTGAGGCAGATTAGCCATGCTCCGTTTTGTCAGCCAGCTCCAGCTGTCATCACCTCGAGGAGCAGTCGTGGTTCAAGGGGCGGGTTCCGAGAGGAGCAGGGTTGTTGACTCTTTTTTTACATTGACATCTCAGGAGAGGATTTTTGATGTCTTTTCTTTCCTTCTGGTGATGTATGTTTTTCCTTCCCTTCTAAGGCTGTAACATTCCCTCCTCCCCCTTCTTTGTTTCGCATTTTGACCCTTTATTCGTATTGTTCATGAAGCCTCTCCCTGACAGGAAGCAGGAGGTTGGGTAGTGAGTGGGATAACAGCGTGGCATTCGTATGGGCTTGTTGAAAATAGGTCCTGTTTGATGCTGGGTGGATACAAAAGCACCTGGGTCTTAGTGGCTGCTGTTCATCAGGCTTGTGAGCGTGGAGCAGTTAGTGTGGGCACGCAAGGGGAATTCTTCACCTTTTTTGTTAAAGCTGAGAAATAACTCTCTTTTTATACATGGGCTTTGAATGCATTCATGGGCCACCTTGAATTCACAACATGAATAGTTGCTTAGAATAACTTCAGAGCAGATTCTTTTGGATACAGAGACATAGCACTGACCTGGGGTCACAAGCCCTAAGTTCCCTTTCTGGCTTTGCCACTAGCTTTCTCCTTATTTGGGATCTCTGTTTCTCTATCATCTAGTCCAATTTGCTTCAAAGGCACTCTTCTAGATCTATTATATATATATTTTTACAACAGTTTCTTCATGCAAAGGTTCAACTAAGTAATTATCATTTTATTAGTTATTTTAACCTGGAAAACAGGAGTGGCTGGTGTTCTTTCATAATAGACATTAGTAACAAAGAATTAAGCCATTCTGTTATGTAGTCGTCGTAAAAGTGTATGCTTGCTTTGTGCCAGTCTTCTTCTGGGAATAGGGTGTGTACACGTCAAGAGGACCATAATAGAGCAGGTAATTTTGTAGGGGAGTTCAGGGATTGTAGTATCCAGTGGAGCACCAAACAAGTAAGCAGGCAATAATGGATGCTCTTTGGGGGAACATCCAGGCTATCATGGAAGACTTAGGAGAGTCATGGATGAAGAATGAAGGAAGGCTTCCTGAAGAAAGTAGCACCTAAAGTGTCACTGAAGGGTAAATGGAATTAGCCAGAGGAGGGAGGATTTGAAGGTACAAATAACAGGGGGAATAGCATGCACTAGGTCCAAAGGTAAGCGAGAGAATGGGAGATTCAGGGTTCACGGAGGTAAATGTAGGTAGAACTGTAGAGCTGGAGTTTAGCTTGGCTCAGGATGAGGGATGGTGAGAGGAGCCAGAGAGTGTGACAGGGCATAAGACCCTGTGAGCCATTGAGGAGATGGGACTCAAGCTTAAAACTTCAAGAGATTTCAAGTAGGGGACGGATACGATCAAGGACTCTGAATTCTCTTTATTCTCCTTTTATTTCACCGTCATGGCAATAATTACCTACTTTTGATGCTTGTGGGAGTGTGGGACTTGACATTGGGAAGAGAGGGTGGCAAGATGACCTGAAGAACAATAGAAAGATTGATTATTATGGCTTTGGGACTCCTAGCAATGTCCATTCTGATTCATTGACCAAACACAATTTATACAGCCTTAATAATTTTGAAAGACCATTTTCCAGGTGAGGAAAAATATCTGCTGGTGAAAGATCTGCAGTGGGACTCCACATCACTTGTTGGTTTTGAGACTCTCTCCCAATATCACCTAGGACAAAGTTCATTTCAATAAATTTTAAGCAGAGCACAGAGAGTACACATTGTGTTTCAAAATCTTTGTACTTAATGGGCAGAATGAAACTGACTTTGTTAGATTAATCGAGGGAAATACTTGAAGTAATTCATAGTGTACAGCTTCTGAAAGGGGTCTGAGAAAGTTCATGAATGGAAATAGTTTCATTATTCCTTGAAATGTACAAGATTGGGAGTTATGGGCTAGAACACTATTCAATATCCCGTGCATAGTGTCTGCCTCTTACTTTACTTCGATATGATTTACACTTTTGTACATTATACAGTAGCACTGTTAAATTGCCTTTCATACATTAATCTTCTGTGCTGTAGCTTATGAACCACCATTCTGAGCTACTGTACCATGACCTTACCTGCCGACAAGTAGTTTTAGTTCATCAGCATCACCATATTTGTACAACAGTTTGTGCAATCACCTGAATATTTCTTGAATTTTGTCATTAATTTATAAGTGGAAAATGGAAAACTGTAGGCAATAATACAGGGAGAACTATTTAGCTCATAATGTAATTGAGCCAAACATTGAAACCATTAGGCATGCCCAATATGGCTAGTGGTTAGCTTTAGTCAGATGCTTTGAACTTAAATTGGCCAACTATTTATAGTTGTGAGTGAAGTTAAAGGCTATGTATGTATGAAATGTTGGAAAAAAGCTTTAGGGATTATATTAAAGAGCAAGATGGAATTTGGGATTTTATCATTTATTTGTTTTGGGGAACAGAGCTTCCCTTTTTAACATGTAAGTCAAGGTAAGTTTTGTTTGTTCAGCTTTTTAAAAAGTACATATTCAGAAAGGTGTTTTCTACAAAAGCAAGAGACAGAAATTGGATTTCTCATCAGTCTTATTTATGAGTCCACCAGAGTATGTAACCTAATCCTTTGGTTTGCTAGTCAGAATAGGTGATTATTGTGATAAAATCTCTGTGTATTTTGGCAAACAAGTAACGAGAAATCAAAGCAAAATAAAATGGCATTTGGCAAAGGATTCACCTCACTGGGAATTTCATGATCCCATGGTTTCATTTGTTAAAATGATGCACTGTGGAACTAGAAAAAGACTAAATGAATTCTAGTCTTTGCCATAAACCTTAGGAGGGTACATTTGTAACCAAAGAGAGAAAGGGATACGCATAAAATTTACCAGATCAAAGTTGTTTACAATTGACCCCACAGCCCTCTAATTCCCTAGGTCAGGAGGGAGTGGTGGTTATCTGTCTGTCCTGGGGGGGTCTTCTTGCTATCTGGGGAGCTTATCTAACTTTTTTTGTGGGCTCAGCCCACCTCTAGGCAAAAGATTGAGCTGGATACAAAATTCCAGTTCTTTCTAATACCTCTTGTGGTTGGTTGAATGATGAGTGCTAAGTCATGAGAGATGTTATTTAAATAGAAGATGGGAAAGAATTGGCTCTTAGATTTTTTTAGTCTCTTCCTGAAACTGAGAGACGTAGTTTATCTTCTATAAAAAAGGTGGATAATTGTTAGACCAGAAATTCAAGAAGATCATATTAAGTATCTACTATGAGTCAGGCACTGTGCTAAGTACTTTGAAGAATTATCTCGTTTAATCTTCACAATAACTTCATGATCTAAGTATTATTTTTATTGATAAGGAAAGTAATGTTTAGAGAAATTAAGAAACTTGCCTTGGTGTCTTAGTTGACTTTCCCACAGAAGCAGACCCTGAGACAAATAGTTACTTGGGACTTACAGGGGGTCACTAGTGAGTGAATGAGGATATGAGACAGGGAAGTGAAGGCAGCCAATAGATGGTGCATTGTTAAGCGAGTTGTGCAATGGCAACTAGTGTTTAATCCCATAAGGAAATTGTAGAGATAGTGTAAAACACCTGCCTTAGGGTATTTTTACACAAAGGCTAGGAGAGTAGGGATGTCTCACCACTAGTTCATGTCAGTTGTTTTTTTTTCTTTTCTTTTTTTTAAATTTATTTTAATTATTTTTATTTTTTTACTGTGGTAAAATATACATAACATAAAATTTACCATTGTAACCATTTTAAAGTGCACAGTTTGGTGTACTAAGTATATTTGCAATGTTGTACAGCCATCACCACCATCAATCTCCAGAGCTTTCTCATCATCCCATACTGAAACTAGGTACTAATTAAACAATAACTCCACATTCCCCCAGCCCCTGGAAACCACCATTATACTTTCTGTCTCTATGAATTTGACTATTCTAGGTACCTCATATAAATGATATCAGACAATATTTGAGCTTTTGTGGCTGGTTTATTTCACTTAGCATAATGTTTTCAAAGTTCATGTTGTAGCACGTATCAGAATTTCATTTCCTTTTTTTTTTTTTTTTTTTCTGAGACAGAGTCTCACTCTGTTGCCCAAGTGGGAGTGCAGTGACAGAGTCTTGGCTCGCTGCAACCTCTCAACCTCTGCCTCCCGGGTTCACGTGATCCTCGTGCCTCAGCCTCCCAAGTAGCTAGGACTACAGGTGCATGCCAACATGCCCGGCTAATTTTTGTATTTTTTAGTAAAGATGGGGTTTTGCCATGTTGGCCATGCTGGTCTTGAACTCCTGGCCTCATATAATCCACCCACCTTGGCCTCCTCATTTCTTTTTTAAGGATGAATAATATTCCATTTTATGTGTATACTTCATTTTCTTTATGCATTCAACATCAGTGGACATTTCGGTTGTTTTCACCTTTTGGCTATCATGAATAATGCGGTTGTGAACACTGTTGTATAAATAGCTGTCAGATTTTTTTTTAAGGGTGGTTAACCCTGGGACTTCTACACCCTGCAAGGGAAGACTAGCTTATCCAGGTTTAAAAGATACTCTCAGGCAGAGATTCTGATATTGGCAGTGCCTTTGGGGCACTCTAAAATGTTCAGGTCAGAGGGACATCGATAGGCACTTAGAGCATCTGCTTGCAAGATCTTAACCTAAGTAAGTGGAGAAACTGGAATTTGGACTCTTCAGAGCCCATGCTTTAAACTGCTCTACATTGAGTTGCCTTTTAATTGCAAGTGTAAACTAGTGCTGAGATATGAAGATGAAGAAGACATAGTTCTTGCCTTTAAGGAAGGTACAGGGTTGAATCATCTGTTTTGCAAAAGGTTCAAGTGAAGACAGGGTCATCAGTTGGTGCAATCTGTAAGTCACACAGCCATTATAAGATGGAATCACGATAGCAGGAGGTGGGTGCATGTGTTGCCTTTCTTTTGGTGTGGAGGCATGCTTGGGTCAGTTACAGCTGGATTCTTCCTAGGGCTGTGCTCCAGGACAGGCACTCACATGTGTACTGATCATACGAGGTCCAGCCCACGCCCATTGATGCTCGCTGGCATTCACTATTTGGATTGTTTGTACAACTATGTCACCTCCTAGCAGGATTTATCCTCCTTTCGGCTTTTCCAGTGATTGCCTTCATCTCGATGTCCAAGCACCAGGAGCAGCTATTTGTCAGTAAAGAAATCAGTGGTCAGGAATGATAAAGAGAATACATTTGGAGGCAATTAAAATAGTTGGTTGTATGCATCTGTATCTGAAAATAAATTATTTACAAATGATTTGCATCTATCTGGAGACCTAACAGAAGATATTCTGTCATGGAATGGATGATATTTCCTAGTTTGGTAATCTGCAGAGGAAGAGAGAAATGAGAGATAAATCAGTGAGAAAGCACTGTCCTATATTTTAATCTAAATGTTACATATTTGGTTTTAGCACTGTGTTTGTGGTAGCTGGGTTTATTAGTCAGATATTGCTAGGTTGTGCTGGGCTAACAAAGGACCTCCAAATCTCAGTGGCTTCTTTCTCTCAGGGGTTGTCTGTGATTCTGCTCCATGTTATCTTTATTCTGGGACACAGGCTGAAGGAGCCTTTCTTGGACAGCCTATCTTCATGGTAGAGAAGAAAAAAGAATGTTTTACCCACAAGAGGGCTCTGATAGCTACTGTTTGGTTATGGCATTTGTTACTTCTGCTCACATTTCATTGGCCAAAACAAGTCATACGGCCAAGCCAGATGTCATTGGAGCAGGAAAGATTATCTTCCCACAGGAAGGAGACTGTAGGGATGGGCAGGCTAGGGGGATGGTGAATATGTTGAACACATGATGCAATTTAATGCATGGGCTAAAGTTTTACTTGCATGTGCAAAGTTTTTTTTTGGCAACCTTTTTAATCAACTACTTTTTTTAGACCCATTGCAAGATGTTTAACGCTGTTATTTCTATTTTACTCATGAGGAAGAAAGGGTCTAATGTAAGAAAACAACACAATGAGCCTGTGGTCAATATTGATGATGATGAGGATTGTACTGAGTATTTACTAAGCCTCAGGCACTGTGCTAAGTACTTCTGCCTTCTCTGATTTAATCATTATTCACCTTATTTTTGTGAAGTAGCCATTGTTACACTTGAGGCCATTGTTACTCAGATACTTACTGAGGCTCAGAGAGGTTTGCTAACTTGCTCAAGGTTAAACAGATAATAAATGTGAGATTCAGGTCTCAAATCCAGTGTATGCTTAATCACTTAACCAAGGTTTCTCAGACTTAGATGATATCTTTTTTAATGAAAATAATTTCTCGTAGAACCCCAGGGTTGGCTTAAATTATTATTATGTAATGATACTTTAAATTGTATAAACATAAAGCTGGTGAGTTTTATTTTAAAGCTCTTACACCTTTTTAAAACCTAAATCAATTTAGAAATAGAGTATATGTCATATGACATTACTAATTCAAATTCATAACATTAATTTAACTGCATTAACTAAATTGCTGCTTATAATTAGAATGTGATGCTGACTATTCTGGACAGGTTCTTTGGCATCATCTGGTCTACCCTGCTGTGCACTGGGTGATGATTCAATTTTCCCACCATATTCATCATAGTCAACTTCTGTGAAACTTTCATTCTTTCTGAGGAACTTGACAATCCTTACCTTTCACCCAGTGAGAACACATCCTTTAGATCCCCAAGACCATCTTATTTCCTTTCACATTGACTCAGTGATTCCTTAGGGTACAGCTTGATATTCAAAGTCAATGGGCATGGTGCTGTGCTGATCAAGAATATCCTTACATTATTTGTTTTCAGATTTCTGAAATAAAAACAAGCCTTAAATTCTCATGAGATTTGCAGATTCTTTAATATGCATAACTATGGATCTGACTTCCCTCCTTAGTTCTTGTCCAGGTTAAAAAACTGGATTTTCCCTGTCTGTTACTACACTCTTTTTTCCATAGGACTCTCTCCATCTGAGACCACACTCTATCACTCCCAGAAAGGCCCTCATCTGTTTCTGGTGTTCACAGCAACTGGCAGCCTTGCACAACAATTAGAGTTGTTAATGTGAACCTGAGTAAAGAGGCTGTGACCCCCTTTTAAATGGAAGGCTTTGGACCTCTATCATGTCAGAAACCACATTACAGATTTGTTCTCCAGAAGTATTTGTTGAATAGATCCGAATTATGTCCTGTAATTTCCCTTTTTATTTATTTTTATGTTAGATAAGCCTACCATTATCCATTCATAGACAAGAGATTTGACTCAATTACTTGATTTACTTACTGCACTTACTGACTCTCATTTACTCTAATTTCCATTGTTAAGGGGGTTTCTGTATACCATTCAGCACCCTGAACTTGATCCTTGTTAAAGCCTCCAATGTGACTCTTTCATGGTTATCAGTCATATTTTTGAGAGACCTCAGATTTAGGATGTAACGTTTATTCTTTCTCTTCTTTCCAGAATACATAGATGAATGCTTGTCTCCATAATTTGCCCATTGGAGCCATTCCTCATCCCTCATTGATTGTGGTCTTTTTTTTTTAATAGCTTACAATCTTTGCTAAAATTTTTCCTCACGTATGTGATTATGCCTATATTCTTTTCTAGTAAAAAGCTATTTACACGTAATCCTTATGCCATTATAAATGTAGCAAAATTTTGTGTGATTGGATTTTTAGGGCCAAGGGGGCAGAGTTTTTATTCTATCTCTCTATCATTTTCTCAGAAACGTCTGTTAGTTGACAGATAGAAGATTTTTTAGTGTAAGACCCAATAATTCCTGAATATTCTTTTTTTAAGTATACTATAACTGAAGCTTTGCCAATTGACATTTTACATTTGCAGATGAAAGGAAATGCATAGATGTTTAAAAAACGAATCTGAAAACCTTATTTATTCTTTCAGTGCAACTACTTAATTTGTTCTATTTATGAGACTTTATGGGGCGATGAATAATGTTGTTATAATCAGCATATTTTATTAAACGTCACTTATTTTAATTTTATTTAACATCTCAAATTATTTCTTAATTTTACTGTTTATTGTTTGGGATTTTGCCATTTTTAAAATTTATTTATTTTTTTAGAGATAAGGTCTCTCTGTGTCACCCAGGCTGGAGCGCAACGGCGTGATCATAGCTCCCTGCTGCCTTGAACTCCTGGACTCAAGCTACTCTCCTGCCTCAGCCTCCCAAGTAGCTAGGACTACAACTGCACACCACCACACCTGACTAATTTATTTTTGAATTTTTTGTAGAGATGGGGTGTCGTCATGTTGCCCAGGCTGGTCTCAAACTCCTGGCCTGAAGTGATCCTCCCACCTTGGTCTCCCAAAATGCTGAGATTATAGGCATGAGCTTACCACACCTGGCTGTTTTGCTATATTTTTAACTTGTGGATTTAGCTGTGTACTAGATAATAGTTTATTACTTTAACAAAATTTTTAGGGGTTTCAGATCCTTAATTTAACACTTTGAAATAAATTGATGGAGTCTGAAATTTAAATAATGGAAATGGTTAATGGAAAGAACAGTTAACTAATATTTGGGCATGCAGAGCCCTTGCCTTGTAGTATGGAAGACAGTCAGCCTCTTGACTCAAGTACCTTGCCATAAAACATGAGCCAAGGCAGCTGAACATGTAATCATGCTAAATCTACACATGGAAAACAGTAATTATAAAATGAGTTTGGGGGAACTAAAGGAGAGAGTACTGATGTGTGGATAGGCGTGTTTGAGTTTCATAGAGCTTTTTGGAGAATGATGGGAAAGCAATTTTGAAAATCTCTGCTGTATTAAGCTGGACTTTCCCCTTACTGATTCACATCATGGCATTCACAGATGAAATGGTTTATTACTGGGACTTTGAATAACTATGGATGCATAATATTGTAGCCTGCAGATCATGGGGGAAGGCAATGTCCATTTTTCTCTCTAGTTTTAGAGAACTGGGGTTGATGTCTTCAGCACTTTTGAACAGCAGATTGAGTTTGACTCCAAAGTGTCTGACAGGGCTAAGTTTAGTGAACTGGGAGAATTCTATGGCAACTTTGAGGCTGAAAGCCACTGTGTTATATTCTGGTAGCTTTGGGCTTGTCAAGGTTAACTTCTGTTGATCATTAGCTGTGTGCTAGGTATTGTGCTAAGTACTTTCTTATATCATCTCATTTAATCTTTCCCAAATCTATACGAAAAGTCTGATATCCCCATTTTACAGATGAGAAAAGTGAGGATGAGAGAAGTAAAATACTTTGTTCAAGATTGCGTATCCAGAAGACAGAAATATGACTCCAGCCAAATCTGATTTTGAGGCTCCTCTTTTCCTTTTTAAAACACTATGTCTCTCCTCTCTGGCTACAATTACAGAATTGTCCTATAACTGCCATGGAAGTGATTTTAGTGATATGATGAAAATGTCATGATATTAAAGTGCCAGCATCATCCTTTCAATTATTTCAAAGTTGTTTTGCATAGCTCCCGTGTTCCCTTACTCTTGGGCGAGAGGGCCTACTCTGGTTCTCCTCTGACTGCACCGTCCACTGGAGGAAGAGTCCAAGGGACCAATGCAGGTGCCCACCTGGAGCCTGTGCCTGGCATTCTAGAGTCCGCTCTGGGTACCTACAGGCCTGTGACCTCCTTGCCTAAATGACCCTGAGTTGTCTTCCAGAATCTGCCTGGAAATTTTTTCCTAGTACATCTTCTTGGGGGTAAGCCAGGCTACCACTGTGCACATCCTAGGCTTAGGGTTGTGGAGGGGCACATATGTGTGACGTTACAGATCAGGTGTCAGCAAACTACTACCTGTGGGCCAAATCCAACTACCACTTTTTTTTTTTTTTTTTTGAGATGGAGTCTCGCTCTGTTGCCCAGGCTGGAGTGCAGTGGCACAATCTCGGCTGACTGCAAGCTCTGCCTCCTGGGTTCACGCCATTCTCCTGCCTCAGCCTCCCGAGTAGCTGGGACTACAGGCGCCTGCCACCACGCCTGGCTAATGTTTTGTATTTTTTGTAGAGATGGGGTTTCACCGTGTTAATCAGGATGGTCTCGATCTCCTGACCTTGTGATCCACCTGCCTTGGCCTCCCAAAGTGCTGGAATTACAGGTGTGAGCCACCGCGCCCGGCCAACTACCACTTGTTTTTATAAATAAAATTTTACTGGAACACAGCCATGCCTATTTGGTTTCAAATTGTCTACGGCTGCTTTTGGGCTGAAATGGCAGAGTTGAGTAGTTATGACAGAGATCAAGTGGCCCACAAAACCTAAAATGTGTACTGTTTGGCCTTTTACAGAGAAAGCCTGTGGACCCCTGGTATAGCTGGAGCAAGCCTAGCTTGCATGCTGCAGAGTTCATGTGTATGAGGCCCGTGGGGTATGGTTGGGCCAGAGGTGGGGAGAAAGGGTGTTGGCGGAGGTGTGGGGGGCAGGCCTTCCTCCGGCCACAATGTTTTGGTGGAATTCTGAGGAGTCTAAGTATTCTAAGTTCAAAATTCAGATCTCACCTTCCCCATCTCTGTATTCAAGGTAGGAAGGTAGAATGTATTTTGTTTACCAGTTTGTTAGCTCAGTTTATAACTTTAAATGTATAGGCACATGGTATCTGGGCATCCATTTGTACTCTTGCCATGGGCTCTAAGAGTGTTAGCACCAATGTAAAAACCTGGGTTGCAGTGTAGGGGTTTATAATAGGAGGGAAGAGAGACCCCAACAAGGAATTGCACATATTAATATGAAATTCTAAGGTATGGAAGTGCTTTTGGGTCATATACGGATTACTGGACATGAGAGAGGCTTTGGGGATGCTGATAATGTTCTAAGTCTTGGTCTAGACAGTGGTAACACAGGTGTGCTCACTATATAAAAATTAACCGGTGCAGGCTGGGCATAGTGGCTCACACCTGTAATCCTAGCACTTTGGGAGGCCGAGGCGGGTGGATCACTTGAGGTCAGGAGTTCGAGACCAGCCTGAACAAAATGTCAAAGCCCCATCTGTACTAAAAATACAAAAATTCCCTGGGCTTGGTGGTGGGCACCTGTAATCGCAGCTACTCGAGAGGCTGAGGCAGGAGAATCGCTTGAACTCAGGAGGCAGAGGTTGCAGTGAGCCGAGATCACACCACTGCACTCCAGCCTGGGTGGCAGAGCGAGACTCTGTCTCAAAAAAAAAAATCAATTAACGTGTGCAATTAAGGTCTACCTTCATCATGTATATGTTCTGCTTTAATAAAGTTTATAAAAATAAATGAAAAGAGAATATATTAAAATTAAATATTAAATGTAAATAATATAATCTCTATATTTTATAAATATTGTAACAGATATACTAAGATTAGTATATTACAATATATTGCAAATAAACAACCCTTGCTCCCAGTTTCATTTGT
Organism: Homo sapiens; assembly: GCF_000001405.40. Classification (NCBI taxonomy): domain Eukaryota; kingdom Metazoa; phylum Chordata; class Mammalia; order Primates; family Hominidae; genus Homo; species Homo sapiens. The sequence goes on along the minus strand of NC_000003.12, from coordinate 56,447,534 downwards.
CCAAATTAAATCCAAAATGCTGGAACCCATGTGCCAGTTTAGCTGGAAGTTCCGAATCTCTCCACTAGACCGCCTTCCCAACCTTCCCCACTTCTCGTCTCCCTCTCTTTCCTCTCCTCCCCGCTGCTTCGGGCTTACACAGCCCCAGAGCGAGCGGGATATGGATATAAATCCCACATCCAAATCTGGAAATCAATCTGTCCGACCAGCCCATCACATGATTACATCTTGATGCCACAAGGTGTCGCTGTTGAGGCTGTTCTCCCTCGGACTGAAAGATGCTGTGCGTGCCCTCTGTGGTCCCCACTCTGTGGTCCTGCAAGGGAAGGCCAACCCAGTCCCCCGTGGCCAAGCTCAGACACAGTGTGCCATGTGGGGGTGTAGCGGATGCTATTGGTGCCCCACCCGCATCTCCTCAGCACTCATGGCCTGTATGGGAACATGAGGGCTTTCTCTTTGGCTTCACTTGGGAGTGCCAGGGAGCATCCCTCAGCCCATGATGGAGTTTCTTGCCCTTCCGGAGGCGCACCTATGAGGCCGGTTCTCCACTGTTTCTCGAAGCTCTTTCCAGTTGCTTGCAGCAGAAACCTTCTTGAAAATGCACTCTCGGCCGGGTGTGGTGGCTCACGCCTGTAATCCCAGCACTTTGGGAGGCTGAGGCCGGAGGATCACTTGAGGTCAGGAGTTCGAGACCAGCCTGGCTAACATGGTGAAACTCTGTCCCTACCCCAAAATACAAAAATTAGCCGGGTGTGGTGATGCGCGCCTGTAATCCCAGCTACTCGGGAGGCTGAGGCAGGAGAATGGCGTGAACCTGGGAGTTGGAGGGTGCAGTGAGCCGAGATTGTGCCAGTGCCCTCCAGTCTGGGAGTCAGAGGGAGACCCCGTCTCAAAAAAAAAAAAAAGAAAGAAAAAAAAAAAAAGAAGAAAATGCGCCCTCTATTGACTTCCTTGACTTCCTTGTTTTAGTTCCAAATTGTCCTCTCAGTACTTTCTGGGAATACCTTATAAATGAACCTCCTACACCCACATCCTTGTCTCAGCATCTGCCGGTGGGGAACCCCAACTAGGACATATAGCCTTCCTCATGAGTTACAACCCTGTGCACAGTTTTGTGCCCCACTGTACAGGCTCCATACAGCATGCGAGGTCTCCAGAAGCTTCTAGCCTTACCCACACACTTTGTCAATAGGGGCTTCTCCATGGCTACTGGGTCACATGTCCTGAGTCCCAATCACCAGCCTGGACTTCTATCTTGAAGTAATTATTTAATTTCTGGGAACTCTAAGTCTGGTGGAGCTATGCTAATTCCTTCCCATAGATCTCACTTACTCTGAATCCTGGGCACCTAAGACTGGGGTGTCAGTGACTTCCCTCCGTGAATGTTCCCGGATCATTGTGCATAAAGACACCTACAAGATTTCACATTTTCCAAACCAGGGATCTGAGGAGGGACAGCCTCAGTTGGGTTATGAAGGGTTTCCTTACACCTTCACCAGAGGATTCAGGCTACCTAGTCTAACTCTACTTTAACCTAAACAAGAGGGCCATTGAGATGACCCTTGGCCAGTCAGCTTCTCTTATAAAAAGAAAAAAGATAGCATGTCTTTCACATCATGAAAAAAAAAAAGCATTACGCTTTGAGAGAATGTAACTGAGAGACCTGATTTGAATGGGATAGATCTTGTAGAGGGTATGCTATTGAAACTATCATGTAAGTGATGGAATAGGAAATAATAGGAATTAGCCCTGCAAAGAGAACAGCAGGAGTGAAGGCTCTGAGACAGGAAGGGACTTGATGCATTGGAGCAGCAGGAAGAAGACCCTGTCAGAGTCTTTGAAGGAGAGAGTGGCAAGAGGGGAGGCGGGGGCTGTTGGCTGTACTCAGATCCTGCAGGGCCTCAGGCCATGGGAAGCGTTTTGGTTTTGTCCACAGAGCAATAGGAAGCTTTAAAAGGGTTTTAAGTGGGTAAGGGGAGATATTTTATAATCGTAATTGTATCTTAAAACAGTTTAGCTGATATTTTGGAAATAAGAGTAGAGGACGATAAGAGGAGAAGCTTTAGGAGGTATGAAGTAGCTTATGCAAGAGTCACATTGGTTCAAGAGGAGTGGAAACAACGGAGAAGATTCAAGAGCAATTTTGGAGGTAGAATTAATAAGATTTGGTAAAGAACTTGAAGTGGGTGGTAAAAGAATGAATTGTAAAAGAATGAATTGTTTAAGACCTTATATGTGAGTAGAGTGGTAAAAAATGTAAATACCTATTGGGGGAAGCAGGCAGGAAAGGAATCAGACTGAATATAAGATAATGGGAGTGGAGGAGACTGTGGCAAACTGGAGGGTACATGTCCTCTCTTGAAGGGGCAGCTGCTGGTTGCTCCAACCAGTTATTGCCATGTAGAAAGGTGAGCCTGACATTGTCAGATTTTCAGATTTTTAAGGAAGCATCAGAATCTGGATTTTAATATGAACTGTCTATCTTTCTATGTTGGCAACTATTAATAGAAATTCTAAACAACACTGTGCTAGCTATACACAGCACATCTGCAGGTAACATCTGGCTCCTGGGTGGCCACTGCTTGTTTGAGATCTGTTTTCCATTGTGTCTTCCTTTAGAAAGGTTTTTAGAATTAGTAGTCTGTGACACAGAATTTTGGAAAAGTTAGGGATGCTGATTAGAAAAAAAAGGATATTTTAAGTTGGCAAAATCTTGGGAGATACTGATGATCTCAGCTCACACGGTCTGTCAGCAGGCCTCAGGTGATGGGCTGAGGCGGAGATCTGTGGAAATAAACTTAACCTAATTTAGAGCAGATAGCAGGAAGTGCTTTTGTCTTAAAATAGACTGTTCCAGACCATGATAGTCTGAGATACTTGAGTTAGACAGGAATCAAGGTTCTCCCCTGCTTTTTCCCTTCTGAGCTTATAGTTCAAGAGTCCTTAAGCCTTTTAAGAGAGTGAGTGGATGACTGTATATCTTATTTATGAATTCCTATGCAATTAGAGAAAGCATTCTTATAGGTTCATAAAGCCATCTTTTATTTTATTTTGTTTGAGCCATAAGCGGAACTTACCCTTGGACTTTGAATTTTATTCATGAGTTTCTTTTAAAGTGAAGGGTGTTGCGCAACTAATTTTTTTGGTGTTATAATTTTTTTTGATGTCAGCAACATTTATTTGTTTCTGTACACAGTTTGACCTAATTAATAATTTACCCTTCTTACAGTTGCACATCACAAACATATAAGATTGGCAGGTATTGGCGGGGCGTGGTGGCTCACGCCTGTAATCCCAGCACTTTGGGAAGCCAAGGCCAGCAGATCACGAGGTCAGGAGATCGAGACCATCCTGGCTAACACGGTGAAACCCCGTCTCTACTAAAACTAAAAAAAAAAAAAAAAAATTAGCCAGGTGTGGTGGTGGGCGCCTTGGTCCCAGCTACTGGGGAGGCTGAGTCAGGAGAATGGCGTGAACCCGGGAGGCGGAGCTTGCAGTGAGCCAAGATCAGGCCACTGCTCTCCAGCCTGGGCGACACAGTGAGACTCCATCTCAACCAAAAAAAAAAAAAAAAAATTGTAGGTATTTTTAAAGAGTTCACAAAAAAGTCCAATGACTGAACCTGTCTTGGCTTCATAATAAGTATTTAAAACTGTAAGATCTTAACTGCTACCTTTTTTCCTAAAACCCATTTATAGGTGGGTGGAAAAGCTTAAAAATAGTTTTAAGTCAGTAATGGGCAATGGAAGACATGATTGCATTATTGATTGCTCAATAAAGTTGATCTTTTTGCTCTTTCTCAGAGATTTATTTTATAGAATTAGAAACAAATCAGGATAGATGAGAAATTAGGAGACAACAACCAAAAAAAAAAAGCCCAAGTGTCAAAACAAGCTCCTTAAAATATATCGGGAAATGAAACACAGCTGGGTGGGGCATGGGGGAGGGTGCGAGTGACTCAACAGAACAAGTAGGAATTATGAGGCTTAGGGGAACATGACAGCCATGGGGACCTGCCTTTGCTTTATGTTGTCAACTGATTCTTTCCTTCTTCCATGACATTGGTATCACTCTATGTGCTGCAGCCGGGGGTGAAATGGTCCCAGGAAACCACCCCTGCTCTTTATAAATTTTGTGGGAGAAACTAATTCCCAAATAGTGGTGAGCCTACGTCGCTAACTAAAATTTATTGTTAAGAAGCAGATGTACAGTGGTGAAGACATTACCCTTTTACCATTTTGATGGTCTGTGAATTTCCTGTTTGATTTGATAAGTTCAGTGGAATTGAACATAATCTCTTGCCCATTGTGATCTTGGTGTTGTAAGCAACAACGTGTTTCCACAGCCTCTTACTGCAGCCTGTCAATGGCTGACTTGTATTCCTTTTAACAATCTGGCTTCTTTGTCGAGGTGTGAAAAATAAATACAGAATTATATTTATTTCCTGGCCTAGTAGGGCTGAAACTTCAACTAGTCATTATTTTGATCTTCTATCTTTTCCTGTTAGAGGTCAATTCTGATTGGGGTTGATTTCATGTACCTGCCCTTAAAGCAGTGCCTAGTCCTGTAATCACCTTCCTCTCAAATCCTGTTATATCTGAGGTGAAGAAAGCTCTTATGGAGAAAGTCCATTCCAGGGAGCAAACTTCCCATAGTCAGAACCTGCGTCTGTCTCAATCACTGCCTTATCCCCCTCATTCAACAGTGGGAGTTAAGCTGATGCTTAAAAAGTATTTATTGCATGAGTAAATTCAAGTGTTCAGTGAAATGTTTTCAGGTATTCTGAAGGGAAGAGGATTCGGTTGTCAAATCAATTTTGGAAAAGCTATATTGTATACTTAATTTTGGGACAGTCCCAATACATATGAGTGTCCTAAAAGTCTCTGAGACATCTTGGGTTAAAACGAAAACCCCAGTAGCCTTGTTTATCTGAACATTTGTCAGACTGTTCAGGAAGTACTGGTCTAAAGCCGAGCTGGAGTAGCACAATGTTGGTACTTAATAAATACTTCTTGGCTGGGCACGGTGGTTCACGCCTGTAATCCCAGCACTTTGGGAGGCTGAGGTGGGTGGATCACTTGAGCTTAGGAGTTGAAGATCAAGCCTGGGCAACATGACAAAACCCCGTTTCTTCAAAAATTACAAAAATTTGCCAGGCGAGGGGGTGTGCGCTTGTGGTCCAGCTGCTCAGGAGGCTGAGGCACGAGAATCACTTGAGCCTGGGAGACAGAGATTGCAGTGAGGCGAGTTCGCTCCACTGCACTCCAGCCTGGGTGACAATAGTGATACTCTGCCTTAAAAATAAATAAAAAAATACTTCTTTAGGTGTATTTACTGAATGTATAGTGCTGAAATCCTGAGTTTCGTAATTCGGGATTTTTTTTGTAGCCTCAAGAGGAGATGGTGGCTTTTGGGATATGTTGAGAGTAGAGTAGAAGCTGTGAAGGAAAGAGAGTCAAGAGTAAGGATGTGAGTATAAATTGTTTCATTTTGATTTTTTAAAAATTAACTAATTAATTAATTTTATAGAGATGAGTTCTCACTTTGTTGCCCAGGCTGGACTTGAACTCCTGGGCTGAAGCTTTCCTTCTGCCTTAGCCTCGCAAGCAGTGGGACTACAGGCACACGCCACTGTATCCAGCTGTTTCATTTTTATTTTATAATTCTTTTAAAATTTATCCCAGGGAAGGCTGGGGATGGTGGCTCACGCCGGTAATCCCAGAACTTTGGGAGGCCGAGGCGTGTGGATCACTTGAGGTTAGGAGTTTGAGACCAGCCTAGCCAACATGGTGAAATTCTGTCTCCACTAAATATACCAAAATTAGCCACTTGAACCCGGGAGGCGGAGGTTGCAGTGAGCCGAGATTATGCCACTGCACTCCAGTCTGGGAGACAGAGCAACAGTCTGTCTCAACAACAACAAAAAGAATTTATCCTAGGGAAGTAAGAGCTTTATCAATCTGAATATTGCTCAAACGGAACATTGAAAAGCTTTATCAATCAAAATATTATAAAGCTTTATCAATCACAATATTAATTATGATATTTCCATTTTAAAAATAATTACCTAAGTGTTTCAGTTCTTTTGCTGTGTAACAAAAATCTGTAAAACTTGGAGTGGGGCTTTAAATAATAATTTCTTACTTCCCACCTGATTCAGTGGGTTGATTGGTGGTCTTGTTACATATAGTGATGGCTGTTATTCATGCAGCTGATTAAAGACGGTGGCTGGGCTGGGCTGGAAGCTCCAACATGGCTTGTCTCACTGGATTGGTGTTTTGGTGCTGACTCTTGGCTGGGTGCTTTGGTTCTCCTTCACGTGGCCTCTCTCTGTATGTGGTATTTCATCTTCCAGGGCCGTTCTGTGTGGCTCCTAATTTTAGCAAGATAGCTTGGACTTCTTTGCATCATGGCAGCTGAGTTTTAAGAGAGCAAAACCAGAAACTGTCAAGCCTCTTTAGGGTTAGACTCAGAGCTGGAACAGTGTCTCCTCTACTGCATTTGTTGGTCTAAGCAGGTCACAAGGCCAGTCCAGATTCAAGGACAAAGGAAATAGAATCAATTTCTTGATGGAACTAATGGAACTACAGACAATTCTGTATAGGAAGGAGAGGACTTTTGATGGCCATCTTTGGAGGCTCATAGTATCTGTCAAAAATCTTGTGTTATAAAAATACTTTGTGGCATCTATGTTAAGTGGGAAATGGAGATGATGTTAAGATAAAACATGGAGAAAAAGGAAAATACAAGACTTATATATAGTCTTTATATAGTTTGATTTACATAGTCTTTATATTGTCTGGCTTTGTCTAAAACTGCACACACACACATACACACTTAAAAGGAATTGGAAGTAACATAATACATACTGGCTAGTTTTGAACTGCTGTCCTCAAGCAATCCTCCTGCCTCAGCCTCCTGAGTAGCTGGGATTACAGCAGGAGTCAACATGCCCTGCCAAGCCCATTCTTTTTTTTTTTTTTTTTTGAGACAGAGTCTTGCACTGTTGCCCAGGCTGGAGTTCAGTGGCGTGATCTTGGCTCACTGCAAGCTCCGCCTCCTGGGTCCATGCCATTCTCCTGCCTCAGCCTCCCGAGTAGCTGGGACTACATGCGCCCACCACCACGCCTGGCTAATTTTTTGTACTTTACTATTAGTAGAGATGGGGTTTCACCGTGTTAGCCAGGATGGTCTCGATCTCCTGACCTCGTGATCCACCCGCCTCGGCCTCCCAAAGTGCTGGGATTACAGGCGTGAGCCACCTCGCCCGGCCGCATTCAGTTTTATGTGTGTGTTCTACGAAACATTTCAGGAATAGGGAAGACTGGTATTATGCTAGCTTGTTAATAGAGGTTATCTATGAGTGACAGGATTGAGAGTGTTTTCATTTTCTGCTTTATGCATATTTGTATTTTCTAAATTTTCTATAATAATCTATTAGTTGGTTTAATAATTAAGAAAAACTAATAAGCCAATTAGAAAGTCTTGACAAATTTCAAAGATTGGAAAATATATATGTTACATTTTATGATCCCAATGCTATACAATTTGAACTAGAAAGTTTACCATAAAATTTCTATCCACTTTGACATTTAAATATATTATTCTCAATAATTCCTGGGATAGAAAAATTTCAAAATAAAAACAGCAAGGTATTTACAAATGCCAATAAGAGTTTTATACATAGAATTCTGGAATATGCAGCCATGTGTATAATCTTATATGCATTCATTAGGAAATGTGATTAAAGAGAAATGAACATTCAATGCAAAAGGGCAAAAAAAAACCATAAAGGAAGTAGAAATTTTATTAAAGATAAAGAGATATCAATGAAATGGAAAATAAGATGCAGTAAAATATATTAATAAAACCAAAAGCTATATCATTTAAAAAATTTTAAAGAAAAGTTATACAAAGCAATGCCAATAAGACTGGAAAATCTACACGGAATAGACTGTTTGTGAAGGGACGTTTTAATGATAATTGACACAAAATAGGTAGCAAACCCAAATAGACAAGTAAACATAGTGAAAAAGTGAAAAGATAATAAACAACTAGGCCCATTCTGTGTTTTTTGCTTTTTTAAAGAGACTGGGTCTCTCCCTCTGTCACCCAGGCTGGAGTGCAGTGGTGCAGTTATAGCTCACTGTAGCCTCGAACTCCTGGGCTCAAGTGATCCTCCTGCTTCACTCTCCCCAAGTAGCTGGGACTGCAGGCACATGACACCACACTGGGCTAATTTAAAAATTTTTTTTAGAGACAGAGTCTTGCTATATTGCCCAGACTGGTCTTGAACTTCTGTCCTCAAGCAATCCTCCTGCCTCAGCCTCCTCAGTAGCTAGCATTACAGCAGGAGTCAACATTCCCTGCCAAGCCCATTCAGTTTTATGTGTGTGTTCTACAAAATATTTCAGGAATAGGGAAGACTGGTATTATGCTAACTGTTCCAGAACATATGAAAAATGGAAAGCTTCTCAATCTATCTATGATACTAGCATACATCTGTTATTAAACCTAGAAAAGGAGAACCCAAGAAATCTATGGGCCAGTGGCAACATATATTACTTTTTAAATAAGGAAACAATATTTCAAACATGATAATACATCTTTTCATGTTGTATGTTATATGTGTGTGTGTTTCCAAAGGGAACAAACTAACTTTGTTTGTTGGTTATTGGGATTCTCCAAAGCCTTGGCCAGGTAGGCAGGTAAATTCACTGAGGATTAAATCTGTGTGCGTGTAAATTTTATGACATTCCGGGACCTCAAGCCTAGCCACAGACCTCAGAAATGTGTATCTCTAGATACAAAGGGAGCAGACAGAGGAAGACAAGTTAGATTTCATCACTTTTTCTAGGAAGACATCTCTATAAGTGGTGGCCCAGTTAGAACCCAGACATCTAGATTGTAAGCACAGAAAAGATACATTCATTTAACTGTTGGAACCATAGAAAGAAAATCATTTTTTTAATGAAAAAAGTATATATCATTATTATGTTACCAAAACACCAGAGGTTCAGTCCAGGTCCTGCTGCTTGCTGCACAGAAGGCCAATCACTGAGACAAGTATTGCCAGAGAAGAAGGTTTTAATCAGGTGCTGCAGCTGAGGAGATGGGAGATCAGTTTCAAATCCATCTCCTTGACCAACTAACGTAAGGGTTTATATAGCAGGGAAGAAATGTAATCATGAGTGGAAAAACAGGAATTAGGGAGGGATAAGGAAGAGGAGTTGGTTAAAAGGAAGCAGATAGGGCAAGGCAATTATGACAGATGAAGGGTCTGACATCTCATTGCCCAAATGCAGTAATCTGGCGAGTTTGAGCTCCTTGACACTATCTGGGAGGCCTGATGGTTGGTTTCCTTAGAAAGGAACTCAGATAAGACAAATGCAACTTTCTCAAGTTTTAAAACTGGGAGGTCAATTTCTATGTTTTTTCAAAGAAACCACTGACATCAGCTCTATGGGACAATTGAGTCAGTTTCAATTGTAGAAAATTTAGAGTATGCAAATAAAAAGAAGAAAATGAAAACCTCTTGGAATTCCACCACTGGTAACACTTTGATGTGTGTCATTCCAGCCTTCTTTGCTGGTGAAAGGGTGTATGTGTATTTGTGTGTTTTACAACAGTGTGAGTAAATCACAAAATTGTTTTGTCGTCTGCTCCCCCTGCCACCAGTATGTCATGAACATCTTTCTGTCTTATTAAATATTCATGTAACTGCCTGTTCCACTATTCCATTATCTGTCTCTCTTATCATTTATGTCACCGAATTCTTATGTTAGAACTATTGATCCCCTCTTTTTTACACTACAGATTATTCATGTAAAAATCTTAGATACAAAATGGTTTTTGTGTATTTCCAAGAAAAACAAAATTAAGCCCTGAGCAACATAAACATTTGAAATGAAGTTCTTTAGTTAGAAACAGGTGTATAATTTTTTAAGACCTCTTGAGGGAAAGGGGAAACCTTTATAGAAAACATTTTTTCATACTGTATGTGTCACTATCTGTGACAGAAATCTCATCTAGAATTGAATGTAGCAAAAAGGAAATTTATAGACAAATGCATCAGTTACCCATTGATCCTGTAATGTGGCAAAACAGTCCACCACAAAACATCAGTGACATACTAAGAAGCATTTATCAAGTGCATAAGTGTGGTGTTTAGCTGATCTCAGCTGGGCTCGCTCATGCCCCGCTGGGCAGTGGCTGGTTGGCTAGGCAGTTCTGCTGACTTTGGCTGGGCTTGCTCACACATCTTGGGGCGGCTTGCCTGTTGGCTAGGACAACTTGGTTCTATTTTATATTTCTCATCTTGCATCAGGCTAGATTGGGAATATTCTAATTACTATGGTAGAGGAAAATGAGCAAGAGAGTAAACACATGTGTTGCTTAAGGCGTCTGCTTACTTCACATTTGTTATCACCTTACTGGACAAATAAAGTCACATGACTGAACCTAGCATCACATTGGGAAAACACTGCCAAGACATATATAAAAAAAGGAGTAAAGGATTGAGACCTTTAATGCAATCAGTCACCTGGCATATGTAACTAAAATGGCCAGGGAACAGATGTATAGATGATAGATGATGGTAACTTCTATGATTCCTGGATCTGGAGTATGAAGTGATGTCACCTGGTTTGGTTTCACACTCTTTGAAGTTTAGCTGTGGTTCCCTTTGTATTGTCTCCACCCTCAGGGAGGCCCTTTCCACATTGAAGTACTCACAGCTCTATCTTGAAAGTAAGGAATTCCAGCTGAAGAAGAGCTTATCTTTCCCAGCTGTTCCAACTAGAGTCCTAGTATGGAGTCTTGTTGGACCAATGTGGGTCACATGCCCATCACTAAACTAGCTACCATGTCTGGAGGATACAATATGGTGGTTGGCCAGGCGTGGGTCATGTTCTCACCCCTTGCACCATCCAGGATGGTGGAGTGAAGGGAGTCAACCTTATCTAAACCCAGTGAACTGTGAGTAGGGGGTTGGGAACAATTTCTCTAAGGAAAATAGTGACAGTATAATCAGAAAGTGTGTATTTGGGAGAGGGGGAAGGGATGAATGATAGGCAGGTGAAAATAAAAGATACCCATGTATACTGCTATTAATGTACTTATCTCATTGAGACACTTACCTTCAAAATCTATTTATTGACTATTTGGTACTAGGCACAAAACTAGGTGTTTTATAAACCTCATCTTACTATTTCTTACAATACTATGAGTTAGATGGTACTACCTGCATTTTGTTGATTGCAGAGTGGAAGCTCATAACAAGTTAAATAATTTGTCTAAGGTTACTCAGCTGGTTAGTATTAGCATGGACATTTGAACCTGTTTGCCTTTCTCAAATCTGTTCTTTTATTGTTGTAAAGCTGAAGGAAAAGAAAATACAGTAAAGACTTTCTAAGAGGAAGAACAGGAGGCCATAATGTGCCCCATTAAGGCCATATGGGTGCTAAAATTGAAGGGATACTCACAATGCTGTAGCCCCAGCTACATAAAATCTTCACTAGTATACTTCAGTAACCGTGATGGGAACTTCTTCTCCTTTGCCATTTCTGTACAGACATGAAGTGGTTAATATGAATATTAAGGTCAACCAAAATGGGAAATAATTCTCAAGAGGCCAGCCTGAAAGATGTGTGTGAAAGGGAAAAGAGACAGGACTGTTGTTTTCTCTGGTAATATCATTGAGGATCTGGCTATGTGTTTAGGCATCCCATTGGTTGAGCTACCTCTTTTTCTTCTATCTCCAGGATAGCCAGTAGGTTTGAATTCATGTGTTAATACCAGTTGATTGGTGGTAAGCCATCTAGAGTGTTGTGTTGAGAAGAATTCTGAACCTAGTGGAAAAGAAGACTGTGATGGATTAGTGATGTCTGTAATGAGTACAGGAGGGGAAGGTAACAACATGAATGCCAAATATTTGACATCCCAGGAATCAGCAGCTTCTCAGAGTCACTTTCAAGTCACATGCATATAGGGGTTATGCCCCAAAGGAGGGGCCTTTTTATAGCTAAGGTCTCCATGATGGGCAATTCCATGGGGAATTTTCTAGAGGTTCTAACTCTAACCTTAGCACAAACCAATATAGAGAGCTTCATTTTCTTAAAGAATAGAGCTTATTTTTCACTTTGAGAATTTTTATCTTGCTTAGGGGCAGGGTGGGGGGAATTTGTAAAACTTTCACCTGTAGTAGTAAAGTTCTAGAGTTGCTTTTCTTTATAAATCAACATTATGGGTGTGGCTCTTTCTATCTGTCTATTATTAATCACCTATCTACATAGGTACATCTATCATTATCTTTATATATTTAAAAATACAATGCAGTTAGAGTTCTAAAGAAATTTGTTTTTAATTATTCTTTTTTTCACTTTGTAGATCTCTGAGTGGAGTTATTTTCTGGTACGGACTGTGAAAAGAATGCGGTGAAAATTCTGGACAATCGTGGAAATATTAGCTCAAACCCCAACTTAATATAGCATTTCTTCTCTTCAGTAACACCTCATAATACAAGAAAAATGTATGGAAGTGCAAGAACAATCACCAATCTGGAAGGTAGCCCTTCCAGATCCCCTCGTTTGCCAAGGTCTCCTCGTTTGGGCCACCGAAGAACAAGTAGTGGGGGAGGTGGAGGAACAGGCAAGACTCTGTCTATGGAGAATATCCAGTCCCTCAATGCAGCCTATGCTACGTCTGGACCCATGTATCTGAGTGATCATGAAGGGGTGGCTTCAACAACCTACCCAAAGGGCACTATGACTCTGGGAAGGGCTACAAATCGAGCTGTATATGGAGGCCGTGTCACAGCCATGGGGAGTAGTCCCAATATTGCTTCTGCTGGACTTTCCCACACAGATGTCCTTTCATACACAGATCAACATGGTGGGCTGACTGGCTCATCCCATCATCACCACCACCAGGTCCCCTCCATGTTGAGGCAGGTAAGAGACAGCACAATGTTAGATCTTCAGGCCCAGCTGAAAGAACTGCAGAGAGAGAATGACCTCCTCCGGAAAGAGCTAGACATCAAGGACAGCAAATTGGGATCTTCCATGAACAGTATTAAGACTTTCTGGAGTCCTGAGCTTAAGAAGGAGAGAGTCTTGAGGAAAGAAGAGGCAGCGCGGATGTCTGTCCTCAAGGAGCAGATGAGGGTTTCCCATGAAGAAAATCAGGTAGGTCATGACTCATCTCAGTATTTTTCAGCCTTGGCTTCTCACTGAGTAGTTGATGCTTTGCAGATGGTACCACGACCTGTGCAGAAGAAAGTTTGGCATCATCAAGAAGGTTATGGCTTAGTATGTGTTTGACTTAGACACTATGAGAGAGCATAGGAAATATACCATTACAGCTTGTAATTTCCTTATTTTCCGATAACCTTTTCACATGGTTGCAGATGGGGAGAGGGGTGGGGTGGGGAGGATCACTTGTCATTGCCTAACTTTTGTACTTGGTTAATTTTGTTTTCTTTTTCAGCAGTTGCAACAGCTGTTCAGATGTACCTCCTTCTGAATAGAAGAAGAAAATGTTAATTTCTGTAAGAATAAAGACTTTAAGAGCAACATTTAGTGGGCCACATTTGACTGGTGAATTGATTTTTATTTTGAAGCACCAGCACCATTATTTCCCACTAGAATGAGTGAAGTTGTTCTCTAAGTAGCAGATTGAACAATATGAAATGGAATTGGATCAAATGGGTTTGTTATGTTAGAGATACACAATAAATTTTTAACTTGGTGTTTTTGCCTTCATCCATTCAGCATTAATTAACTATCTACTATATGTAAGTCACCTTCATACTCTTCTTTGATCCATCCTTCATGCCACAGGAAAAACAGGTTCCTGGTGTCTACCTGCAGTTATGCTATTTTCCTGCTTTAAAGCCCTCAGTGATTACTCATTGCCTCCAGAATAAAGTCTACCTTCTTGACTGAGCCCATAGCACTTCTACTAGAAGGCCTGGGCCAACATTTCCAGCCTTATCTTGTGCTGCCTCCCTCCACATCTGTGCTTTCTGTACCACTGCCTGGTAATTCCTGCACACACCCAAGGTTTTGCACTGCCATGCCCTTGCTCTTGCTGCTCCCTTCCACTGGTGGCCTTCTCAGCACCTGCTTTTCCTGCCACCTCCCTTTAAATCTCAGCCAGTCTTCATTTCCAAATCCCACCTATTCTGTGAGGCCTGTTTTATATGCTGCTATTTTCTTTTCTTTTCTTTTTTAATGCCTACTTTATTTCCTAAAATGCTGCTATTTTTATAAGCGCTTTGGAATCAGACATACCTGGGTTTAAATTCCAGCTTCATCTCTTGCTCTCTCTCTCTCTCTCTCTCTTTTTTTTTTTTTTTAAGAGACAGGGTCTTGCTGTTGCTCAGGCTGGAGTGTAGTGACGTTGATCATAGCTCACTGCAGCCTTGACTTCCCGGCTCAAATGATCCTCCACACCTCAGCTTTCTGAGTAGCTGGGACTACGGGCACATATCACCACAGCCTGCCGATTAAAATTATTTTTTTTTGTAGAGACAAGGTCTTGCTATTTTGCCAAGGCCGGTCTTGAACTCCTGGCTTCAAGGAGTAATTCCAAAGTTCTAGGATTGCACACCTGGCCCCAGCTTCATCTCTAATTGGTGCTTATAGAAGTGCTAAGAGCTGGGGCATAGGGAATGTGATACCACGTGGCTCAAAAATTCCCAGATATTATTTAACTTTCTGAAGGAAATTGAGATAACTCTAAGTTGACTGAACAAGTGATTTTCCAATAACTGGCTTTGATGTTGGTCTAACGAAGTGCTCTGCCTTTCTTGGAGTCACCTGCTGACCCTCCTAACTGTTTCCCTGGCTACCACTCCTTTGGAGTTTAAGCGCCTGTAGAAGCATTTGTGATCTATAGGAAAATCTGCCTTTTGTTTTCATTCTATGTGTAGAAAACAATCACCTTATCCTTTTGATTATCTAACAGAGCCAAAGCTAGTTTTCAGACGTAGAAATGTGATTTTGTAGTTGGAACCGAAAGGTTTGTTCTTCACTCTAAAATGATGCTCTTCGGTATCATTTCTGCTTCTTTCTGATTTTGCTGGTTCATGAAGTCTTTATGAACCTGTTTGTACAATGCACATTTCCCCCCAGTTTTATACTGGTTTTCTCTTCATTTTAATTTTTTGGAAAATGGTTAAAGCAGTTTAGGAATGGTGCAAGCAGGGACAAAAAGTTTGAAAGCTCTTCTTTAAACTGTTAGCTCCAAAGTGACTTATCTCATGCTTCTTTCATTAAGTTTATCTTTGAGCACAGACCCCAATTATACATGTATATTTATTTATAAATTACAGGATGCATTACACTGCCAGTGTATTATGTGTCTTTTATGACATCCACGAAGAATTAAATGTGGATGAGATAGAGCAAAATAATACATTGAGATACATTTTAGTGACATATAAAACCTTTTCCACTTTTATTAAAAACATTTCGAACCATTTGTCCATTTCATGAGGGTTAGTTCAGTTTAGAATAGGTGATATCCATAATTCCACTTAACCGTCTCAGGTTGCCATAAGCCAGGAGTGTGTGAATGCTTGAGGGCACTTCCATTATCCCTTCCTTGTTCTGGTCTTACTGTGATCACAGGATACCTTGGTATCATAGGTGAAATGTGACTGTGTGACATATGACTCAGTGAAAGCTCTAGTATTAATCTGTATATTTAATACAAGTAAAATGCAATTTTCTCTTTTAGATTAAAAAGTGTAAAATGAGGAAGAAGCGCAGAGATTTTGAAAAGTCAATTTACTTGCAATATGATGTCTTACAAAGTAAAAAATATAAAGATTGACAAAAAACAAGCTATTAAAAAAACTGTCTTCTCTTTTTGGAAGTATATTAGGATCCCTTTTAGAAGTATAGGAGTACCTGTTGGTCAGGATAGGGTAAGTTTTGCTGCAGTAACTAACAAACTTCAAATCTCAGTGGATTAACATATTTGAGATTTATTTCTAATTTGCTTAAAGTAAGAAGCAGGTCAGGTGACTCTGTGGGACGGGTCTTTTCCATGCAGTGACTCAGGATCCAGGATTTCTGCATCCTGATGCATGGCTTCAAACGTTGCCACAGCAGGGGAGGAGAGTGACTGGAGATGGCACATTGGTTCTTTAATTCCTTGAACTGAAAGTGACATAATTGAAGGGAGTGTGAGGTGGAGTCCTCTCTTCTGTCCAGGAAAGGGAGGAGAGACACATATATGGTGGATTACTACCAGTGGGGTTTTTATGTTTTTCCAAAAATGGAGCTAGGTGAAATAAAGTTTGGGGAGCAATCTTCTGCTATTGCTGTTGTTTCTATTATACTGCTAGTGCTACCAGTAGACATTTGTTGAGGGCCAACTGTGTGCTAGGCATTGTGCTTAGTGCTTTGTGTACATTATCTTATTTAGTGATTTCATCAGTCATCTGAGGTAGGTGCTAGAACTTTTCTTATTTTACAGATGAAGCATAAATGTAGAGAGAATAAGCAACTTATCCAAGTTCACACAGTTGGTAAGCAGCATAGCTAGGTCTTAAGGCATTGGTCTATTTCATGCCAAAGTCTAAGATCTTAACTTTATGATCACTACCTCCTTAAAAGATCACTGAGCTGTGATTTAGTATTATAGGAAGATCCTACTTCATACATGCTAGATGAAAAAATGACTAGTTTTGATAAGATGATTAAGAATGTGATTTATTATCATTATTGTTATTATTTTGAGACAGGGTTTCACTCTGTCACCTAGGCTGGAGTGCAGTGGTGCGATACTGGCTCACTGCAGCCTTGACCTCCTGGGCTCAATCGCTCCTCCCACCTCAGCCTCCCTAGTAGCTGGGACTACAGGTGTGTGTCACCATGTCTGGCTAATTTTTGTACTTTTTTGTAGAGATGGAGTCTCCCTATATTGCCCAGGCTGGTCTTGAACTCCTAGGCTCAAGTGATCCTCCCACCTCAGCCTCCCAAAGTGCAGTGTTATCTTGGTACTGTCACTTGTGCTTTTGCCTCATGATGTGTTTTCTTAAAATGGAGGACAGTGGGGCAAGGGATTATGGACATCTAACTCTTTGGAGTGGCATGATTACAGGCGTGAGCCACTGTACCTGGCCAGAATTTGTATTCTTAACTAGGAATTTATTTCTTTTTCCTAGAGATGGTTTTTGTGCTGTTTAGGGTTTTCACCATTTACCATAACTTAATTTCCTTTTAAAGGAAAAATCATGGAAACTTTTTCTATATGGAAGAAAGAAATACAAAAGGGATAAGGGACATTTGATTGTGGTTTCTTATCCACAATAATCAGAGATTGCATCTATCAAGGTAATTCTTTCAGGGGTATTTAGATATTTAGAATTTCACTAACCTAAGTTCTAATGATCTAAAACAATTTGAACTGTTCTGTGTGAAGAGAAATTGGAAGCAGGTCCATTACAGGGTAGAGGTAAGGAGATTGAAATGCTCTTGTATAGGAAGTTCATAGTTTTATAAATATAATGCTAACTAACCCAGCCCTTTCCTTCTTATATGCAGCGTTGTCGAGGGCTCCTGCTCATCAGTTTCTTGGCAGTAGATTTTGAAGTCCTCATGGTTCTGTCTAAGGGAGCTGAACCCAACTCCAGATCTAAGGGAGGATGCTGAACTCCCTCTCTGTGTTACAGGGAGTGCAGGACTATTTGGAACCTTGGAGCTAATGAGTAGGTGGCCGTGACCAAATTTCTTATGTGCAAAGGGTTGACACTCAGTTTCTTGGATGGATATGCCACCCCTTCCTCCATTCCCACTTCTCCTCCACCCAGTTCCCTCCAAGGCCCTACTTCTCAGCCACGCGGCTCTACATGAATATAAATACATTTGCTCTACTACTAAGAGTTGCAGCACTGAAATTTAGAATCATGTGCTTGTTTGTATAAACCAGAGTGCACGGATGCAGTGTTATCTTGGTGTATAAACCAGGGTGCACAGATGCAGTGTTATCTTGGTGCTGTCACTTGTGCTTTTGCTTCATGATATATTTTCTTAAATTGGAGGAGAGTGGGGCAAGGGATTATGGACAGCTGATTCTTTGGAATGCCATGAACCCATAGCCCATGCTCTCAATGTCACACCTGTAGAACAGTTGGGGGAGGGATGAGGAGAAAGTATTGAGAAAGGATGTTCTGCTGCCATACTACACTGTTACGCGAGGTAGCCCCTTATTATTTTTAGTGGCCTGTGCTGTTGGGATAGGTGTTATGGGGGGCAGGGCTGATGAGAGGGTGGATACAACTGTTGGGAAGTAAAGTGAACCTATTTTCTCTAAAAGAATATAGGTTTATCTTTTCTTTATATCTTTATTCTATTGTGTTACGGAGATCAAAGAGAGGAAACATAGGAGTGAATACATCTTTTTAAGGTTTATAAAAACTTCTGTGTTGTAGTTTGGTACATAAGAGTTACTGACTTTTCATATTCCTCGGTATTTTGTGCAATTGTTAACGTTGTATTTCTAACGGATTTCTTCCAAATTAGGTACACATAAAGCAATTTTTAGACATTTTCCTAGGTTGTGCATGGCTAGCCAAGGCTCTGCATGAATATAAATAGCACCACACACTCGGAGATTGTACTAGATCTAATATTTACCCATCTTGCGTGTGCAGAAGTGGGACAAGGTCATTGGGAAACGTAACCCAAGAAGTGTAAGTAAACCTGTCTGGGGAATGTTACAGCTTTTAAACAATGGTTATGTGATCATTTCTATTTTTGGCTTAACACATTAGGAAAGAATCTACTCTAAATCAATATTAATATGAGTTTTTGATCCAGTTTCAACATAGGATTTATTGATTCTTATTTTGAACATGAAATTTGAAAAGATCGAGATGGATCACATTTCTGTGTTTCCTTTATTATTACTGCTTTGTTTTATTTGTATAACTGCAAATAATTCTTTTCTCCCCTCCCTCCCTCCCTCCCTTCCTTCCTTCCTTTCTGCCTTCTTTCTTTTTTTGAGACTGAGTCTCACTCTGCTGCCCAGGCTGGAGTGCAGTGGTGTAATCTCGGTTCACTGCAACCTCTACCTCCTGGGTTCAGGGAATCCTCCTGCCTCAGCCTCCCGAGTAGCTGGGACTACAGGTGTGTACCAGCACGCGCGGCTGATTTTTGTATTTTTAGTAGAGATGTGATTTCACCATGTTGGCCAGGCTGGTCATGAACTCCTGACCTCAGGTGATCCGCCCGCCTCAGCCTCCAAAAGTCCTGGGATTACAGGCGTGAGCCACCGCCCCCAGCCTGCAGGGCCATTTCAACAGGGTCATTCAACTATGTTCTATTAAAATACTAACTTCATTGTGAGTGTCCAGATATGATGAGTTGTGCCAATTGGAAGTGAGTGATAGAATTTCATCAGGTTTGTGGGTGGAACTCAGATGTACTCACTCCTCAGACTTACCTTCTTCCAGGCTCCTTTTTTTCTACCACTATAAGTCTAAGAAACCATGGATCCTTCAAAGCCAGTATTTCCAAAGTGTGTGCAGGGAGATAACACTTTTCAAAACGGATTTTCTGGTCAGTCCATGGTAACACCCAACATATTGGATATGCTTATCCTGGAAATTCATAATGCATACGTTTTGTGGGGGTTGAATTGTATATCCCCCACAAAAAGATATGTTGGAGTCTGAGTGATGTGAACAGCAGACATTTACTGTCTCAGAGTTCTGGAGGGAAGAAATCCAAGATCAAGGTGTCAGCAGGTTGCTTCCTTCTGAGGGCTGTGAGGGAAGGGTCTGTTCCAGGCCTCTCTCCTTGGCTAGTGCTTGATCATCTTCTCCCTGTGTGTCCTCACATAATCTGCCCTCTGTGGGTGGCTGTGTCTGCATCCAAATTTCTCCTTTTCATAAGGACACCAATCATATTGGATTAGAGTCTACCCTAATGACTTCATTTATGATCTCTGTAAAGACCCTATCTCCAGAGAAGGTTACATTCTGAGGTACTGGTATTTTTTTGAGGGTAGGGATACACAATTCGACCCACAACATAAGCAGACTACTACAACATATCACCACATGAAATGCTCTCTTTCAGTTAAAAATGTTTACTAGGCTGGGTGCAGTGGCTCAAGCCTGTAATCCCAATACTTTGGGAGGCCAAGGCAGGAGGATTGCTTGAGTCCAGGAGTTTGAGACCAGCTGGGGCTATAGCAAGACCCTGCCTCTACAAAACCAACCAACCAATCAACCAACTAACCAACCAACCAACCAACCAAACAAAAAATCCCTGAAAAACAAAAATATGTATTAAAGTTGCTTAACTCACCAATTTTCTAATCTTACTCCACTGTGAAACTTTCTTTTTTTTTTTTTCTGAGACAGGATCTCACTGTGTGACCCAGGCTGGAGTGCAGTGGCATGATCACAGCTCACTGCAACCTTTACCTCCCTGGGGTTAAGTGATCCTCCTGCCTCAACCCCCCAGTACTGGGACCACACCACCACATCCAGCTAATTTTTTTTTTTTTTTTTTTTTTTTTAGAGATGAGGTTTTGCCATGTTTCCCAAGCTGGTCTTGAACTCCTGGGCTCAAGCAATCCACCTGCCTCAGCCTCCCAAAGTGCTAGGATTACAGGGGTGAGCCACTGCGCTCTGCCAAAACTTAAACTAAGCACCTACGTATTAGGCAGCTACTGCTGCAATAATGCTGTGTAACAAGCCATCTCAAAACCTATGGCTTAAAAAGACAAGCGTTTATCTCTCTCCCTCACATATCTGCAGGTTGGCTACAACTTAGTTGGGTTAAACTGGAGGTTGGGTTTAGGTACGTTCCATGTCTCCACCTTCTCCTCAGAACAGCAGCTATTCAGGGCTTCATCTTCTCATGGTGGATCACAGATGCCAAATGTACAACTAAACCCCACAAACATGGTTAAAGCCTTGGCTTTCATCATTTTCACCAACATTCTGTTGGCTAAAGCATGTGATGTAACCAAGCCCAAAGTCAGTCATGTAGAGGAAATTTACTCCCTGCCAAGGCAGAGGGGGAGTGGAATGAATATACATACATATGTTTAACAACAGTCCCATCTGTTACAAATTATAAATATTCCTAGAAATAAGGGTATAAGGCCACACTTTGGGAAAGGCTGCTCTGCTTCAGGAGCATCTCGAAGTGAGACCTTAAAGGAGATCTGTGAAGGTGGATGAGCACTTTCTATGTGGTTCCTTCCACGTCTGGGCCTTCCAAAGTGTCCTGATGGTGCCAGCGACTCAGATGTACTCACTTCTCAGACCTGTCTTATCCCTTACCTTCTCTCAGGCTCCCTTCTTTCCACTAGTATAAGTCTGAGAAATCCTGGCTCAGCTTCAGGCTCCTCCTCCTCTTCCTCAAGTATCTGGCCAATGAAACCCAAGTGGAAATCTGGGAGATTCTAGGAAATCTTTTTCTTTCCTGATAAAGGAACAAATATCACCAGCAGTTCTCCTTCCCAAATTCTTTCTGTCTTGACGGTTGATGTGATGGGTGGAGCTGTGTCAGCCACATTATAACCATGAAAGAAAGGCCAAAGAAAGAAAGCAATAGACAAGTCCAGAGACGTGTGAGCTGCCATCTCTGAGAAATTGCACCAACAGCAGCAATGACCTGCCTCTAGATGTCTAGTCATGTGAGAAAATAAACCCAGAGTTGTCTAAGTCACTGTTGTTTGGTCATTCTATTACTTGCAGCTCACCAATTGATAAAACATCAGAAACCGTTAATTGATAACTGTTATTCATAGTAATTGCCAGTCCTGATAACCTCCCCCCACCCCAACAAGCCATGGCATGTTTCAGGGAGGTTCAATGAAATCTTAAAGGACCTTACACATTCAAATGAAGAAACTTCCTTACTAATTAATTTGGGCAAGACTCCAAAGTAGTGACACAAATGCTGCTCAAAGCCTGCATAAGCCAAAAAAAAAAAAAAAAAAAAGAAAAAGGGTCGGGGTGGAGTTGGTTAGTTCTTGTAACAAAATTGCAGAAAGGATCAAGTGTGGAGTTTGGGGTTACTGCATCCAGGGCCTTAAACTGTAGCAGGACTTTGTCTCTCACCATTGCTTCATCTCTGGTTCTCAATGTCTGCCTCTGTCTATGTGTGACCCTCATTTTTTCCTCTGTGTGGTGGGCGGTCTTGGTTGCCAGTACCCTAGGGTCACAATTGAAAGGTCAAGAGAGCCTTACATCTTCACTTCCTACTTGGAAAGTTCATGGAGGGACTCTGTTCCTGCTTTGGTCATATCCTCCCTCCAGGACTTGGTGAGTGTGTATGTGTGTGTGTGTTTTGTGGGGAGATGGTTGGGGCAGTTATGTGAGAAGAGGTTTCTGTGATTGGTGACCCTATTAGAACTGCAGGTGTTGAGAGAGGAGCAGTTCTCTAAAGGAAGTGGGATGAAGGGCGACCAGATGCTCCAAGACAAAAACAGATGTCAATTGCCTTGACTTGAGCTGTCCTTACTCACCTCTGCTCTCCAAATGTTTTAAGGGCTTATCAGTCATAGTGGGGCCTGAGAACTTAAGAAGTCAATCATATGTTGCGTCTGTGTGTAAGGTGTTTCATTTTAATTCCGAGTTGAAGTGTGAGTGCTTGTGTGTGTTTTCCCCAATGTTACATAAACACACGTATTTAGAACTGGATAATATAGTTTAGCACCACAACATACCTTGGAATGCTGAATCTCAGAAGGACAAAAAAATGAGTCCATCTTCTCATCTTGAAACAGTCTTCCTTAGCTCTTCAGAGAACTGTAGCTTTTGTCTACTTTTCCAGAGAGCTGGAAAAATTTTGGTCCAGACTTAGATGATGACCTACTTAGATGGAAACTACAATTTTAAATGCCTTTCAGAGATGAGTGAAAACTTCTTTTGGTTTTGAAGATAGATGAGATGGCACAGAGCCAAGAGCTGGTTTCTTTGTTTGCTAGAAGGTAGGATAATGATTTGAAGTGAACTATACATCTTTGTCACAGATGTCAGCTGGTTTTGGCCTCAGTAATCTCTTGCAGTCGGCCCTAGAATCAGCCATGTGTACCACATTAGTGGCCTTACAGATTTTTATTCCCAGGTTTTCTTCTGAAAGACTTGGCTAATGGTAGGGAAATAAACATTCTTGTGTGCTGGACCTTGGGAGACCTAAATGATTTCCATCTTCCATTTTTCTCTCTGGATCACTTTATTTGGGTGACGGGATTGCAGCAGCACATAAGCCACCAAAAAAAAAAAATCAGGGTATTTCAATGAATAGATTATTTTAGTCTCACTTGCGCCAAGGGTACTTATTGAAACCAAGCTCCAAGAGGGAAAGGCAGGAGGAGTGGTCACTCCCAAAACATTCACCCCCAAAATATTCACTGTTGTTCGCTATCGACAGCATCCTCAGAGAATTTTAAGAGTCAAGTCTATGTTGACAGCAGAAAAGTAACAGAGTGATTTTACAGGCCAAAGCAGATGGGGTGGGTTCTGAATGTGGCCTATTCTGGCCAGAACACAATTTCAGTTTCTATAATTAGTTGCAGGTGGAGCTCTTGTGTTGTTGTTTCGGAGTCCATTGACATCTGTGTGCAAATTCCCACCACCCCCAGTTGGCATTTGGACTCAATAAGTGGTTTGGCCTCGCAGGAACATAGAAAATTGTAAATCTATTTCACAGACACACAGATAAAGCTGTTGTAAAGGTCAGGTTCTGAAAGCTGTGGAAAGCATTTCAAAAGTTTGGGAAGTAGGTTTTTAGGTAGAGCGTGGGAGTGCAGCCAAGAGCTGGGGCAGTCTAACAACCGAATTCTGGCACGTGCAATTTCTTCTGTTTCTCTGTGAAGCCAGTGCTTGATTGTGCCTTGGAAGCAACGTGTAGCCATTTTGTTTTTCAGTAGGAAAGATCTGGTGAGAAGTAAAGACT
The DNA here is from genome assembly GCF_000001405.40 of Homo sapiens. NCBI lineage: Eukaryota > Metazoa > Chordata > Mammalia > Primates > Hominidae > Homo > Homo sapiens. The sequence goes on along the minus strand of NC_000003.12, from coordinate 56,423,601 downwards.
GAGGCAGCTACTTTTCATCTTACAAACCCATGGCTGGGCGTGAGCTGTCTCGTTTGTCTCCATACGTTGATAAAGTTAACTTGGTAGTTCTCAACTGTGGGCAGTTTTTTCTCCAGGGGACATTTGGCAGTGTCTGAAGACATTTTTGACTGTTACAACTTGGGGGATGGTAGCTACTGGCATTTAGTGAGTAGAGAGCAGGGGTGCTGCTAAACATGCTACAGTGCACGGGACAGCCCCTGACGTTGTCTAGCTCAGAATGCCAGTAGATACAAGGTTGAGAAACTGAGTTAACTAGATGATTACTATAACTTCATTTTGCATATCATGCTTTGCCTTCACTCAGTGCTTTACTTTCACTTTGTGAACTGATGATCAAAATGCATGTATTTTTGTAAAAATGATGATATAAAAACTAAAACATGATTCATCATTGTGTGGGAAAGAATGAATTGTCAATGATGTCTTTTTAAAAATGTATTCTTCCAATTATGGATTGGTAATCATGAATCTTCAAATATCTTGAATTCTTTTAGAAGTAGACATTTGGTAAATAGGTGTCAATCTTGTAAGGAAATGGACAACTCATAAAGGAAATAAACCTATTTTATAAAACTATAATTTCTTTACACTTTCACTGACTTTATGGTGGTTTTCGTCCATGTCTGACAAAAGGGGAGGGGAAGTAAGCATTTTTGAGCACCTTCTATGTGCCAAGAATTTGCTAGTTTCTTTCCATGTGTGAGCTCAACAGCCCTGCAAGACACATGGCATCTCTATTTTATGCAAGAGAAACAGGTCACAGAGAAATTGAGTGACTTGCCTGAGGCCTCACCAATAGAGCTGCGATTTGATCTCAGGTATGCTTAGCTCTAAAATTGTGCTCTTTCCACTGTCTTGAAGGGAAAAACATCAAACTTGCTTGAAAACCAAGGAATCTGGGGCTGAAATGGAAGCTCTAAGATAGAGTGGAGTAAGCAATGTGTTGCCTGACAGCATCTTCAGCATGCTGTCAAAGAGGTATACAGAAAGGACAGAGAGCAAGAACGAAGAAGGAAGCAAGGAACAGGCGAGGAGGGAGGGCCAGCAGGAGGTAGCAAACACATTCTTGTCAAGTAAATGAGCAGAGGAGAATGCCAAAGGAACACTCCTGTCTTGGAAACCCATCCAGAAGGATGGGAGGAAGCAACTCCAGGACTGGCTGGAAAATTAAAACCACAGGTGGCAAAGGAATGAGGGAGATTATCTCTCAGGATGCTCATTAAAGGCCTGGCAGACCCTTTCAGGTGGTTGTGACTTTGACAAATTCCCTGAATCTACAAGAGCAGAGTTTCAGGGACAGGGCAGCTCTTTACTTTGGGTTATTGGACTTCAATGAGGATGGTCTCATTAATCATTTAGAATTCCTCCTGTCCTTGCCTCTATCTTCAGGAATTTCAGAGTACCTCGCTGGCCTCCTAGTCCAGGGGGCCTTCAACAGGCACCTCTCAGCTTCCTCCTCAGTTGGTTTCTGACCTCACTGGGGTGATACACTATGCAGGCTTTGTCTTTTGTTCCACATCTTGTGTCTCAAAATCAGATCTTCCTCTCTTGGGTCCCAGCCTTCCTGATTTCTGCCTCTGCCAGCAACTTTCCCCTGTGAAATATCTTTTTTGTTCTTTTTGAGAATCCAGACCATTTATTTACTAAGTTATCCACTCTCCCTCATTTAAGGGAGAATATGGTTGCAAGTAGCAGAAACCCATTCAAGTTTAAGAAAAAAAAAGTGGGGAGGAGGGATTTACTGGGAGCACATAATGATACCTACTAGACATTAAGGGTAAGTAGGGCAGCCAGGTGTCACATGGAGCGGGAATCGGGGTCAGTTGGAAGATGATGAGGAATATCAACAAAGCCAGTCTCCATCTCTGTCTCTGCTCTGTCTCTCCTATACACACATACACATCTCTATCACTCTTATTTTCTCTCTTAATATCTATTTTTATATATCTCTTATGAAAAAGCGGCACTCAAGGAAAGCATGTGTATCTTCTTCATTCAAGTGCTCACCAGGGACAGCCTAGAGTTGCGCTGTTGCGACTTCAAATTCAGAGAACCAATAATCCAATTGACCTAGCTTGGGTCTAGTCTCTTCTAGGTCCAGTCAGCTGTGGCCAAGGGAATGAGTCACACATCCACGCCCCCTCAGCAGAGCTATGGAAAAGGTCTTTCTGAGAAAGGGGCATGATGAGTAGATTCTCTAGCAAGGGAGTGTGTGGGTAAGGTGGTGAGGAGGAAAGGACAGCCATTGCTGGGAAATATGCTTGTGCAACACATAGTTAGAAGCTTGCCTTAGTTCTAGTATTAGGAGGACCAAGACGAATCCAGAAGACTTTTATAGTCTGAATAGTTAGCTTCTGTTAACCTCTGTCTATAACTAGTTAACTTCTGTCTATAACTAGCCATTTCAATAACAACTTCAGTAGCCTCCTGGAATCTCTAACCTCCACACTCACCTCTTCACTCCCTACCTACATTGTGCCCCCTAGAGAAATTCTGGAAGTTATATTGACCAACACCAGGATCAATTCATGTTATTTTACCATAGTGGACCCACATGGCGCTTTTATATACTATCAGAGTGCATCCTTGATGGAATTAAAACAGTCTCCACTTTCTATAAAATCCCTTAGTTTCTTTCTTTCTTTCTTTCTTTTTTTTTTTTTGAGACGGAGTCTTGCTCTGTCGCCCAGGCTGGAGTGCGGTGGGGCGATCTCAGCTCACTGCAAACTCTGCCTCCTGGGTTCATGCCATTCTCCTCCTGCATCAGCCTCCCGAGTAGCCAGGACTACAGGCACCCACCACCACACCCAGATAATTTTTTTTTTTTTTTGTATTTTTAGTAGAGACGGGGTTTCACCGTGTTAGCCAGGTTGGTCTCGATCTCCTGACCTCGTGATCTGCCTGTCTTGGCCTCCCAAAGTGCTGGGATTACAGGAGTGAGCCACCACACCCGGCCCCCAAATTCCCTTAGTTTCATTGGAGACTTTGGTCTCCAAAGTGGATGGGAAAATGATACTAATTAGGATCTGTAAACTTTTAGAAGTAAGTAATAATTTGATGGTTTTCGTTGTAAGTATAATTGGGCCAGGCATGGTGGCTTATGCCTGTAATCCTAGCACTTTGTGAGACAGAAGTGGGAGGATCACTTGAGCCCAGGAATTTGAGACCAGCCTGGGCAACATGGCAAGATCCTGTCTTTACTAAAAAATTAGCCAGGTATGGTGGTGTGTGCCTGTGGTCCCAGCTACTTGTGAGGCTGAGGTGGGAGGATCACTTGAACCTAGGAGGTCATGCCTGCAGTGAGCTGTGTTCATTCTACTGCACTCCAGCCTGAGTGACAGAGTAATACTCTGTCTCCAAAAAAAAAAAAAAAAAAAAAAAAGTATAACCACTTAAGTTCTAAAAACGATTGGCTCGTGAGTACATATTATCTGAGAAGGAATGGAAAGAAATTAAAACTCACCGATTCATCCCTTGGAAAATCTTTCTAAAATATCCATGTGAAATAATATAAAAGTTTCCAAGGAATCCTAAGACCAATAGAAATCAATAAGCCTATGAGATGGAGAGTTGGACAGTGCACATGATGGCCAGATTTAGAACTTGCTTAAATTTAGAAATGTACCAAATAATAAATAAAATTGCCTTCTCAAAAATTTTAAATTTCTCTTCGGGGTTTTTACCTTTGGGAAGCCATGTACACTTTGAGAGCTGATGAAAATGTCATAATTTTCCCTAGAAAGGTGTGCATAATCTGGATTGTGCACAAATTTCACTTCCTCATCCCTACTGCAAACTCGAAGGGCATCTCAGGATATTTAGATCAAGATCCTCTGTCTAGATATTACCACTTCATAAAATATTGCACATGTGTTGGGAGTAAATAGTTCCCAGTGATTAGTGAAATGAATGAGCTTTTGGTAATATGAGACATGTCTTCATTTCACTGCTATTCAGTTTGTGCTGAGAAATAGGGGGCATGTGCCAGGATTTTGGTGATAAAGGGTATGTACATTGGTAAGATGGAAACTTGCTGATGGACTGTACTGCATTCACTAAGTGTATTCAGATACAATATACTGGAGGTGGTGGATTTTAGTCTACCTTCAGGAATAAGTTACCTTGAAAGAGTTTGCATAGCATTAGGTGTCACATAGTAAAAGCACATCTTTAAATATTTTCATTAAGGACTTTCCATTCATTATGCTTGTCTCTGGGTACGAAAATTCCAAGTTTACCTCTGGCAATTCTATATCACTTATTTGTAATTGTAACTCAAATCTCATACTACAAATGCAGTTATGCTGTAGGCATTTGTGATAAGAGCAAGGAACGAATGATTTTGTTGAATTATCAAGTGAGGGTTAATTACGTACCTATCATGTTCCCAGTTATATGCCAAGGGCTGAAGAAGACACTAAAGAAGTGTAAAGTGCACTTTCTGTCCCATTACCATCTTGTGAAAATCCTTAGAGGTTCATTTCCTTTTTCTATGTAGACTGTGAATAAGGAATGAAGCAGTGATATATCTTGTTGGTTATGGGTAGTTGACTCTACCTTGGAACTTGACCTGAGCATGAAGTTTGGTCTAGGGAAGAAAGCTTCTTGCCTAGTTTATTTACCTTTCTGGAAGAGCCATTGATGTGACCTCTCTCTGTCTTCTGTAGAAGCCTAGCCAGAGTCTAAGAGTGGGCACAGTATCCTCCTAACATCCAGCCAGTGTAGGGCTTCTGGAAGTGTTTGGGATGGGGGAGTTGGGGAAGGCCTGAGCCCCTGCCTTTCTCAGGCCAGCATGTAAAGTCTGTGAATCACTTCACTTTCCCATTTAGTGTACCCACCTAACTACAATATGTTCCCCTGGTAAGTAAGAATAATAAACAATCAGTGTGGTTTGTAAAGTACTTCCCTAAATGAAATAAAGCCAAAGGCCACATATATGGTATCTCATTTAATCCACATAATGACCCTATGAAGTAGGTACTGTTATTATTATATGTATTTATTTTTATGTGAGCAAAGCAAGCCTCAGAGGAGAGGTCACTTGTCAAAAAGTTACATTTAGCAAGTGGCAAAGCTAGGGTTGAACCCAGGCAGACTAACTCCAAAGTCAGTCTCCAGTGTCAGGATTGACTGTAGTATGGAGTGAGTAGCTCTGTGTACACAAGAGGATCTTAGGACAGGTGAGGACTCTGAATTAAACAACTTTGAAGCCCATGTAAAAGGAAGTCATCCCCTTTCCGAATCCTTTTTTTTTTTTTTTTTTTGAGACAGGATCTCGCTCCATCACCCAGGCTGGGGTGCAGTGGCAATCATAGCTTACTGCATCCTTGATCTCCAGGGCTCAAGCAATCCTCCTTCCTCATCCTCCTGAGTAGCCAGGACTACAGGCATGTACCAACATGCTCACCTAATATTTTTATTAAACAATTTTTTTTTGTAGAGACAGGGTCTCGCTATGTTGGCCAGGCTGGTCTTGAACTCCTGGCCTCAAATGATCCTCCTGCCTTGGCCTTCCAAAGGACTGGGATTACAGACATGAGCCACTGCCCCGGCCCCTTTCCAAATCTTATTTCAGTACTTCTGATGAACCTAAATGGGATAGTCTCAACTTGGTGCTAATCTTGAACCCTACTTAACACTTATCAGATGTTTCCTACCCTCATTGTAGGACATGTAGTGACATTACTACATGATGCTTACATTGTAATCCTAGTAGCCCTAGTTTTTGCCTTTGCATCTGATATGCTGCCTGTTCAAAGAGTTTCTGTGAGCAGAACTGGCAACATGGTGTTAGTGGAGCCTGCCTCTGGGTTCCTGCTTTGTTTTCTATGATGGTGGTCGAGAGCACCAGCTTTGGAGATGGATTACCTAGGTTCCTTTCTAGCTGTGAGAATTTGGTTAACTTTATCTCTCTGCACTTGTTTCCTTACCTGTAAAATAGATGTGGTAATAGTTTAAGTTATCCTATTGTTCTTTACCCTTTATAGAGTCAGTGGAATTAGAATACCCTACTCTTGAAACCAAGTTCAGATGAGCTGCTTAGGAATGGCTAGGAGAGTTTTCTTGACATAGGTATTGACTCCCATAACTGGATCCAAGCCAGTTTGTGTTAATTTTCAGATGGCTGCCCTGGACAATTCTGAGCCACAGCTAGGCTTTTCTTGTGCAAAAAATAAAAAAAAAGGAAAGACTCACATTACATTTTTCTGGTATGCTACATTGAAATATGTCCCACGGCATGAGATGGAAACGATAAATTCACTATCATTGTAGGGAGTAATAGAAAAAAAGATGAGGGTGATTTCCCAGTAAACACTATTATCTGAATCCTCAGAAAAGGCAGACGCTTATGTTGCCCAAAGAAAGATCACATGGTTTCCAGATCTAGCAAGCTATATATATTAATCCAACCAGCTAGAAACATAGGACTCAGAGGAGATGTTTGATTGATTGGTTTTTATAAACTTTGGCCTATTTTGCTCATCTCAGTCTACAGAATCCATCTGCTGCATAATATCTGGCCAGCTAAGACTCTTATAATGACACTTCAATAGTTTGTACCAAAGAAATGATCCCCCCAGTCAAGTTCTCTAACTTAGATCTCTGCACCGGCCTTTAGATATGTCTACCTACTTTCTACTGGCAAGGTCACTGGTGCCACCCCAGAAGGTCAAACAATATGATGACTGAATGACTGAAATGGATTAAGTCAATAAACATGGAACCATGTGCTGAGCTAGGTGCAGAGGTTAGAGTAATAGAAAAAAACTTCCTGCCTGTATGGAGCTTTCATTCTTGTGGGTGTACTAAAAGGAGTCTTGAGCCACTGGGGAAGACCAAGGGTAAAACAGTTTCAGTTTAGAGAGAGAGATCAGGAGTTTTTTTTTTTTTTTTTTTTTTAATCATGTTTTGTTGTTGGCAAAGCGTCATTTATCCAAGTGGTGTTGTTGAGTAGGGAGGTGGGTTTGGTGGAATTTGCGTTCTTGTGGTCTCTGCCAGAACATCATCATGGCATGGTTAGGGTGGATTTGGGGCTGCAGTGGCTTGGAAGTGTTAATGTTGCTTTTTATACTCTTCTCACAAGGAGGTTAGCTTTGAAGGGTGGTAACTGAACAAGATGCATAGTTTGGGGAATCTCTCCCTGCCTTCTTTGTGTGACATAGTTGACCATATTTTTAACTTGTAGGGAATGGGCCAGTATGAAGAGGGGTTTTTCATGGAACCAAGCCTGGAAGAGTAGGGAGACAGATCAGCTTTGGGCAGGAGGTGAGATTTCTATTCTTCAAACCTCAGGAGGAGGTGGTCAGAGAAGGTCCAGATAAAGAGACATTAGTAGGTGTGGAGTAGAAGTAAATTTTAACCTAAAAAGACTGCTTGGTACATCAAAAAGAGAAAGCCCCTACTAGGAATTAAGTTAGACTTGGCTTTGATGCCAAATTAGATGTGATGTTGGCCAAATCACGTCTTTTCCCTGGACCTCAGTTTCCCCTGCTGCATCATCATACTGAATACAATTGTTTCCAAGGCTCAACTTGGTTAAAACGTGTCATGGCTCCAAGCCACTCAAAAATTTTCAGGAAAATTAAGAGTGCTTTGGTGACAAAAGAAAGTCAATGCTGTTATGACTCATGAGTGCGATTTGATGAGGGCATGGGGCCAGGGTGAGGCAGATGTAGTTGAAGCAGGCAAAAGTATTTGTGTTGGCTGTCCTATTTGTTGTGCTGGTGGTTCTATTCAAGCGCTGCTGATGGGGTGATTTGCTTGCAATGGGATGACACAGCAAGCCCATTACCATGCTTGGTGGAGACAGGAGCTACCAGCATTTCCCCAGGAGAAAATTTTACAAGTAAAGGCTAATTTTACTTTTGCTGTTGATGGCATTTCTCAGCTATACTAATTACCATCCCTATAGAAATGCTACAGAAATATACCCTATCCTCCCAAGAGTGCAGAGGGGAAAAGAGGTTGTTCTTAAATAATCCAAGAAAAGGTTTTACCTGTGGATTCCAAAGCTACAGTGCTTCCTTACTCATGGCTTTCTTAAATGGCAGATGCCCTGGCTTAAATACAATTTCTATATTTCCCTTACTTTCAGCATTCGGACTGTGTGATCTATTCCCTATTCAGAGTCAATTACAAATAAAATTATTTTAGGAAGAAAAATGATAGTTATAGAGTTAATGTTTTGTCTCAGTTTTTAAAAAATATTTTGTAAATTTGGAAATTATATTTTACTTTCTCCCTTCATTCCTTAATAAATATTAGGGTGTGTACCCATCTGTCTATCTATCCATCCATCCATCCACTCATTAAAATAACATTCCTGAATATAGCAGTTTTTTAGTATACAGTTGTTGAATGAAAGGTACAAATATATACAGAGCTAAGGCCTCTTGAGCTCATGAGGCCAGGATGCCTAGGTCCAATTCTGGCTCTGCTACAAGTTGGCTGTGTGACCTGGGGAATTAGTTGTTAAGATTGAAAACTGGAGGACTTCATGTAAAAACCTGCATTTCTTCATTTCCCTGAATACCAGAAAGATGTGGTAGCCCTGAGCCCAGTGAGCTGGAGCTAAGCATTGCTGCTTACCTTACGTAGGACATTGTCTCTCCGTGTTCCTCTGGTCCACCCCTTGGTTGACAGATGTACATTTTTAGTTTAAAGGTGAAATGAAGAACATTTTTAAATTCGAAATGTTGGTAAAATATGGATGTTGTTTGGTCTCACAGAGTCCTGAGTGAAAACTCTGTACCTGGGGGGAGAGACAGAGAGGGAGAGAGAGAGAGTGGAAGGGACATCTTTTTCTTTTCCTTTTCTTTTCTTTTTTTTTTTTTTGAGACAGAGTCTCGCTCTGTCGCCCTGGGTGGAGCGTAGTGGCATGATCTCAGCTCACTGCAACCTCCGCCACCCAGGTTCAAGCAATTCTTCTGCCTCAGCCTCCCAAGTACCTGGGACTACAGGCACGTGCCACTACACCCGGCTAATTTTTTTGTATTTTTAGTAGAGTCTAAATAATTCACCATGTTAGCCAGGATGGTCTCGATCTCCTGACCTCGTGATCCACCTACCTCGGCCTCCCAAAGTGCGGGGATTACAGGTGTGAGCCACCGTGCCCAACCAGAAGGGACATCTTAATAATTCTCTTGACTTCAAGGAATTTAAGAGCTACCCCCACAGAACCAGAAAATGGGAAAGGGCCTTGTTTTGGATATCTAGGGAAGGAGAAAAGAGTAAGGTGTAGCAGGCATTGGTTAATTCTCAAAAGTCAGAGAGTTGACATGATTATGGATAATGATGAAAGTCTGGTGCCTGGCCTCGAGTGGAACAAAAGGAAAGGCAGAAAAGTTCCCAGTAGATTAAGGTGCCACCACTACTTTATGCTAAGAAGGCAGATGCAGAGGCCCTTCCAGGGAACATGCTTTGCGGGGGAGGAGCTGCCTTTGTTTGCTTTTCTGATGACTTGGATTTCTACAGCTGCCCATGGTTCTTGAACTTCCTTGAAAAAGTACAGGCAGAATTGTGATGAAATCAGCATCCCAACCCTGCCTTTCCTAAGGACACTGTTAATTCCAGTAGTATTTATCTTCATTCCAGCAACTACCTTGGATTTTTATATTGGGGTAGAAGTGATCAGACAAGGGCTGTGGTTTCTATGGGTGCACATGTGTGCATAGGCCCAGTGCTATTATTAAAGCGGAGTAACAACAACAACAGATTGGTGGTTATTTGGTTTGGGGGAGAAATTTCCCGAGGTGTTTCATGTTCTTGTTATTCTTCAAACCTGCAATATCATTCAGAAGAGTGTTAGGAAATTCAATAAGTCAGAAGGCACTGTGCAATGAGCATTATTCTTTGAAAAAATATAGCTTATCATACACATTTTCCATCAGAAGGTAATATAAATTTGTTAGGAGTTTGGGTGGGGTTTTGGTGTCTGAATGCCACTGTTCTTTTTCCTCTCCCCAGTGTCTGACCAAGGGGACTATGCACTTAGAGACCAGTAGTCAAATGGAAGACGGAGGATGAGTTTATTAATTCTGAGGATGGGCTCAGTGTCCTTCCATGCAGGGATTTTTTGATTAGGTAAGGAAGCTTGCTACTCCCTCCATTCCCAGGACCCAAGATGGCCATACCTGCTGTGCGCTGACCCCAAGCAGCCACCATGCTCAGGGGGAGATCAGGTTAGCAAGAGAGGAGGCTGTAGTGTGCTTACCACATGGATGCCCAGAAGTGAAAGAATAAAGGTGACTTGGCAAGGCCCTGTCCTGAGAGGCTGGAAAACTGGGTGGATGGCAGTGCTGCCTGGGGAAGCAGTGTTTCCAGGAGTGGTCACCATGCCAGAGCATGAAAGTGGGAGGCTTGGGGCTGGCTTGCCTTGTTCGGGTCCGCAGCTTGGAGTGAGGGGCACAGCTGTGGGCCTTTTGCACTACAGTGACCCTGTCCACCAGCACAGCATGTCCTAGTCAATGTCCTGGTCTCTGGCTAGTCATATTAGGCACTCCTTTTTCCATCAGGGCCAGTAAGGACTGGCTAAGAGGTGTAAGTTGAGGGTGATAGATATTACCTCTTGATGTCCAACCCCCACATAAGAAATTAGTTAATAGCATTTGTCACAAATGTGCACCCGTAAAGATAAATCCTGTTAATATGTCTATCCATTTTTTTCTAGGCACTGCCATATTCCTGACTTTATAGTTTAACCTTTATCTATAATTAAGTAGATATTAGAATAAAATAATAGTAATAGCTAACATTTATTGAGAGCTTACTGCATACCAGGCACATGTATTGACTTACTTGCTCCTTATAATGACACTGTGATGTAGGTGTCATTTTTGTTCCTGTTTTACAGATGAGAAATTTGAGGTATACAGCTCACAAATCGTGCCAAACATGGAAGCCAACCCAGGTGGTTGGACTCTAAAGTGCCCGTCTGTGAACACTGCATGATTATGTCTCTCAAAGTGGTAGATATGAGATACTGAAGAAGGGGCTAGTCCAGATGTCCGAAGACCCAGTATGTAGCCTAGAGCCTGGCTTGGCTCTGCCACAAACCCCTTGTGTGCTTGACAGCGTGCCAATGAAGTCCTCACTCTGAGCCTCAGTTTCCTGATCTGTAGAGTGGGGATGTGGATTTCTGCTGAAGGATTTTGATCCATGACTCATTATATTAGTTTCATAGCATTGCCATAACAAACTACCACTAACTTGGTGGCTTGAAACAATAGAAATTTCTTCTCTCACAGTTTGTGGAGGCCAGAAGTCTGAAATCAAGGTGTTGGCATGGTTGGTTCCTTCTGAAGGCTCTGAGGGAGAATACATTCCATACCTCTCTCCTTTTGGTGGCTGCCAGCAGCCCTTGGCTTGTTGACGCAGCATTGTAGTCTCTGCCTCTGTCTTCACATCACCTTCTCCTTTGTGTGTATCAGTGTGTCAAATCTCCCTCTACCTTTCTCCTATAAGGACACCCATCACTGGACTTAGGGCTTGTCCTAAATCCAGGGTGATCTCATCCTGAGATCTTTAACTTCGATTATATCTGCAATGACTCTTTTTAAAAATAAGGTCACATTCAAAGGTTCAGGGAGTTAGGCCTTGGACATATGCTTTTTGGGGCCAGTATTCAATCAACCACACTCACCCTCCAGCTTTTTTTCTGTTGCAGTATGACAACCAGGGATCTTGGAGAAGAAAGGATTAAGCTAGTTAGTGGCTGAAGCCCCCTGGGCAGTTTGGTGCAGTGGTTAAGAATATAGTATCTGGAGTTCATAGCTCTGGTTTCAAGTCCTGGCTCTGCTACTCACCAGCCCTGTGACTTTGGAAAAGTCACCAAACCCTTCTGGGCCTCAGTTTTCTACCCTATAAAATGGTGCTAAAAAGAGTAGTGTCATAAGGTGATTAAATGAATCACTGTATATAGAGTGCTGAGAACAATGCTATGTAAGTGTTAGCTGCTATTGTTGTTGTTACTTCCATTTAGAAGTGAAGTTTATGCATATGACTTTAACAGAGGAATGAATTTTGTGAGGGATGCATTTAAACTATAGCAAGGAACAGCCTGCAAGTATGCTATTTTCCACCATATTTTAAATTAGGGTATCTAAATGTGTCTGAAATGTGAGGATTATACTTTCCGGCGTGCTGAAACAATTTTTGGCCCAGTCTTTTTAGACATCCAAGAGAAGCTGAAAGCAGAGTGGGGCTGTGCTCACGTTGGGTGAGGCAGGCAAGCAGATGGAAGGTGGCAGAGGGAGCATTTTGATGTGCTCATGGAGGAGGCGTTAATATTTCGACATCTTTCTTGTTATTTACAGATAATTTTTATGAGAGATTTTCAGAGATCTCAGTTTTTTTTCTCTTTCCTCTGAGTGGCACAGAATTGTCACAAATCAATCTGTTAATAAGAAGGTAAAAACTCAACAGTCTTCTGCTTGGGAATTGATTGTAGTTTGAGTTTTGTAACTAAATTGAGGTTAAGCTTTCTGGATTCTGTTTTTTTTTTTTTTTTCTGAGATAATTCATCACCTTGCAAAATTCACCCAATAGTCTTGATTCAACAGGAATGATTATTGGTCTAAGTCTTGTGTTACTAATAGATCAGCTAGTTGATTCATATAAATATCATATTCCTACTGTATCCTGGGCAAGGAGGGACAAGTGAAAAGGAGAGGATGTAAATACTTTGAAATTGGGAACATAGTGGAAGACAGACTTTCAGATAATCTATCACAACATAGTATGATATCTGCTGTAATCAAGATACTTGGAGTAGTTAAGAGCAAGGCCTCTAGAGGCAGACATACCTGTGTTTAAAACTTGCCTCTACTGCAGTGAGCCATGATGGCATCACTGCACTCCAGCCTGGGTGACAGAGGGAGACCCTATCTCAAAACCAAACAAACACCAAAACCAAAGCAGACAGACAAACAAAAAACTGCCTCTAAAAACAACCCCCCCAGAAAACTCAAAATTCTTGACATCACTAACCAGCTATTTGGTCTTTTCGAGTTTCTGTTTCCACATCTGTAAACTGGCGTTATTTTACTGTTTCTCCCATGGTGAGGTTTAAATGACATACTATAAGCAGAGTGCTTAGCACGTCATTTGGCACATAGTAAGTGCTCAGTAAATGTTAGTTATTATTACAGGAATATCGTGCTGTGGGAAGAGCTCTCTATAGAGTAATTTTGTTAATTTATTCATATGGCTTGATATTTATGTATCATATTGTGTGGTACATTTAATGAATACATGCTTTATTGCTTGTGTTTAAATCTTTCACCAAAGTTCACTTACTAAATTTATGTTTTATATCACAGGGACATAAATTAAGATCAGTTTGCTCTCTATATATATCCCAAAATTTGACATTTTGGATACAGCTTTGCATATAATTTTTAAGAAAGCCATCGCTTTTTAATTACTGGCACTAATACTTAGACACTGAAAAAGATAACTCTGTTTCAGGTTATAAGGAAAAAAGCCTCACCCAGGCCAACTGGGGTAATGAGGCTTCATTTTAAGAAAATAGGAACAGCACAGACTTTTGCAGTCTCAGGTCTGCCCACAACAGCTTATGACTATGGGTAAGCCAACTTCTTAGAGATGCTTCTTCAGCTGTAAAAATGGGGATAGTGATTCTTGCCTCAGCACTTTCTAGTGAAGACTACATGAGATAGCGTGGAAAGCCCACAGCACAGAGCACAGAGTACGTGTTCAACAGATGCCATTATTACACAAATGGTATTAAGAGGGCTGGAATCTTCTAGAAATCTGATAATAGGAACCAAGGTATAGCTGGGGGTCAGGGAGTTGAAGATACACGGGGTCACTAGGGGCTGTAGTGGTAAGAGTTTTAGATCTTTATTCAAGAGTCAGTTATTAAAATATCCTAGCTATGATTTTTTCTCTCCCTGTCTACTTTTCTCCCTATCTCCAACTGCCTTATTCTTATATTTCTGGTAAAATTCCTGAGAGAATCTGATCAGTTCATTTAAATATCACCAGCCCTTTGTGAGCAGAGGTTTTTTTTTTTTTTTTTTCTGTCTAGCTTTAGTTTGGTATAATTGGTATGCAAACAAACAATGCAATGGTTTTTTTCCCAGTTAAAGCATAAATTTTAATTTTAGCATTTTAAAGTCATTGTTTCCCCACACAGTCATGATTTTCCTAAAATTGAAATAGTCTAATACAGGAACGCTAACCTTGGGACTCTATATATTCCCAGGAGGATGACTGACTTGGCTGGCAATTAGTTTGATTATATTTTTTTAAATATAAAACAAACAAACAAAAACAAAACCCTGCACATAATTAATGCATACAATTTGGTGAGCCTGGACACATGCATACACGCATACACTCTGAGCAGAGTGTTGATACAATGCGAAGCCCTAGGTTGCCGGGAGGATGGGCTACTTTGAGGTCACGTGCCGCCTCTGGCCCAGTGAGCGAGCAGGCATGGTGCCTCACGGGAGCCGCAGGCCTCCAGGAACACAGGAGCGTGTGTGAGATGACTGGTAGGTGTTTTGGTCACTGGATTGATGACAACATGGGTAGAAGAGATCCTGGATATGGAGATGTGATTTGATCCTTGCCCGTCACACCTGCTTTGTCTTGACCACTCCCAACTCCTGGCCACGCCAGCCTCGTGCGTTCCTCAGGCGCGCGTGCAGAGCTGTGCCTTAGGGCCTTTGCAACTGCCCTGCCTGCGTTGCTGCTGCTCCTGGGGGACAGCGGGCTTACTGCCCTCTCAGGCTTTAGCCAGATGGCACCCACTCGGGGAGCCCTTCTCTCCTGACGCTGTCTGAAGGAGCCTGCCAGCCCTTACCTTACCACCTCGTTTAGTTCTTTCGCCACACTTATTGCAATGTCTTTGCTTATTCGTCTGTTGTCTGTCTAATAATAGATAAGTAAATATCTATTACTCATATATTTCTAGAATGTCCCTCTTATACCAGGGACTGTTCAGTACATTTATTTTGAATGGATGAGTGATGGCTCTCCAGGCATTGTGACCATTACGAAGCGTAATTGTGTGTGTCAGGGAAGGGGGATGTGAGCGTATATGGGGTGTGTGTGTGTGTGTTTGGGGGAGGGAGTCCCCAGGGAATCTCTGTAGTCCCACATTATGCCTATCTCCCTTACTTAACCCAGATTGCTTGGGTTCAAATCCTGCTTCCTCCACTGGCAACCTTCAGCTCTGTGTCCTTGGGCAAGCAACTGTCTGTGCTTCAGTTTCTCATCCATAAAATAGGGATAACAATTGTGCCTACCTCAGGATTATGTGAGGATTACTTTGTAAAGTGCTGAGAGAAGAGCCCAGCACGGAGGAAGGCAACTCCACACGTTTGTCTTTACTATTATGAAGTGCTGGGAAGCTGCTGGGGTTACAGTGCTGAGTTGAGGGCTATCCTCTGACTGAAGGTATCCCGAGTCTCACAAGGGCTGGTGGGGTGAGGTGGACATTATTTCTTCACTGACACAAAAATACATCATTATAAAATGTGTGACGCTTTGAAGGATGTTCAAGGTGCTATAAGCCATATACATGCAGGGACCTCCTTTGGCTTTGTGCTAGGGACACTGGTTGAGAAGGCTTCCCTGTGGAGGTGACATTTGAGCTGCAGCATGAAGACAGAGTAGGACTTAGCAAGGCCAAGGGAGTAGCTGGTGGTGGGGGAATAGTGTGTGCATCTGAAGTGACGGGCAGTATGATGGGAGTACAGGGAAACAGGTTTAGGGTGTATCTACCTGCTGTCGTGTTCCAGGGGGGTCCCTGGGCCCATCATCAGAGATTCTGATTCAATTGCTAGGACCTGTTCTGGGCATCAGGATTTTTACAAGCTCCCCATGTGACTCTAATGTGCAGTCAGGGTGGAAATTACTGCTCTTGGCTTGTTAGAAATGCAGACTCTCACCCCTCCACCTAGACTTAGTGAATCAGACCTGCATTTTCACAACATCCCCAGGTGATGTGTGTGTGTACAATAAGTGTGAGAAGTTCTGGTTTGTGGATAGACTCACCCAAAGTTGGTCAAAAGAATAGGTTTCTGATTCTTGTCCCAGAAATGCTGATGCAGAAGGTCCAGTGTGGGGTCTAGAAATCAGCATTCATAAGAAATACCCTCTGTGGTTCTGAAGTGGTTGATTGAGACCAGACTTAAGAGCATGTTCTCAAGAATGTCAGAATGGAAATTAGAGAGGACGTGAGAAGGAAGTGGACTTGGACTTAAACCTCAGAATGCTTCTGACCTGATGAAGTCTGGGGCCTCCCTCCTGTGAATCCATCTGCAGAATTCTAATACTTTTTGATCTTCTAAGCTTTAAATAAAACTTGGAAAAAGGACAGTGTTCACAATAGGAATACTAATAGTCTATTAAATTTGGGGGTGGGTGAAAGTTGTTGGGAGTAGCGAGATTAGCGGTTTGGGTTCCTCTGGAATAGTCTTTACCAGCTCTTGAGACGAGTTGTTTTATGTGGCTCAGAATAATAAAAAGACACTTATCCTGTCTGTCTTAATTTTCCAGATGGCCTCCAGGAAAATTTCCAAGCAGAAATTACATTTATTAAGTTCAAGAATCCACTGGGAAGATGATATAGAAAAGCCTGATTCTCATTGACTTTGAACTTAGTGTTTTTCTGAATTATTGTCTGTCTGGATTTTTAAAACTTTTTTTAGTTTGTTCTTTCCATGCCTCCTCTGCAACTTTCTGACTTCTAATTAATCTAACTTTTCTCTTGGTCTGTATAACAAAATTAAGAGTTTTTGCATTTATTGAGATTGAGTTTGATTTTTTTCCCTCTCTCTTTCCTATAAACACAATAATACTGTTCAAGTTAGAGAAAGTTTTGAATGTCTCTTATGTGCATCATGCTCTCCTAGGCACTGTAGGGTGTGAGCAGGACTGGCTACATTATTTGCAAGACTCAGTGTAAAATGAAAATACAGGGCCCTTGTTCAAAAATTATTAGGAATTACAAGATGGTGATAGCAGAGCCTTATTAAAGCAAACACAGAGCTCTTCTAAGTCTGGGCCCTGTGTGCTCCACAGGCCATGCCCATGAAGCCAGCCTAATGAGTGTGAGGAGTCACCACAATTACAACAAGGGGGTGAAATTTATTCTACCTCGACCCCTTTGTGTACATCCCTGGGGACTGTAGCCCCTCCCTACTCTGGTCTGACTCCTCACACCACTGGAGAAGGAGGTATAGTGTTCAGAATCCCACCTTCTTTCGGTGAGATGGACACAGCCACGTAGGATAAACAAACCCACATACTGATGTTGGAGGTATAAATGGGTACTTACTACCCGGAATGAAATTGGCAAATGTATATCAAAAGTCTTAAAAATGTTCATATCGTGGCTGGGCATAGTGGCTTACGCCTGTAATCCCAGTACTTTGGGAAGCTGATGTGGGCAGATCACTTGAGGCCAGGAGTTCACGACAAGCCTGGCCGACATGGCACAACCACGTCTCTACTGAAAATACAAAAATTAGCTGAGCATGGTGGCACGCGCTTGTAGTCTCAGCCACTAGGGTGGCTGAGACACGAGACTCGCTTGAACCTGGGAGGTGGAGGTTGCAGTGAGCCGAGATTGTGCCACTGTACTCCAGCCTGGGTGACAGAGTGAGACTCTATCTCAAAAAAAAAAAAAAAAAAAAAAAGAAAAAAAAGTTCATATCCTTTGACCCAGTTCCTCTTCTAGCAATTACATGTTCACAGAGTAAAAGGATGTTCATCACAATTGTTCTATGTTAAATATTGATAAAAGATGGGAACTAACCTAAATATCCAATAGTGGAGGAGATCTGTATTATCATATTATGAGATAGCATCCAGACATTTAAATTTAAAACACATTTAATCTATTTCTTCATCTATCTATCTATCTGTCTATCTATCTATCTGTCTATGTATCTATCTATCTCCATCCATCTATCCATCTATCTATGCTATGTATCTATGTGTCTTATGGTATATATTATGAATGAACATTCATTGATTCTTTTCCTTTCCTTTCAGTCAACCCTAATAATAGACAGGCTTAGATACTGTGTGAACATTGACTTTGATCAGGGCTACTGCCCAGTCTGGGTCCATCCCTTCTTTTTTTTTTTCCTTTTTTGAGATGGATTCTTGCTCTGTCACTCAGGCTGGAATGCAGTGGCACAATTTTGGCTCACCGCAACCTCTGCCTCCCAGGCTCAAGCCTCCCGAGTAGCTGGGATTATAGGCACCCACCGCCATGCCCGGCTAATTTTTGTATTTTTAGTAGAGATAAGGTTGCACTATGTTGACCAGGCTGGTCTCAAACTCCTGACCTCAAGTGATCTGCCTGTCTCAGCCTCCCAAGGTGCTGGGATTACAGGCATGAGCCAACGTGCCTGGCCTCCATCCATTCTTTTTTCTTTTCATCATCAAATGTATCCAACCTTTGTGCTTTGGCCCTTTCTGCCTAGTTTCTCCCCACACATCCTTTACTTTGGCCAAAGTCAACCTATTTGTATTTGCATCTCCCTTGCTTGTACGTTCGCTTGGTCTGCCAGGACTATTCTCCCAAACCTTCCCACCCACATGTTGAAGTCCTATCCATCCATCAAACCAGTACAAATGCTACTTCCTCTGAGAAGTTTTTTCCCCTTCTAATTATCCCAGCCAGAAATTGGGTGCTTCTTCATCTGAATTTTTTACAGCATGTTGATTGTATCACTTATATAGCACGTGCTGTATATTGTTGTTATAATTATTTGTGTGAAAACTTCTTTTTTCCACTGGATTATTAGACCCTTAAAAAGGAGATCTTGTCTTGCATATCTTTTTTTTTTTAAATTAAAAAAAATTTTTATGGGTACATAGTAGGTGTATATGTTTATGGGATACATGGCATGTTTTGCTACAGGCATGCAATGCATAATAATCACGTGTAAAATGGGGTATTCATTCCCTCAAGTATTTATCCTTTGTGTTACAATCTAATTATACTCTTAGCTATTTTAAAATGTACAATTATTATTGACTATAATCACCCTGTTGTGTTATCATATACTGGGTCTTATTCATTTTTTTCTATTTTTTGTACCCACTAATGCCCTGCATATCTTCGATTTACCCAAGTTGCCTTTTTTGTAGGAGTCATTCGACATATATTTTCCTAGTGCATTTGTACATTTATCCACACTGAATAATTAATATGCATGATGAGGGCAATACGAATAGGGAATTTCTAGGGATGAGACAGAAAAGATAAAGCAAAATGAGAAAAGGATAAGAATGACTGCAAAAATTTAATATCATTAGAATTAATTTAGAAGAATAAAAATAATATTAATTGATTTACAAAACAAGAGAGAATCTTACAGATGTTGTCATAGGTCTAATACTTTTCTTCACTGTTTACGTGATTCAGTCATTTACATGGAATATATTTGAGAACATTGTAAAACTTAAAGACCCCCAGTCATTGGGTGCAAAAGTCTGTGGTACTTGTGACCATGAAGTTCCATGAAGAAGGCCCAAGGAACCTGCTGATCACAAGTTTATTATGCACCTCTGGTGCGATGTGGCCGATGGGAAATTATCAAATGTAGACAAAACTAATGCACACTGAGGCTGTATTGAAAGCAGCATGGTATCCAGCTTAAAGAAAGTGATGGTCTCACTTTCAGACCTTTCCTGAAGCACAGCCTTCCCTTCTGTCCTTTTATAGACTGGAAGATGATAGAGAACAGTGAAGAATTGGGTTGATGGGGATTTGGAATCCAGATCATATGATGACAGGCTGAGGATGTTTAGTCTGGAGAAATATGGACTTCTAGAATGAGTGAACATTTGATAAGTGACCTCAGATGTTTGGGTCTTTCGGTACTGTGCTTCTCAAACTTTAGGATGCACACTAATTACCTGGGGATCTCGTTAAAATAAAGATTCGGATTTAATAGGTCTGTTGAGGCCTGGGATTCTTTATTTCTAAGAAGTTTTTAGATGATGCCGATACTGCCGGTCCGTGGACCACACTGTGAGTGGCAAGGCTCCAGAGGAGCTCTGTCCAATGGAACACTGCAGGGATGGGAATATTCTATATCTGCATTGTCCCATGTGGTAACCACCTGCCGCTTCTGGCTATTGAGCACTGGAAAGGTGTCTAGTGTGACTGATAAACCAAGTTTTTGATTTTATTTAATTTCATTTAAATTTAAATAGTTACATGTGGCTAGTGTCTACTGTATTGGACAATGCAATTCTAGAGGATACAACTGAAACTATTGGAACTTAAAAGAGTTTAGACTTCACTTTCATTGTATGAGTTTTGAAACAGTTATAGCTGTTTGGTACTGAGAAGGCATCTAGAAAATTAGAATAGTATTTAAGTCAATGACCATCTATAAGGAATACAGAAGAAGGGCACTTCTACTGAGTGGGGAGGTGGATCCAAGAGGAGGTAGCATGTAATTGGAACGGAGGGTTAATCTACTTAACACAGTGGTTCTTAGCTAGGGACAGTTTTGCTTCCCCAAGGACAAGTGGCAATGTCTGGAGACATTTTTGGTTACCACAGTTGGGAGGAGCGCCACTGGCATTTAACGGGTCGAGGCCAGGGATGCTGCTAAATATCCCACAGTGCTGAGAAGAGTCCCTTGCAACAAAGAATTATCCAGCCCAAAATGTCAATAGTGCTGAGGTAGAGGAACCCTGCCTTAACTTATACAGAGCTTTTATAAATCAATAATAAAAGATTAAAAATAGAGTAGAAAAATTAGTGAAAACAAGCATAGACAATTCCCAGAAAAAAAATACAACCAACCAAACAAAATTTAGGGAATGATGCTCAACCTTACTGCTAATAAAATATGTGTAGGTTAAAACAATGAGATTATATTTAGCTATCATATTGCCGAAGTTTCAGCTATCATATGCAAAGCTTAATACACAGTGGTGGGAGGAGAAGTGAGATGGACCCTAATCACTGTTAGTGGGGTTGTAAGTTGCACTAGCCCTCCTAGGGGGCAGGTTGCTGTTATAATCAATACTTAAGTGCACACACCCTTTGAGATAGGAGGCGGGACTTGACTTTGGAGATGGGGATTTGAACTCAGGACCAGATAGAAGACTAGCTGAAACAGGGAAGAGATGAAAGCATCTCTCCATAAGACATGCCCATCTGTGCCATGTCAGTTTTCCATTACCATGGCAACAAAGGGAGGTTACCACTCCTTTCCATGGCAATGACCTGAAGACCTAGAAGTTACTACCCATTTTCTAGAAATTTCTGCATAATCTGCCCCTTAATTTGCATGTAATTAAAAGTGCATTATAAATATAGCTGCAGAACTGCCCCTGAGCTGCCACTCTGGGCACACTGCCTGATATGGTTTGGCTCTGTCCCCACCCAAATCTCACCTTGAATTTTAATAATCCCTACGTATCAAGGGCTGGTCCAGGTGAAGATAATTGAATCATGGGGGTGGTTCCCCTATACTGTTCTTGTGGTAGTGAATTAGTGAATAAGTCTTATGAGATCTGATGGTTTTATAAATGGGAGTTCCCCTGCACAAGCTCTCTTGCTTGCTGCCATGTAAGACATGTCTTGCTTCCCCTTTGCCTTCTGCCATGATTGTGAGGCTTCCCAGCCATGTGGAACTGTGGGTCAATTAAACCTCTTTCCTTTATAAATTACCCAGTCTCGGGTATGTATGTATTAGCAGTGTGAGAACAGAAAAATACACTGCCTATGGGGTGGCCCTGCTTCTGCTGCTGCTGTACACTGCTGCTTCAATAAAAGTTGCAGTCTAACACCACTAGGTTGCCCTTGAAATCTTTCCTGGGTGAAGGCAAGAACCCTCCTGGGCTAAGCTCCAGTTTTGCATCACCTTTGCCCAGCAGCTATTCTACTTCTAAGAATTTATTCTGGAGAATAAATTCTGCAGAATAAATGGTACAGATTCATGTAGATATATATACCTGCAAATTTATGATAACATCATTGAAATTTGGAATGAAACTATGCAACTTCAAAGATTGGCACATTTCTGCTGTGGAATATTCTGCAGCTATCTGCATGATAAAGTAGGCTTTGATGTATGGAAGGATGTTGATGATAGAAATAAATATTGATTGGGTTACAGAGCATAATTTACATACAAAAAGATTTATACATGACCATATGTTTACATGTGGGGAGATGGATTAATATTGGGACTAGTTTTTAGGGAATTTGGGTTTAAGTCAACCACTCTTTTACTCTTTCTTGAAAAATCTGTTAATTCAGAATCTCAGTTGATTAATTTGTAAAGTAAGAGTAACTAACTCCTGTGTAGTCTACTTACTTCACAAGATGCCTAGACCAAACAATGTTTATTGGTAAAAAGGCAGTATGCATTTTATACCTCCAGGTAGTGGTAGCACTGGCCTAATTGAAAATTATTCGAGCTTTTGTGATACATAGGTTCAAGTAGAGCTAGAAAAGTTCACAGACTGTTTCCCTAGGCATTGTTTAGATTGTACAGTCTTGGGACTTTCCTGCTTTTCCCTTTTCATGCAATTGCTAGTGGGAAAAAACAAACCAGAGAGGGTGTTACAAGAATAAAGTAGCTTTTTTTGCAAGATCGTGGTTAATAAAGCTGATACAAATTGTTTCACAGTATGGGTGTTGGGGTTTCTCTCATTGGCATCCCTTTTTAAAAAGAAGTTTGGAACATAGATTTCTTAGCATACGTCAGACTAAATTTTTCTTCTCTTTTGATATTTGATTGATGTTCCACTTACGTATCAGACTAAAATCTGGGCCACAGAGTAATGAACATAGTAAAAACAGGTATTAGCAAAGTCATTCATTAGAGTTTTGTTTACAGTTTATTGGTGGAAAATAGTAATTGGTTTTTAGAAAAAAGGTCTTGATATTGCAGATTTGTAGGAAAATTAAATGTGCTTGAAGTAACCTTAGCATGTAATACTTTTCCTCCTTTTAATTCATTACAGTCAAGTCAGACCCTTCCTTCTGAAAAATATTCAGCACACAGGGTTTTGGATTAATGCATTGTTCACAGTAGGATATGAAATAGTGAAATTGCTTAAATTATTTTCTTCTGATATAGTATTACTATATTTCAGATATTTATAACTATACTGCTCAGATTTTAGTTTAATTTTTTGGCATGTACTAGAAAAATTTTATGGAAAATTTTGGACATGGAGAAATATAAACAGAATAGTGTTTCTATTTCTGTGACCCCCTCAGCCCCCATAACCATCACCTTTCCTTAATCCATCAACCTGTGGTCACTTCTACACCATCCAAACCCCAACTACCAGCTCCTCATCTAATATTTTGAAGCAGATTTCAGATATCCTATCAGTTCCTCCATAAATGTTTTAGTCTCTATCTATAAAAGATAAGGACCTTTAAAAAAGTTCTAAATATAATACTGTTATCACATGCCCTGGAAAATTAGCAATATTTCTTTAATACCACCAAATATTCAGGCAGTGTTCAATTTCCAGTTGTCTCATAAGTGCTATAGTTTTTTTTTTTTGAAATTTGCTTAAATCAGAATTCAAATAAGGACCACACATTGTGTTGGTTAATATTTTAAAAGGCTCACTTACTTTTTTCCATTTGTTATTTAGTTATTGAAGAGACCAGATTGTTTGTCCTATAGTTTCCCTCCAGCCTGGATTTTGTTGATTGCATCCCTGCAGAGAGTTTAAATTGTTACTCTGTTCTTTGTGTTTCCTGGAAATTTCTGGTTGAATCTAGAGGCTGAATAAAAACCAAGTTCCTTTTTTTTTCATGGGAGAGGTTTGTGCTAAATTTTGGAAAGTTATTTCTTCAGGGTAGTTCTCTTTTAGGGAAATAATATACATTATTTGGAATAAAAAATGTGCTTAGAACTAAGGTTCTTGATTTCTTTGTTGTAAAATGTACCTGTAAAATCTTGTTATATGAAACATTCTGCAGTACTCTTTATCTAGTCTTGGTATATTTATAATCATGAAGAAGGGATATGGGAAGGTTCTAATTTATTAGTGAAGTTTTAATTTTTTAAGCTATATATAGAGAATGTAATGAAATAATTTATTGATGTAATTGAGATTTTCAGCTTGGTTCCCCATGCCGACATTGACATTATCAACTACTATGAAGTGACTGTGAATTTCAAAGGTGTTTTGAGTGCTTAGCATATCTATAGTCCATGCTTGCATCCTTCCCTGCATGTGTAATAAGCCAGAACTCTGGAAGGACTTGCCTACTTTCAGCCTCTGTGAGTCTGCATTAATGTAAGGCTAATGTTATTTTGAATAGAAGTACGCAGGCTCTAATGGTTTTGGATTGAAGCATTTACTGTAACCTCTGTAGAGTGGCTGGTTTGTTACCCATGTATCTATGACAGAAAAATTCAATTCATTAAGCATATGGCATGAATAGCATGATGTTTGAGCCCTGCGGTAGGAAGG
Source organism: Homo sapiens (assembly GCF_000001405.40). Classification (NCBI taxonomy): domain Eukaryota; kingdom Metazoa; phylum Chordata; class Mammalia; order Primates; family Hominidae; genus Homo; species Homo sapiens. The sequence goes on along the minus strand of NC_000003.12, from coordinate 56,399,100 downwards.
TATTTTGTTTGCCTGGGGATTTGTAGTATGCTTTGTTGGCTCCACCTCATTTATTACCTGTGCCCACTTGACATGGCCATCTTGTACAGAGGAAGAACTGGGACTAAACATCAGCAGATTTAAGTTCTAAACCTGGTTCTGCTGTAAAGTTGGCAGATCTAGCAAATAAAAATACAGGATGCAGCCATGCATGGTGGCTCATGCCTATAATCCCAGCTCTTTGGGAGGCTGAAATGGGAGGATTGCCTGAGGCTAAGAGTTCAAGGCTAGCCTGGGCAGCATAGCAAGATCCTGTCTCAAATAAATTACAAAATTATTCGAGTGTGGTGGTATATGCCTGCAGTCCTAGCTGTTTAGGAGGCTGAGGTGAGGGGATTGCTTGAGCACAGGAGTTACAGTGAACTATGATCATACCGCTACTGCACTACAGCCTGGCCAACAGAATGAGAGCCTGTCTCTAAAAAAACAAACAAACTATATATATACACAAACACATATATGTATATATATGTATATGTATGTGTATATATGACATATATATGTATATATACACACATTTATATGATACTCAGTAAATTTGAATTTCAGAAAAACAAGGGATACTTTTCTAGTATAAGTATGTCTCAAATGTTACCTGTGACATACTTACATTAAAAATTATTTGTTGTTTATCTGAAATTCTAATATCGTTGGGTGTTCTGTATTTTATCTGGCAACCCTACTTTTCTGGGAGCTATTGTTTGACTTTGGCAAGTTACTTTACCCCTTTCGGTCTTAAACCTCATTTGTAAAATGAAATAATTGGAATAGGTTTTCTAAAGCTGCTTATATTCCTCTTGTAGAAAGTTGTCCAAAAATACTCTCACATAAGTGTACAAAAGCAGATACATAGGAATGTTCTTTGTTGCTTTGATTAAATTTCACAGCATTGGAAGTAACTTATGAGAGACTGTATTATTTCCAATTCTATTTTCCCCCACATACTCTAGCAACATATATAAACTCAATTTATGGTGGGCACATAGCTGTCTGGAGTAAAGACTACATTTCCCAGCCTTCTTTGTGACAAAGTATGCCCATATAACTCAGATAGGGCCAATGGGATGTAAGTATGCGTAGTATACACCTTCTGGGAATTACAGTTAAAGGGAAAGGCATGTCTTCTCTTTTGTCCCCCCTTCTTCTGCTGCCTGGAATGTGGACACTGGGAGGGAGTTGGAGCAGCTGTCTGGGACCATGGGTGAACTTGGGAATGAGGCCATGCATGGCGGAGTAACAAGACATGGGCATTTGATACTGTAAAGTACCAGAGCAACTTTATAATATCAAATTGTAAAAAAGTACTATCTATTTCCACAGATTTTTGTGATAGAGAAAGACAATTTTGTTTAAGCCGCTGTTATCTTGAGTACAGCTGGACCTTATCCTAAATAATACACAAACTTGATATCTGTGGGGTGAGACTGGCTAAGTTATGGTGTATCCATAAGATGCAACATTGGAAAGCATTTAAGAAAATAATAAGGTGTTGTTAACTATGTTTGTATGTACCAATATGAAACAGTTGCATCATTATGTAAGTGGAAAAAAGCAAGCTACAGAACAGAGTGCATGCTACAATTTACATAAGGAAAAGGGGCCACAGGAATGCATGCATTTGTGTAGACCTGTCTGAAAGAATAGCCAAGACACTGGTCATTGATGGGCTACTGGGAACTGAGAATTCTTCTTCTTCTTTTTTTTTTTTTTTTTAAGACAGATATGTGCTCTGTTGCCCAGGCTGGAGTGCAGTGGTGCAATCATGGCCCACTGCAGCCTTAGCCTACTGGGCTCAACTGATTCTCTTGCCTCAGCCTCCCAAGTAGCTGGGACTACAGGTGCATGCCACTGTGCCCGGCCCATTTTTTAACTGTATCTTTTTGTACTCTTTGAATTTTAAAACAAAAACCATTTAAAAACTTTTAAAACAAAAACTGTTTCTTAAAAGCCCCGACATGCTGCTGAAACTCTCTAGAACATTGTGTACAGACATTGTCCTTTGGGCTGTGGAGATAACCTAGGCAGAGTCCTTTGTCTTCTAGGAGCTTGTGCCCTAACAGGGTAAAGGCAGGGGAACTGATTACTCTTCAGTGGCTTGAGGTAGGGAGTCGTTAAGTTTGAGAGTAGAGAAAGGAAGGGCTGTGGGAGATGAGAAAAGTGGGGCAGAGACTTTTTATGGTGGAAGGTAGGAAGCAGCCACTATTCCTAGTTATTGGAAACAGTTGTAATTTCTATCTCCTGTCCACCCTCCTCCCCATGCTTCAGTGAACCACACAAAGGGAAGGGACCGTTCTCCTTTGAAAAAAAATCTTTCCTTTCTGTGCTTGTGAAACTAATGCATATTGTTTGTAAAAACAAAAACAAAAACAAAACAAAACAAAAAAACCCTAAAACTTGAAAGATATGTGTAATTTAGAAAATGGAAATCCCATCACTCTAAGATATGTCATTAAACTGAGAATACATTCCTTGGTATTTTTCCTATGAATGTATTAACATTGTGAGCACATACTACTAAATCCTAACTTGCCTTTTTTGTTGAACAATACATCTTGGCCACCTTTCTATGTGAGCACATGTCAAACCACCTCATTGTTTGTTTGTTTTTGTTTTTAAAGACAGAATCTTGCTTTGTTGCCCAGGCTGAACTTGAACTCCTGGGCTCAAGTGATTCTTGTGCCTCAGCCTTCCAAGCCACTCCACCATGCCTGGCTCCATTCATTATTTTAACAACCATCAGATATTCTATTGAGTGGACAAACTGTATTTTTATTTAACCAATCTTTTATTATTACATCTGGTTTGTTTCCAGTTTTTTAGTATTACAAATACCCAATTGAGCAAGAATGTCTGAAGAATAAACTCCTAGAAGAGAATTTCTAAGTAAAAGGATATGAACATGAAAATTTTTAATAGCTATTGCCAAATTGCCTTCCAAATGGTTGTACAAATTTCTGTTTCCTGGAGCAGTGCATGTGAATTCCCTCATTAACCACAAATTTTCCAATCCTGGTCTTTTTATCAGTATTGTAAGCCAAAAAGATTGAATTTCATTTTAACTTGCATTTCTTTAATTTTTTGCAAGCTTTTTAGCTTAGCATCCACTTGGAGTTCCTCTCTGGTGAACCGTCTGTTCACGTAAAAAGGGAGATACTAACCCACTGGTGGAAGTGTTTTCCTGGACATCTCATTCAAGGTATAGCAGTCTTCAATTGCATAATTTCTTAAGCCACAAGAAACTCCAGTTTCCCTTTTAACATTTTGTCTGAGGCCGTTCTTGCATTGCTATAAAGAAATACCTGAGACTGGGTAATTTATAAAGAAAAGAGTTTCTGCAGGCTTCACAGGAAACATGGTGCTGGCATCTGCTCAGATTCTGGTGAAGCCTCAGGGAACTTTCAATCATTGCAGAGGGCCAACAGGAAAAGGGGCACATCACATGGCGAAAGCAGGAGCAATGGAGTGAGAGAATGGGGAGGAGGTGCCACACACTTTTAAATGACCAGATCTTGCAAGAACTCACTATTGCGAAGACAGCACCATGCTTTGAGGGATCCAAACACCTTCCATCAGACCCCACCTCCAGCATTGGGGTTTACAAATTCAACATGAGAATTGGATGGGGACAAATTTCCAAACTACATTACAATCGAAGACCAAATTCAAAGACAATGTTAAAGTATTTAAGATTGGAGATAAGGTACCTAAAGACCCTGGCACTTTGGTTTTAACAGCTTAGAGTCTGAAATTTTAAAATAGCTTTATGAAATGTAATTCACATATCAAGGAATTCAATCATTTACAGTGTACAATTCAGTGATTTTTAAAGTATAATTAAAGAGATAACCAACTATCACTATAATTAGTTTGAGACATATTATCACCTAAAAAAGAAACTCACCCATTAGCAGTCATTCTCTATTTCTCCCAGATCCCCCTGGCCTAGGCAATCACTCCTATTTAATTTCATATAAATAGGAGTATATAATATAAATTTTTTTGCAACTTTTTTTTTTTTACTTAGTGTGATGTTTTTAAGATTCATCCATGTTAGAGCATGTATCTGTTCTTTATTCCTTTTGTTGCCAGATAATATTCCGTTGTATGGATATACCACATTTTGTGTATCCATTTATCAGTTGATGGACATTTGTGTTGTTTCCACTTTTTGGCTAATATGAATAATGCTGCTGTTAATATACTAGATTTGGAATTGCTGGGTCATATAAATTTATGTTTAACCTTTTTAGGACTATTAGACTGTTTTCCAAAGGGGCTGCACCCTTTTACATTTCCACCAGCAGTGTAAAAGGGTTCTAGTTTTTCAGCATCCTTGCCATCACCTGCTATTATCTGACTTTTTGATTATAGCCGTACTAGGGGGTATTAAGTGGTATCTCATTGTGATTTTAGTTTGCATTTCCCTTATAGCTGATGATGTTGAACATCTTTTTATGTGGTTATTGGCCCTTTGTATGTCTTCCTTGGAGAAATGCTTATTCAGATCTTTTGCCCATTTTTAAATTGGATTATTTGTCTTTTAATTGTTCATTTGTATGAAGAGTTCTTTATATATTCTAGATTATATTGATTTTTATAGCTTGGAGAAAGTTAAAAAGTCAGACAGGTCAGAATTAGCTAAGAATATATTGTGCAGTGATTTCATCATCCTGTAGTTGTAAAGTAGCTTTTATGTTACTGGAGTTACCTATAAAACAGTTTCACTAAAAGTTTTATTTGAAATATTAATAATATTTGGAGTTTATGTTGAATTTTCAACAAGAAAATTAATTAATTTCATCTCCATAGTTTGAGATTCTCATTAAAGTTTTATTCTGGATAATTTAGAGTTAAACATGCTTATTTTGCCTACAGTAAGGTTCTTTCTCACAACATGATAGTTTTCACTTCTGCTTTGGTAAATAAGAAACCTTGCCATGGGCATGTTGGCTGACCTTGGACAAGCAAGTTCATCTCATGAGAATGCCTCCCTTATGCCTTTTAGCTAGTAGAGAAAATTCTCTACTTATCAAAGGCAGTGAGCTGGAGACCAGGTCAGAGGCCACTGGATGGAGTAAAATTGCAGGGGAGCAAAAGAGAATTCCTTTTTTTTTTTTGGCTGTAGCTTATCCCAGGCCTTGTAGGAGACATAAAAGTAGTGTCCAGGTGATCAGGGGGTCAAGAGATGGCTCCCTTAGCTTTGTGCTATGAAGCTTCTTTGATCTTCACTGAGGCTTATGGCAGTGTAGCTGATGGTTTGCTAATCCTGGCTTTCAGTCAGCTGGCTCATGTTTGATTTGGGAAAAAGAATTAAAGGAGAAAATTTCTTGGTTTGAGAATTTTTGAGTTCTTCAATTCAGTTTATTCATTCATTCATTCCATAAATTTATTAGGATCTCAGTATGTGCCAGAAACTGTCCTAATATAAATACAGAAGTGACAATGACAGATTTAATCTTTGGTTTCAAGAGCTAATTGTCTAGCATGATAGTTCCTAAATAGACAGCTACACAAACAATGAATTACAATTGTGTTACATGGTTTGGAAGGAGGTGTTTGGGAATCTATCAGAACATGTAATGGGGCCATAACTAGGAACCTTACCTGTGTAGGATACAGTGAAGGCTTCCCTAAGGTAATGACATTTCATTTTATTTTATTTTTTGAGAAGGAGTCTCTCTCTGTTGCCCAGGTGGAGTATAGAGGTATGATCTCGGCTAACTACAACTTCTGCCTCCCAGGTTCAAGTGATTCTCCTACTTCATCCTCCTGAGTAGCTAGGATTACAGGCATGCACCACCATGCCTGGCTAATTTTTGTATTTTTAGTAGAGATGGGGTTTTGGCATGTTGGCCAGGCAGGTCTCAAACTCCTGACCTCAGGTGATCCACCTGCCTTGGCCTCCCAAAGTGCTGGGATTATAGGCATGAGCCACTGTGCCTGGCCAGGAATGGCATTTTAGCTGTGATATAAAGGATGACTGGAGCTGATGAGATGGGGAAGGGTGGGAGTACAAAACATTCTAGGCTAAGGGAATAGCAGATGTGAAGACCCTAGGGAGGAGGTGTTGAGTGGGAGGCACCAGAAAGGACTTGTGGGCAAGAAGGAGCTGAAGGGAGGCAGTTTCAGGTGAGATCATGGAGGGTGGTCGTGGCCGTATCAGGTGGAACTTCCTGCCTGTGGCACCCAGTGTGGACTTTATTTGCCTGCTGTAGCTTTTGAGTGTCCAGTGAGGAGGATGAAGAAGAGGGTTAGAACTATGAGGTCCTTGTTTCCTGAGATCCTTTACCACAACCACCATTGTCTTTACTAGAAGCCATTTTATTTTTAACTTTGTATAAAAGTCATGTCTCGAGGTAACAATTTAAAATAAATATTCAAGGACTTTTTATTTATTTTAACCCTATATAGAGCTAGTTGACTTTTCCCCAATCTGAGAATTTGCCCTGGAAGAGGACATTTTGCTGGGGCACATTCTAGTATAATGGTCAAAGGAGGGAGTAGATAGAGTTAATGAGTTCCAGTACCTTTAGACAAAATGCATCTCAGTGTGGGAGTCAATGTGAATCTTTTTTATCTCCCTATAGAAACAGATATATTTGAGTCACCGTGCACATGCCCACCTCTTCCTTTCTAAATTGTCCTATATAAAGCCCCAACAAGAAAGATAGAGGATACTTTTGGTGGTAGCAAATACCATAATGAAATAAACAGTCCATGAAGTTGACTTGGTTCAGAATGGAGAACCAAAGATATATGTGACAGACTTCTGTTACTAAGGACCAGAAAACCATTTTAAAGAAAATGAAACTGTTGTGGTGGCATTAAATGTTATATGAGCATTCACGTACAAACACATAGAAATGTTTGCCTGGATAAATCTACATGCATCTCAATAATTTTGATATTTGAAACATTTCTTTAAAATCATTTCTTTGAAATAGCTTGTCTCTCTGAAGTGCCTCTTCACCTTTCAGCAAAGGATAGCATCTTTGCTATTATTTACACTACAGGATTCTAATATGTTTACTTGAATACATTGCATAGTGTGTCATCTGCTATACCATGCTTTGTACACATTAGGTGTATGGTAAGTATTTGATTTGACTTAAAATTGAATAGCATGGAAAAATTAATCTCCCGTCAGATATGATCTGGGATATTATGATGCCTCGGGGACAGAGAAGGTTATTTTTAATGTTTTCCCTAAAGCCCATAGGTATTTTGTAATTAATTTGGCAAATAAAAATTATCTGATTACAGGCACATTTTTCTCCCCCCAAGAGAGATGTTCCCCATAATCGCATTAGTAACCCATTCCTGTGCACGATTGCCTTATCAGTATACTCTCCCATCTTTGAATATCCTTAATTTCTACCTCTATAATTAAAACTCATTTTTCTCTGATCCCTTCCTAAGTGGTAGCAGTGAACCCAGGATTGTCATTTGATTGTCACAGTTCACCTACTTATTTGAGTTGCTAATACTCATCTTAAACGTAGACATGACATGGTATTTAGAATAAGGCTGGAGCCTTCTTCCTGCCTCCCATTCCTTAACCCCTTAACCATTTCTCTTTCTCACTCTTCTTATTCCTAAAATGGAAATGGTGGTAATACCTCATAGTTGATGTGAGAGTCTTCTCAGAGTGAATGATTGATAAACTATAAAGTTCTAGGCAGAAGTTAATCACAGGTATCATTTTGTTCTTATCCCTTCCCTGATGAGGAGGATGTAGTCAATGGTGCACATTGGAAGTTGTGACCAGGCAACTTAGATGGAGTGACACAGTGATCTCATTCCAGGGCACAGCAGGAAATTCAGCCTCCTCCTTCTTATGACAGTCTTTCAGTGGAGAATAATTTGAAGTGTTGGTATGGGGAACCTCGTTCAGCATTTATTTTTGGAACATCTCCCATGAGTGAGACTGAAGTTGTTGAAGGTATGTTGTGGTCTGATTGCTTCACTTAAGTTCTCATTTTAATCCCCAACACATCCTTTGAGATGAGTGCAAGAGCTGTTGTTCCCATTAAACTGACGAAGAAACTAAAGCTCAGGGATCAGTCTGACATGGTATGAGTCACATTTAGAAATTGAAGCAGGTGCTTCAGTTAGTGCATTTTCTTCACAACACATTTGCTCACAGCTCTATTAGGCTGTCACAGTCCACCCTTAAGTGGATGGTCTCTTCCACCCTGGGAGGGGTCCTTATGAGTAGTGCTTCCTGTTAATCTTGGATGTGACCTCAGCTCAAAGCATTGGGTAATATTCTGTGGCATGATAATCCAACCCCTTCATTAGGCCAGGTAGTGAACTCTTGTTTATGTTGCATATGAACCAGCTAACTCTTAAAAACAAAACCAAAGATAACTTAAGAATCTTCTTGCTACTGAAAATGCACCTCAATTATTTTCTGTATATCCAGCTATTGTATTTATAGATAGCCCCAATGACAAATATTGTACTGCCATTCTCCATTTTGGTTCTGATGGCAGACATCACTAATCGTGAGACTTCCCCTCTAAACCTAGTTTTGGCTTTAGAATCCTCCTAAACCCAGTGTACAAGGTAGCCAATCACTCTCCTTTGCCGCCCTTTTTTGCTTTTCACTGTTAGATCGCTTATAACATTCTCATCACTCAACCATTTAGGTAAGGGGCAGGGGAGAATGACCTAGTGTTAGTTTAGTTTGAAAAGCAAGCTAGGAGAAGAAAGTCGTGAAATTCTATTTTTGGTATAGAAATAAGAGCATTATTGGAAACCCAGTGTTGAGTTGGTTGTAATTTTTTCCATTGAAACTCAGTGGGGGGATTTCTAAGAAGTTGAGTGATGGGTATTTTATGCAGTGTAAAATATAGTGGATGGAAAAGCTGATGGAAAAGCTAATTAAAGAATGGTTTCTAATAGGGCATTTTGTGCTGTTGAGAGAGGTTTTCAGAAAAGGATTTTTTTTTCATTGTAAGAACATATTATTCCATTCCTGAGTTCAACATGGTCATTTATTTTGTTGGCCGTCACTGGTTTAGAATGGAAAAAGGAATTATTAACTAAATGATTTTTCATTGTTAAAATTTCAGCCCTATTTAAGGCTCCCTTTCACAGTCAGCTGTAGATTTAACTACCAAAATTTAGCAACCTTTGTGAAGTTAGATTTATATAGCTGTTGCCTGTTCTTGGACTCCATCTAGATGGGCCTACCCTTCCTAGTTAAAGGCAGGGCAGATTCCTGCCGGGTTCTTCAAGGTTTGAACATCTGTTTACTCAGAGAATGACATCTATGGGTTCTCAGCCTGGGTTTCTTGATTTCTGGGAATTCCTTCCAAGCAGCAGAATCAAAGGGTAGATGGGTTGAGATAATGGGACCAGACAGTTACATGATTTATTAACTCCACTGACTCTAGCTGAAGTCCTCTGGGGAAGCAGCAGGCCAGCTCCCTTGAGATCACAGGCTTGACCTAATGTCTGGTCTCCTCCCTGGTTCTGCAGCACAACTCCTGAAATGGCACTAACAAGACCATGTGTGGCCCTCTCCTGCTGTTGCAGGTGGGATGGTCTCATTTCATTTGCAGGTGGCCTTTCTCATTCTCATGCCACTGTCATGAGCTGGGGTTTCCCTGGCAGGGAAACAGTATTTCGCATGTAACTCTGGAAATCGTAGGCACTGCTTTGTCATGTTCTTTCTGTGACACTGACTCTTGTGGTTAAAAGACTGCAGATCATTCCATAGTGAGTCTGGCTTTTCTCTGCATTTTACACTATTTCTCTGTGAAGTCTGACTCATGCCTCAAGGTCTGGTTGACTAGCACGATTTCTCCAGCATTTGTTAATTAAACTCCTTGATATATTTCCCTCCTCCCATGCAATAGAGTCCCCCAATGATCAATACTTTCAACCTAACAGCTATTGCTTAACTGGCTTATATTTTTTGCTTTTTCCCATTTATCTACAATGTATTTAGATGGGAAAGTGAGCTATTCTTTGTTCATCATTTCAGGAAGAGTTCTATAAAATATGCATTACAATTTTTGTACTCTTTTTTTTTGGTACTCCTAATACTCTGAATGCTTTGCTCCATAATTTTCATAAATTTCTCTTTCTGTCTGTAATTTCTCTTTAGAATTGAAAATATAATTAATGTTGATTTTAAAGGTTGATACATTCCTGCTCCCTTGTGTGTTTTATTGAGTTGATAATTTTTTGGGGCGTGCCACCTATAAGCAAGGTATTGAATGCTGAGTTGCTGTTAGGGTTCAAAAATGAATGAGGGCCTACACTTTTTGTGGATCGACAGAGGAGATTAGATATATATGTGATTGCCGTACAAAGTAGAAAATGATACAGACCAAAAGTACAGTGTGGGTAGAGTATTGTGACAACGTAGAGTAAGGAAAGGAATCATGGAAGGCCTCTGAGAAGAGGTGTAATTTGAAGTAACCATTGGAAGTCTAGACTTCAAGCCTCATGAGGGCAAGGTCTGTGGACTCTCTTGGATGCCATTTGTGTTAGTCTGCATTGCTGTAAAGAAACACCTGAGACTGGGTAATTTATAAAGAAAATACATTTATTTTGGCTCATTGTTCCACGGGTTGTACAAGAAGTGTGATGCTGGCATCTGCTTCTGGTGAGGGCCTCAGGAAGCTTGCAACCATGGCTGAAAGTGAAGGGGAGCCAGCATGTCACATAGCAAGAGCAGGAGGAAGGGGGAGAGGAGGAAGTTCCAGGTTATTTTAAACAACCAGATCTAGCACGAACTCACAGAGTGAGAACTCATTCATTACCCGGAGAATGGCACCAAGACATTCATGAGGGATCTGTCCCCATGATCCAAGCACCTCCCACCAGGGCCTACGTCCAACACTGAGGAATACATTTTGATGTGAGCTTTGGAGGGGTCAAACATCCAAACTGTATCACCATTGTATGCTCAGTGCTGAACATAGTCCTTAGCCCATGTTGGTGCTGCATAAATATTTATTATGAAAATGATGAGTTAGGATTTGTATATGTAAATATGATATTGGAAAGGTCTTAAAGGGAATGGAATGATCATGGGGAGAAATAGAATGGAAGATGAAAACAGGAATTATCTTTGAGAATTATCTCTCTCTACAAATGTGTAATAAGAAGATATTTATCTGTTAATTTTAACTTTCCCTAACACACCACATTATTCTAGTCACAGGCAGGGAGTCATTGTTGAAAATGAGAGTTAGAGATGGTAAAGGGGGACTTGCTCTGTCTCCTTATCCAATCATGTCTCTTTAGCATTGATGGCTGGGTCATACGCATCTTGCAAGGACACTCTTGGAAAAGAAAGAGGTGAAAGAAGGGCAATGATATTCTTCTTTGAAATGGAATTTGATTACCCTTGTCTCTGTTCAGGTGGTGAGAAGAGCTCAACTAGAGAGGTTATAAAATCTCCTTGTCATTTTCGAAGGCAGTCCAAGGGCTTGGATGCATTAGCAAAGGCGACAGTGTTGTCATGGTGAACGAATATTGTCCTGCATCTGCCTGACCTAATCCCGGGTTTTATAGACACAAATGGCAGAGAATCTGAATAGTCAAATAAACAAGAGAGAACAAACAGCAGGGAGTTAATATTTAGTATGGTCCACTGCCCATTTTATTAGTGTGTTCATTTTAGAAAATTAAAAAAATCACTTTGCATTGTACAGGTTAAAGAGAAGCCAAGAACACCCACAATGTGATGAGAATCCTTGAGGATTATGCAGAATTAGACAGAGACCAAACTGATGAATTTTGTAACAGAGGTTTTGGGGCTCTATAACAATAATAACAAATTGGTTAAACACTTTCATAGTAATTATAAATAATTTCAGCTCATAGCATTTTTGTGTTTTTAAAGTTGATGTGACATTCTCTAATGCCTATATTTATTTATTATATAGCCAAAATTTGAACATAGTTTAATACACATATTAAATTCTTATAGATTAGTGCACTTCACATAGATGCTATTTCACTATAGCACATTTTAAAATATTAGGTTGGTGCCAAAATAATCACAGTTTTTGCCATTGAAAGTAATGGCACCACCCAGGTGAAAACCACGCAGGTCCCTCTCACAGGTAGTTCTAGGCAACTCCTTGTTGCCAACAAAAGGCTTCAGGCCCTGTTGCAACCACTTTTATATGCTGTTCATATGGAATGAAAGAGTTTCTGCTGTACCTATTATTTTACCTGCCCAAAAGTCTTACATATGGTGTTATATCTGGCATTTGCTGTATAATTAGCATTATATTGGATACAGTTCTCCATGTTTCTATGTGACCTAGCAGTTTATCATTTTCAGTAGCAGTAGTGTCTCCCAATGTCACTGGTGCTCTCTTCATTTGCAGAGCCAATTACTAAGGTCTTTCCAGCGAGGAAAACCAGTAGAGGTATGGGGTCTGGACCAGCAGGTCCCAAGCCCTGCTTATAATCAGAATGACTTGGGGAAATTTTAAAAAACAGAAACAAAAATACAAAAGAAAAACAAAAACAACCCCATAAGACAACAAAATCCAACTGCAGAGATACTGATTTAGAGTGTCTAGTGTGGAGCCCATATTTTCAAAAGTTCTCCAGAGGGTTTGGAGGATCGCCCAGGTTGGGAAGCTTTGGGGATAATTCCATGATCCAGTTCTTTCCATCAAAATAAACTAAAAGAAAAGTGTAATCAGAACTGATCTCCATAACCATCATAGGAACGAAAGTCAAAGAAATCTGGGATGCTTGGAGTGTTTCACTGTGACTTAATTATTACTGTTAATATTTATTTTAATGTAGAATACACTGAAGTTGACATCTTGTTTTTTGCTGTCACTGAGTTTTGAGTCTTTCTTGACTTTGTCCTACCAAGTGATCTGTGGCTTTGCAGTGTAGGTACAAAGCTTTGCTTAAGTGTTTTCCTAATCCTTGCCACTGGATCTCTAATTTTTATAGAGCTGAATTTACTCTTGAGAGGTAATTTGGGGTCATCTGTTTTATTCATACTGAACCAACCCTTTCCATTCTGTCTTTACTTGTTCAAAACTGAGATGACTTTGAAGCCATATGTCTATCAGTAGTTCATAATGCTTTCCTTTTGGCAAAGATCCAAGTTTACAGTGGATGCCCTAAGAACCAAATTACATCTCATACTCTACTCTGCAATTCAGGCCATTTAGCTGCAAATACTGTTCTTACTCATTTTATAGCTGTCCCATTCATGGTAGTTCTCCAGCCTTGGTGTCTTTAGAGAGTCTTCTTAAAGGGACCCAAATGAGCTAATAACATAGCTGAAGAAAGCAAACCATTTAAAAAGAATATGTATGTTTATGGATTGTCTTAATAGCCAAAGTTTTAAATAAATGGAATTAGTTTCCTCTAAAATTAGTGAGTTCCCCATTAGTGGAGGAGGTGCCTTAACATAGATCAAATGGCCATGTGGATATTTTTATGTAGAGATTTCAATATTACATAAATGATTGTGCTACTAGAACATTAAGGCATTTAAGAAACACATATCATGTTCCGTTTTCACCCACTAGTTGCTCAAATCTGGTATATGGTGTATGGTGTCCATGTGTTGGTTGGGGAAATCATTAATGCTGGCCATACTTAGGGTGGTGGAGAAAGGACTTTGGCTGTATTTTCCATCCACTCACCACCAATGTGGTGGTGTCAGGAGATGGGGCCTTTGGGAAGTGATTGGATTATGACAGCAGAGCCCTCATGAATGGAATTAGTGCCCCTATAGAAGAGGCACCAGATTGCTGCTTGGCCTCTTCTACAATATGAGGACACAGTAAGAAGTCACCATGTATGAACCAAAAGGTAACCCCTCAGCAGACATCAAATCTGCTGGCACCTTGATCTTGGACTTCCCAGCTTCCAGAACTATAAGAAATAAATTTTCTATTGCTAATAATCTACCTAGTTTATGGTATTTTGTTACAGTAACCAAGACAAAATAAGATACATCCTTACTGGTGGAATCTATTCATTTCACATTTTTGGGAATGGAGGTTGGAGAGCTTAGAAGACTTACTCAAAGAAACAAGGGCCCAGAAATAAACTGTCACATATATGATCCAGTAATTTTTGACAGAGGTGCTAAGACCATTCATTAGGGAAAGGACCATCATTTCAACAACTGTTGTTGGAAAAACTGGATACTGGGACATGTAAAATAATGAGGTTGGACCCTTACCTTATATCATATATGAAAATTAAAATAGATCAAAGTCCTAAACACAAGAGTTGAAACCATAAAACATTTACAAGAAAATTTATGACATTAGATTTGGAAGTGATATCTTAGGTAGGACACCAAAAGCACAGGTGACAAAAGAAAAAATAGTTAAATTGAACTACATCAAAATTTAAAATCATACATCAAAAACACTATCAAGGTGAAAAAGCAGTCCACAGAATGGGAGAAAATATTTGCAAATCATATATCTGTTAAGGGATTAATATCTAGAATAATTAAAGAACTTCTATAACTTGACAACATCAAAGAAAACCAAACAACCTGATGGAAAAATGGGCAAAAGGACTTGAATAGATATTTCTACAAAGAAGACATACAGATGGCCAACAAGCATATGAAAAAATACTGAACATACTAGTCATTAGAAAAATGCGAATCAAAACCATAGTAAGATACTACTTTATACCCATTAAGATGGCTATTACAAAAAACAAAATAGCAAGTGTTGGTGAGTAAATAGAGAAATGGAAACTTTTGTGCATTGATGGAGGGAATAGAAAATGATTCAGCTGCTACAGAAAACAGTATGGCAGTTCCTCAAGAAATTAGAAATGGAATTACTATATGATCCAGCAATTCCACTTCTGGATATATACCCAAAATAATTTAATGCAGGGACTCAAACAGATATTTGTACACCCATGTTCATAGCAGCATTATTCACCATGGCCAAAAGATAGAAGCAATCCAAATATATGTCCCTCAGTGGATGAATGGATAAATAAAATAATATTCTATTGTGTGTTTATATATATAAAGTCTTATAAAAAGGAAACTCTGACACATACTATGACATGGATGAACCTTGAGGACATTATGCTAAATGAAATAAACCAGTCACAAGAAGGCAAATATTGCTTGATTGCACTTAAATGTGACACCTAGAGTAGTCAAATTCATAGAGACACAAAGCAGAATGGTGGTTGCCAGGGGCTGGAGGGAGAAAGGAATGGGGAGATATTGTTCAATGTTCAATGGGTGTGGAGCTTCAGTTTGGGAAGATGAAAAATGTTCTGGAGATGGATGGTGGTGATGATTGTGTCATAATGCGAATGTACTTGATGCCACTGAACTGTACACTTGAGATGGTTAAAATGGTAAATTTCAGGTTATGTGTATCTTATCACAATTAAAAAAAGAGTAAGGCCATAATGACAGGGATGAGATTAAATCCCTAGTTCTTAGATGTGATTTGATGCTTTTCTGACTCTCAGAGTTCCATTCATTCATTCATTCAGCACATTTTGTTGAGTATCCACTATGTGCCAGGCACTGTGATAGATGTTGGGAATATATAAATGAATGAAACAAACAAAAATTCTCTCATCCTGGAGCTTATATGCTAGTGGAGCATACAGACAATAATTATAGCAGTGACAGCAACAAAGTGTAGTATGTGGGATGTGAGATGGTGATTAGTAGTATCAGAAGTCTGAAACAGGATTAGAAGGAAAGGCACCGGATCATGGAAGGATTTGTTGTCCATTTTAGCGACCTGGGTTTTGCTCTTTGTGAAATTCCAGTGGGGGGTTTTTTGAATAGAAGGGCGATGGGATGTTTTAACAGGATTCCTCTGGCTGTTGTGTTGAGAATAAGCATGGGAAGGTAATGGTAGAAGCAGGAAGACTGGAGACAAATGCTCAGTACAGGTGAAGGAGGTTGGTGACTTGCACCAGGATAGGAGCAGTGCAGGTGGTGAGAAGTGGTCAGATTATGGCAGTATTTGATGATAAAGCTGGGTAGATTTACTGATGGATTGATTGTGGGATGGGAAAAAAAACATAATTAAGAATGATTTTAAGGTGTGGGGCCTGGGCAACTGGTAGGATGCAGTTGTCATTTACTGATGGGAAAGTACAAGGAAGCAGATTTGGAGGGTAAACCCAGGGATTTGGTTTTGGGCATCTGAACCTTGGGGTATCTATTAGACATCCAAGTGAAGATGATTAATTAGTTGGCTTTGCAGTTTCGAGTCCAGGGATGAGATAGCAAGCCTAACGGTATAAATTTGGGACTGATTAGCAGAAAGATTGCATCCAGTCATGAAAAAGGTGAGTATAATATAGAATATAATCATATATAGAGAAAAAAAGGTGGCCAGAGAATGAACACTGCGATATTGCAACATTAAGAGGTTGAGTAGATGAGTTGGAATGAAACAAGAGAGTGTGGTATCCTTAAGGTCAAATGAAGAAAAGTGTTTCAACAAGGGAGGGCATGATCATTTGTTTCAAATACTTTAGATAGATCAGGAAATATGAAAACTGAAAATTGACCATTGGATTTATTCAGGTCACTAATGACATCAATATTGCTAAGAGCTATTTTGGGGAAATGGTGGGGGGAAAGTTTGATTCTGATTGGAGGCCATAAACCTGGACACCTTTTTCTAAAAGTTTTGCTATAAAGAATGGAGAGAAATAGGATGGTAGGTGGAGAAAGAAGTAGAGGTCAAGAGAAGGCCTTTTTGAGATGAGAGACATGATGATATATTTGTCTGCTGATAGGATCTGACCTGGTAGAAAATGCACTGCTGCAGTGGTATCCATGAGCAGGGGGGTGGGATGGGATCTAGTACACAAGAGGAGGGGCTACTATGGGTAGGCACACGTGTTGGGGCACCCAGAGTTACAGGAGGGATGGCAGAGGATCTGGGCAGAGATGCAAGTCCGTGAGTTGATGGGGTGCTGCAGGTAAAGGAAATTCTCTTCTGTGGTTTCCATTTCTGGGTGAAAAGGGAAGGAAGGCCAATAGTTAAAAGTGAGTATGGGGAAAGAGGTGCTGAAGCTTTGAAGGAGAAGGTATGAAGTACTTGCCAACAAGGGTGGAAAGGTGAATGGATTAAGTCAGGAAAGGGAAGCTATCATTTTCGAAGAGGTTGAGGGTATAGGAGATCTTTGTTCTTGAGGACCCTGAGTTCCAGAATGCACAGTGAAGGGATTTTGAGAATTTCAGATTCTGGGATATACAGAGCTATAGGGAGATCAGAGTCTCTCATGAGCCATCAGAGATCACTTTGCCTGGTTTTTTTCCACCCCCCCCTTTTTTTCTTTTTCCACCTTACTTTTTTTCTATTTTTTTTCTTTTCCTTTCTCTCTCTTTCCTTCCTTCCTTCTTTGTCTCTTTGTTTCTGTTCCCCTCCCTCTCTGCTTTGCTTTCCCTCCTTTTGGTCTTTCTCCTTAAGTTGATCTTTGAGACACTAAGAAGAATCTGCTATTGAATCTATTCTCTGCAACTGGCTAACATATTTTTTTTTAAAAGTAAATTACAACTGACCCTTGAACTACATGGGTTTGAACTGTGAGGATCCACTTACACGTGGATTTTTTTTTCAGCTGAATGCAGATTGAGAATACAGTATTCACAGGATGCAAAACCTGCCAATACGGAGGGTTAACTTTTTGTACGTGCAGATTCTATACAGCTCACTGCAGGACCTGAGTGTGCGTGAATTTTGTTATGCATAGGGGGTCTTGGAACCAATCCCCTAAGTATACCCAGGAATGATTGTAATACGAAAACAAATGCCCTTTTCCTTCATTGGGATGGGCTTAAAGGCATTAAACAAATCATATAATACTTTAAAAATATTGACAATGAAGTTATAAGAAGAAATTCCCCATTTTTTTCTTTAAAAAGTAGACTTCCTCATGACCAATATCGGAATAATGAATTTATGAGAATTATAAGGTTTTTCTTGGCATAATCAAATAATGCAAAGTCCTAAAGTGCTTCCTTATTAATCAGTTGTGCTTAAGCTTTTCTGATTTTGCAGCCTTGGAGACTGATGGATGAAAAACAAAGACATTGACGCAAATGGAAGTGTTTTTCTTTTCTTCTGCAGTTGTCCCAGTTTCTAGGCAATTTCAGAGGGATTGTAGGTGTAAATTGGCCTAGTTTGATGGTCAATTATCATTTAAAATAATTTTGAATTGTTTAACAGGCAGATTATAAGTAATTTTCACATACAAAAATAGGACAAAATAATTAGCTTCTGTTTCCCATGTGTTTGATATTTCAAGAACAAATTTACAACTTGTAGCAATTTGAACTTTACCTCCATTTTTAGTCATATCTCACTTTATATCAAAGATGATATGGTGATAGCTTAATTTTCTTATAAAAACATATTTGTGGCTTTTAATTGCAGTTGGTTGGATGTTTGTATTGAGTTTGAGGACTCGTTCTCCATAAGTATGTATTCAGGCTTTAAAGATTTATCTGTTCATTCATACCATGCCTATTTCCTGAAAGGCTATTAGCCAAGAAAACGTGGGTCCAAATAGAGCGAAGAGACACAAGGTGGAAAGGAGACACAAAAGGTGATTGTGGCAGGAGAACTTCTCGGTGAGGAGTGTCCAGCAGTGTTTTGTTTCTGTTCATCTCTAGCATCAGCCCAGGGAGTGGGAAAGCACACAAATCCCTGTATGAATTGGAGATGAGACGAGAACTTGTACTGGGGGCTAGCAGTAAAAATATACTTTAGAATCAGACAAATTTGGATTTGTCTAGCTCTTTCACTTATTAGCGACAGGACCTCAGGTCAGCTGCCCAACCACACCTTCAGTTTTCTGATCTATAAAGCAATCATGTCTCCCCAGACGTCTGCTGTCAAGAATAAGTGAGATAATGTATATGAAACACTCAGATTGAGGGTTTTCAACAGGGGGCAATTTTGCTTCCCAGGGGAATATTTGACAATGGCCAGAGACATTTTTGATTGTTTGCTAATTGAGAGTAGAGTGCTGTTCCTTATATTTAGTGAGGGGGCCCGGGGTGCTGTTCAACATCCTGCAATGCACAGGACAGCTCCTACAATCATTACTCAGCCCTAACGTTCATAATGCTGAGGCTGAGAAACTGACTTTAGAACAATGCGTGACCCAGAGCAAAGGCTCCAAATATGTTAGTTCTTATCATCATCATCATTGTCGTCATCAGTTGTTGACACAAAATTTTAGTTAGTTCTTAATTCTATTTTTCCTGTTGAACATATTTCATTCCCTTCCCTTCCTTACCTTGTAGGTGAATTTATCTCTGTATCTCAAGCCTAGATTTCTGTCGCAGGCTTTCAAATACTTTCTTGATTCTTTTCTGATATGCACACTCATGTCAGACTAAGATTTCTTAACCGTGCATTTCATATCCTTCTTTTACTCCCTCTTGTTGAGTATGTGCAGTGGGTAGAGTGTGCAGTGTAGAGTCAGACTGCTCGAGTTGAAATCCAAGCATCACCACCTGCTTGAAGTGTGACCTTAGGGAAATTAACTTTCTATGCCTCAGTTTCATCATAAGTAAATGGGGATTACAGTTGTACCTTCTCTTAGGGTTGCTGTGAGCATTAAATGGAGTGAGCTATGTAAAGCCCTTGGCTCAGTGCCTGGCACAGAGAAGGTGTTCAGTATATATTATTTCACCAGTGAATAGAAGCTACACCAGGTTATTTTGGTTTTTTTTCATCTCTATATGGTTGGCTTTGACTTAAATTCATGAGAGATGAGCTATCTTCATAAGTAATAACACAAGAAGGTCTCTCCTGAGTAGTCAGATAGGATAAGTGCATTTACCCTGAACTGTCCAGTATGGTATACTTAATAGCCAATATGGTATACTCAATACTCAGTAGCCACCTGTAGCTATTGAGTATTTGAACTGTGGGCTATCTGAATTGACCGCTTTAAGTATGACATACACATGGGATTTAAAAGATTTAATACAACAAAAAAGAATGTAAAGTATCAGTGATTTTTAATATTCATTACATGTTGCGAAAACACTGTTTTTGGTATATTGGGTTAAATAAAATACGTTATTGAAATGGATTTCACCTATTTGTTTTTATATTTTTAAAATGTGGCTACTAGAAAATATAAAATTGCACATGTGGCTTGCATTACACTTCCATTGGACTGTGCAGGGCTAACTTAAGAGGCCAGGGTTCTCGAATGGAGGTACATCTGCCAAATCACAGTGCCTCTGTTGCAGTGGAGGTGTCCCTTAACTGTTTCTGGCACACTGCTGGTATAGTCATGACAAGGCAGGAATGGGAGCCTGTCTCTGAACTCAATTCATCTGGCTTATTTGGTGACATTCTAAACTTGGGACATATGAATGATTTTGGGCTCTTTTGGGAACTTGGAATTATATGGAAAAAATGTTTTCTATCTGTATAAATCTAGAGCACAATCTTGAGAACCAGTTTCAGATTGCTGCCTTTGTTTTTTTTTTTTTTTATTATACTTTAAGTTTTAGGGTACATGTGCACATTGTGCAGGTTAGTTACATATGTATACATGTGCCATGCTGGTGCGCTGCACCCACCAACTCGTCATGTAGCATTAGGTATATCTCCCGATGATATCCCTCCCCCCTCCCCCCACCCCACAACAGTCCCCAGAGTGTGATATTCCCCTTCCTGTGTCCATGTGATCTCATTGTTCAATTCCCACCTATGAGTGAGAATATGCAGTGTTTGGTTTTTTATTCTTGCAATAGTTTACTGAGAATGATGATTTCCAATTTCATCCATGTCCCTACAAAAGACATGAACTCATCATTTTTTATGGCTGCATAGTATTCCATGGTGTATATGTGCCACATTTTCTTAATCCAGTCTATCATTGTTGGACATTTGGGTTGGTTCCAAGTCTTTGCTATTGTGAATAATGCCGCAATAAACATACGTGTGCATGTGTCTTTATAGCAGCATGATTTATAGTCCTTTGGGTTCCCAAATGGAAGGTATTGAGCTTCTGGGCGGGCGATCTGCTCCCTTCAAGAAGATTGAGCTTGCTGGTTTTGTGATCTGGTGACTCAGGATAAAAATGTGAAATTCACATACATGCATGCAAAATCTTCCACTTAATTGATTGCATTTTGGGGCAATATTGCTTGCTAGGTTGGATGCTCCGATACTTTTTTTGTTTTGTTTTTGTTTTTTGTTTTTTTTTTTGGAGATAGGGTTTCTCTATGTTGCCTAGGCTGAATTGGAACTACTGGGCTCAAGTGGTTCTCCTGCCACAGCTTCCCGAGTAGCTGAGAGTATAGGTATGAATCACTGCACCCGAATTCCAGAGTATTTTGAAGTTTGGTGAGAGCTGTGCTACCGCACAATCCAAAGAATCTCACATGGTTATTTTTAATACGATATGATCTCCCATTTGTTATCTTTTTTGGGGGGCCTAATGTGTGAAATGATTAATTTTACATCTTTATGCATAATATTGCTCTGCAGGTGTTGATATCTTAACTTATATTTGAAAGTTTCTACATGGTGCTTAAGAACTCAGTTTTCAGGTTGACAAATTGACAAGTGAGATGATAATCTACTATAAATGTCTTTGAGTTTGGAAATTTATGGCAACAATCTTAATATTATAAAATTATGAAAGTAAACTCTGTAGGACCCAAAAGATCTGTCTTATGGCATCCTCAGGCATTTCTTTCTCTGCATTATAGACATTGCACAGACAAGTCTATGTGCAGACAAAATGGAGACACGTATATCAAGGAAAAGGATCATACTCTTCCATCTAGTAGAAGATTGTTTATGTTTTCATGTGTTCCTTTCTGGTCTTTTTCCTATGCATATTTTTTGTCACAAAACTGGTATATTTTACTCACTTGACAAGTATATACTGAATTCTTACTGTGTGGCAGGCACTGTACTAGACACTAGGATACAGTGGTAATTGATATTAACATTGGGCCTCTAATCGGAGAAACAGGACAGTAAACAGTTCATTGAGTTAAGCATGTTAAGGGATCGTGATGGGGGGAGGTGCATCAGGATACTGTGGGAGCACTGAAGGACCATTATAATTACATGTGCTTCTTACCCTTGAAAAACCGAATCTGGCTAAGTCAGTTCATCTGTTGCCTCCCAAATGATATTTTAGAAATAGCCTCCCATGTATTGCGACTTCTTTAATTACTGTACTTTTCTCTGTTCTGGTTCTACTAGACTCCTCTTAATCTGCCCCACTCTTAGCTCATTGCCAAAAGAGGGACTTTCTTCTTTCACCTCATTTTTTTTTTTTTTTGAGACAGAGTCTTGCTCTGTTGTCCAGGCTGGAGTGCAGTGGTGCAATCTTGGCTCACTGCAACCTCCGCCTCCCGGATTCAAGCGGTTCTCCTGCCTCAGCCTCCTGAGTAGCTGGGATTACAGGTTTGTGCTACCATGCCTGGCTAATTTTTGTATTTTTAGTAGAAACAGGGTTTCACCATGTTGGTCAGGCTGGTCTCAAACTCTTGACTTTCTGATCTGCCCACCTCGGCCTCCCAAAGTGCTAGGATTACAGGCATGAGCCACTGTGCCCGGCCAACTCACCTCTTTTTTTTTTTTTGGGAGCAATTAAGATTCTTTGTCTCACAGCTGGAGCCAGCTCAGCCTCACCCATTGAGAGGGATGGTTTCCATTTGCAACATCAATCTCAATGTTACCAATGTTATCAGAGATTCTGGGCCTTGTTAGTAAATGCTCTATAATCTGTTTCTCTTGTGAGAAACAGGGTAAGTCTGAGAGAGTTTGGTAGATATTTTCTGGGCAACCTGGATTGGAATCTGTATTAGTTTATTGCTTTATAACAAATCCCCTCAAAACTTACTGACTTTAAACAACAATATTTATTATCTCACAGTTTCTGTGGGCCAGCAATCTGAGGACAGCTTAGCTGCATCCTCTAGCTCAGGGTTTCACACAAGTTGCAATCAATGTGCCACCTGGGGCTGCAGTCTCATCTGAAAGCTTGACTGGGGAAGAATCTGCTTCTAAGCTCATCCATGCGGTTGTTGGAAGGATTCAGTTCCTTGTGGGCTATTGGACTGAGGGCATCAGTTTCTCATGGGCTGTTACCTGGAGGTCTTCCTTAGTTCCTTGCCACTTCAGCCTCTCCATAGGGCAGTTTACAGTGCAACAGCTGACTTCCCTCAGAGTGATTGAGCAAGAGAGAGCAAGAAAGAGAGGATGTAAGCTGGCAGAAATCATGGTTTTTAATAACTTCCTACTTTCTGTTCAATGGATGCAAGTTGCTAGATCGAGGCCACAATCAAGTAGAGGGAATTACACAAGAGCATGCATACCAGGAGGTGGAGAGTATTAGGAACAATTTACGAAGCTGCCTAACACAGCACCCTTAATGATTCTCTCCCTCTAGTATTTCTATAAGATTTAGTGTTTCATCGTTGTATGTTCCTCTACCTTTATTATTACTATTGGATTGCCTTCCATCAACAGCCTATAAACCCAATGAGGGCAGGAACCATGCCTGTCTTGTTGACTGCTGTATCCCCAAGGCCTAGAGTTGTGGCACAAAGTGATATTCGTACAAATTTGTTGAAGGAATGAATGAGGCAATAGGCTCAACCTCAACAAAAATTCTCTCTTCTCTAGCCACCAGTGTCTTCCTCCTACTGGGCCTACCCTGTTTGCCTGACCCAAACTGGGGACCCTTGACTTTAGATTTGGTTCTTGACTCTCTTCCCACCTATTCAGAACTGATGTTTTGGGAGCCCCTTTGGGCTAGGGTTCACTGTATCTAATTTCCCTTGGCATCTTCATCCCTTTCCCGCTCTCCCATGCTTAGCCCTGGCTCCAGGATTCTGGCCTCCTGATTCTAGGAAGAGAAGTTTGGAGACTTTTTCCTAGAGGGAAGGATTTTGGGGAGAGATTACTATGTAAATTCTCCCTTGTGGTGGACAAATGCAACCTGGTAATTTTGGGAGCATCCTGGGTCCCCTCCCTTGATGCAAGCACTGAGGAAGAATACAGGGATGGCTGCTCTCATCCATCTCAAAGAAGTATAAACTAGGAAGACACTGAATAGATGTTCAGTTAGATTTTAGTCCCTCATGCTTAGTAGTTTATTATTGAATTGAAATATTATTGCATTGAAACTGGCAGTATTCACCATTAAATAAAAGACTGAGATAATCAGGATTAGTCATTTTTCAAAAGAAATGTAAAAATATGAGCTTTCTGTATTGTGTTGGTGGTTGTAGCCTTTGCTCTGTTGATGTCTCCTGCTGGCTATTCTTCAAATAACAAGCATCCTGGTTGATTTTTACTCTTCTTTCCTGCCTTCTGTCCCACAGAAGCGCTTTGAGGATGACATAATAGTGGGTACTGATAACAGGGGCTGTGGAGTCAAACTTCTTAGCCCTACCACTTACTGGTTTCATGACCTTCAGGAAGTTACTTAACCTCTCTTAGGCTCAGTTTTCTCATCTGTAAATGGAGATAATGATGGAACCCATCTTTAAGGTCTAGGGGAGGAATAAATTAAATGGTATACTCAAAGCATTTCACACATAGCCTGGCATAGAGTAAGTACATCACAAGTACTAAGTGTAATAAGTAATACATATGTAAAAAGTGTTGGCTATATTTATTGTTTAAAAACAAACACTGGGCCAGGCGCTGTGGCTCTTGCCTGTAATTACAGCACTTTGGGAGGCTGAGGTGGGCAGATCACGAGGTCAGGAGATCGAGACCATCCTGGCTAACACGCTGAAACCCCGTCTCTACTAAAAATACAAAAAAATTAGCTGGGCGTGGTGGCAGGCGCCTGTAGTCCCAGCTATTCAGGAGGCTGAGGCAGGAGAATGGCGTGAACCTGGAAGGTGGAGGTTACAGTGAGCTGAGATCTCGCCTCTGCACTCCAGCCTCGGCGACAGAGCGAGACTCAGTCTCAAAAACAAACAAACAAACAAACAAAAACACTGGATGGCCTCTGTGCATAGGGGTGGGCATGCAAGGTGTGAACTTGATTGAAGATGATATTATAAAGGAAAACTGGGACAACTCCTCTTTAGACCAGCAGTCAGCCAACGAGGATCAAAGGTCCAAGTTAGTCCCACCTTTTGTTTTTGTATAGCCCACGAGCAAGAATGAATTTGACTTTTTTAAATGGGGTTTAAAAAAACCCACAAAAGAATGCATTTCAGAGCACACAAGAATTACATGAAATACGCATGTCCATGTCCATAAATAAAATTTATAAAATAAACACATGAATACATAACATTTAGGAAATAAAAAATAATTAAAGTTCATACAGTAGTCATACTCATTCATTTTATTGTCTCTGGCTGCTTTTGTGCTACAATGGCAGAGTTGAGTAGTTACAACAGAGACGGTCTTGGCTAGCAAAGACTAAAATATTTACTGT